>NC_000003.12:119160119-119463149 GCF_000001405.40 Homo sapiens
TCTGGATAATCATACAAAAATATACACATTATACTTATGCATGCATTGATATTTCAATACTCATTCCCCTAAATCTCTGAATAAGTCCACAAATCACAACTAGCAATTTATATGTACTTCTTATAAAGCATATAAATCTGTCTCCAAGCTATTTACAAAATGTCTAATCAAAAAATGTGTGAAAAAGAATTTATCACAGCATTTTTTTCTTAATGAAAGATTATTGTTGTAATATCTCTTATTTATTTTTGCTGTTTCTTCTTTAACCTTGTTTGTTATATTCTGCCATTAGTGGATGTGATTCTAATCTTTTCCTATGGATAGCTCACTTCTGATTTGTAACCTACAGCAAAACTCAAACATGTTATACTGCTCCGTACACACCTGTGGGTGAGGCAGAACATCACTTTCTCATTACCTTTTCCCTTAAAGAGTATCTGCATCATGTGGAATGTATAACCAGTTCAACTGGTATTTTAATGCAAAAATTCTTAACTTGGTCTGTCTGGTATGAGTGTGTCTGCCTAAAGATCATAACTGAGATGATCATCTGATACTACTTTTGTGATATGAACCCTCCATTTAATTTCTATTTGAACATTACAGGAGACTTGAGTTTTTACAATGTTTAGTTGATGAATTGGTATTGTTATATGGTTGAATTACAATAAATTAAGTTTCTGCTTGAACAATCACACACAAACTCTATTTTTTTATATCTTTCATTTCTTAAAATTATATAAAAATCACTTTATAATTTCAAAGTTTACTTGGTTTTTTTTTTCAGTTGTCCACAAAATGTACATGTGCTCAAACTCAATAAATTGTTCTCATTCAAACAGATAAGGAGCTGTGTTGACTGTGGGCTGGCAAAACTAGGTGAAAGCTGATAAACTTGCAGTAAACCTGTGGGAAAAGTTTGAGTTACACAACTAAGGTCATACCAATTAGTTGGGTGAATAAAATAATCCAAAGATAAATGGACCAATAATATTTTAGTGACAAAAACTCAAATGTTATCAACAACAAATGAAATTAATGATTAAGTTTAGTTCACTGGTTTTCAATCCTAAGACCAGACCGTTTTGCCATGTTTCTTAAAGCAGAACATTTGAGACCCAACCACACCAGCCACTTCAGCCTTTCTTGTTGGCCTTCTGGGATGCCTTTCACAACTTCATTTTTGACCTTTCAGAATGAGGCAACGGATAAGAGGGATGGGCTTGGTATGGTACAGTGAACCTGTCTGAAAATGTTTGTCTAAGAAGAAAAGGGAGAAAATGAAGATCAAGCTTCATATGCAATGACTCAGGCTGTCTACTGAAAGAGCTATCTAATATAGAAGACCAATCAGCTAAAAGTGTATTCAGCTCTTAGTCCCTAAGTGGAAGGAAGTAGTCCCAGGCCAGGAGTAAACACTAAAAAATCTGGGTGGAACTTACCATCAAGCAGAAGAGAAAGAGGCATCTTAGAACTGGCCCTTTTGGAGTAAAACTGAAAGAGGACGTGGATGGCTATGTCGAATATAAAAGGAAAATAAATGTTTCAATGTCAGAGTAACTGGAGATCAAAATACATGACCTCCCTTGAAGGAATCCTTTAAAGAAGCTTATGCAAAACAGGTTTTTCATACAGCTATGAAGTGCCTCAAGTGTTGTTAGAGATGTTTATAAAAACACTTAGAACAGTAATGGACATTGTTAGTCCTGATTATTTTAGTAATATTATCAACGGTAGTAATATTGGATTTTACCTGAGCAATTCTGATTACCCTCCCTCAAATCATTCCCCAGCCACCCTGATTTCCTCACAGTAATAGCAAAGCTACTAGAGCAGTTTTCCTTCATCTTTCTCCTCCCTTCTTCCATTTAAAGAATAAATATGACACCATTAGTCATTAGAAAAATGTAAATCAAAACGACAATGAGATATCATCTTACACTCACTATAATCAAAAAGACGGTAAGTTTCAGTGAGGATATAGGGAAATTAGAACCCTCATACGCTGCTAGTGGAATGTAAAATGGTGCAGCCACTTTGGAAAACAGTTTTGCAGTTCTTCAAAAAGTGAAACATTGTGTTATTACATGACAGTAATTCTACACCTAGGTTGATAGGGTTTGGCTGTGTCCCCACTCAAATGTCATCTTGAATTGCAGCTCCCATAATCCCAATGTATCACAGGAGGGACGGGTGGAAGGTGATTGAATCATGGGGGCAGGATTTTCCCATGCTGTTCTCATGATAGTGAATGAGTTTTCATGAGATTTGATGGTTTTATAAAGGGCAGTTCCCCTGCACATGCTCTCTTGCCTGCCACTATGTAAGAGATGACTTTGCTCCTCCTTCTCTTTCTGCCATAATTGTGAGACTTTCCCAGCCATGTGGAACTGTGAGTCCATTAAATTTCTTTTTCTTCATAAATTACCCTGTCTCACGTATTTCTTCACAGCAGTATGAAAATTGACTAATACATAGGTATATACCCAAGAGAATTGAAAACATATGTCCACAAAAAATCTTGTTCACGAATGCTCATAGCAGCATTCATAATAACCAAAAAATAGAAACAACCCAAATATCCATCAACTGATTAATGGATTTTTTAATATAGTCTATACATACAATGGAATATTATTTAGCCTTAAAAAAGAAGGAAATCTTGTCAATTGCTACATCATAGGTGAACCTGGAGGACATTATGCTAAATGAAATAAACCAGTCACAAAAAGCAAATATTATGAGATTCTACTTATATGAGGTATCTAAAGTAGTCAAATTGACAGAAACAGAAAGCAGAAAGCTGATTACCAGGGACTAAGAGGAGGGCAAATAGGGAGCAATTTAATGGATTTACTTTCTGTTTTGCAAGATGAAAATTTTGTGGAGATCTGTTGCACAACAATGTGAATATACTTAACACTACTCAACTGTACACTTTAAAATGGTTATAATGGCACATTTTACTTTATGTTTTTACCACAATCAAAAAATTTTTTAATTCAAAATGAAAAAATGTGATATATCTATACAATGGATTATTATTCAGCCATATAAAGGAATAAGGTTCTGATACACAACTATGACTTTTATAAGTCTGGAAAACATTGTGTTAAATAAAGGCAGCCAGACATAGAAAACCACTTGATTTCATTTCTATGAAGTGTCCAGAATAAGAAAATCCATAGGGACATAGGTAGATTAGTGGTTGTCAGGGGTTGCAGTGAGCAGGTAATAGGGAGTGACTGCTAATGGGCATGAGATTTCTTTTGGGGGGAAGAAAATATTCTGGAATTAGGTAGTGATAATATTTGTGTAAGTGTGAATATTCTAAAAACCACTTAAATTGTACACTTCAAAAGGGTTAATTTTATGGTGTATGAATTATATATAAACAAAGCCATTTTTAAAACATGTCGAGGTTAATATTTTTAAGTTCCACCTTATGACAGGGAAGAAGAAGAATAGTTGTGAAACTCAGAAACAACAAAAACAAGAGTATCTTAGCCTTCCAGGAGAATTATTCTCCTATTTCCCCTACTCTTTACAAATTCCCTTGTTTTATTCTTTGGTCTTTGGTCTCTTGAATATGATTTATTTTTAAAATTAACCTTGTAGTATTTCATGACTAGTAACTCATTCTCAGCTCTACTCACCCACTCTTCTCCACCTATCTTCTTTTGTTCTTACGTATTTAACCTGTTTAATAACTCTATTCAAACTCACCTATTCTTGAGAATAAGTTATGAGTATGTAAGTGTAATTATGTCTGTTAGTGTTTTCTGCTCACATGTGCCTAGATATATGTGTGTGTATAGGGATGTGGACAAGTATGGTTTCAGGTGATTCTGTGCCTATGCTTCAATCTTCATGTCAATTTTTTGGTTGGAAACATTGTAAGGATAAAACTCAGAAAACTCTGTGTTTTTATTTGTAAGGATAAAACTCAGAAAACACTGTGTTTTTATAAGAGACAAACAATATGCTAATATTGCCAGTGTGCTAGTACCTTAGAGTCTCAGGCTATTTTTTTTATACTGTTTGCAGAATTTGTAACAATCTAATACCAGATGGAGAGTAGTACTGTGGCCTATTATTATGAACACCTAGGGGATTCCAATAGGCAGAATAAATTGTTTGCCTAATTCAGTATTTTAATTTTTTAAGAAAAAATCCTCCTCAAACTCCACTAACATTTCAGTAAAGATTTACAAAAGGAAGTAAATTCACTGTAATACTTAAAGCAGAAGAGAAAGAGACCAGAGATTTTTATGATTTCTGATAACAGAAAGCAGATGAGATAGCAGTGACAGATAAACTAGAGCACAGTGAGGAGGAGCCAAGATGGCCGAATAGGAACAGCTCTGGTCTACAGTTCCCAGCGTGAGTGACACAGAAGACGGGTGATTTCTGCATTTCCAACTGAGGTACCAGTTTCATCTCACTGGGGAGTGCCAGATAGTAGGCGCAGGACAGTGGGTGCAGCGCACCATGCGCAAGCTGAAGCAGGGCGAGGCATCGCCTCACACAGGAAGCGCAAGGGGTCTGGAAATTCCCTTTCCTAGTCAAAGAAAGGGGAGACACACTGAAACAGACGACTATAAAACATCAAAAAAAAAAAGAAACGGGTGACAGACAGCACCTGGAAAATTGGGTCACTCCCACCCTAATACTGCGCTTTCCAACTGGCTTAAAAAACGGCACACCAGGAGATTATATCCCGCACATGGCTCAGAGGGTCCTATGCCCACGGAGTCTCGCTCACTGCTAGCACAGCAGTCCGAGATCAAATGGCAAGGCGGCAGCAAGGCTGGGGGAGGGGCACCTGCCATTGATGAGTTAGTTGTTTGATTAGGTAAACAAAGCAGGCTGGAAGCTCGAACAGGGTGGAGCCCACCACAGCTCAAGGAGGCCTGCCTGCCTCTGTAGGCTCCACCTCTGGGGGCAGGCCACAGACAAACAAAAAGACAGCAGTAACCTCTGCAGACTTAAATGTCCCTCTCTGGACAGCTTTGAAGAGAGTAGTGGTTGTCCCAGCAGGCAGATTGAGATCTGAGAATGGGCAGACTGCCTCCTCAAGTGGGTCCCTGACCCCCGAGTAGCCTAACTGGGAGGCACCCCCCAGTAGGGGCAGACTGACACCTCACACGGCTGGGTACTCCTCTGAGACAAAACTTCCAGAGGAATGATCAGGCAGCAGCATTTGCGGTTCACCAAAATCCGCTGTTCTGCAGCCACCGCTGCTGATACCCAGGCAAATGGGGTCTGGAGTGGACCTCTAGCAAACTCCAATGGACCTGCAGCTGAGGGTCCTGACTGTTAGAAGGAAAACTAACAAACATAAAGGACATCCACACCAAAAACCCATCTGTACGTCACCATAATCAAAGACCAAAGGTAGATAAAACCACAAAGATGGGAAAAAAACAGAGCAGAAAAACTGGAAACTAAAAATCAGAGCGCCTCTCCTCCTCCAAAGGAACACAGCTCCTCACCAGCAATGTAACAAAGCTGGATGGAGAATGACCTTGATGAGTTGAGAGAAGAAGACTTCAGACAATCAAACTACTCCGAGCCACAGGAGGAAATTTGAACCAACGGCAAAGAAGTTAAAAGCTTTGAAAAAAAATTAGACGAATGGATAACTAGAATAATCAATGCAGAGAAGTCCTTAAAGGACCTGATGGAGCTGAAAACCAAGGCACGAGAGCTACGTGACAAATGCAGAAGCCTCAGTAGCTGATGCGATCAACTGGAAGAAAGGGTGTCAGTGATGGAAGATCAAATGAAGTGAGAAGAGAAGTTTAGAGAAAAAAGAATAAAAAGAAATGAACAAAGCCTCCAAGAAATATGGGACTATGTGAAAAGACCAAATCTACATCTGATTGGTGTACCTGAAAGTGACTTGGAGAATGGAACCAAGTTGGAAAACACTCTGCAGGATATTATCCAGGAGAACTTCCCCAATCTAGCAAGGCAGGCCAACATTCAGATTCAGGAAATACAGAGAACGCCACAAAGATACTCCTCGAGAAGAGCAACTCCAAGACACATAATTCTCAGATTCACCAAAGTTGAAATGAAGGAAAAAATGTTAAGGGCAGCCAGAAAGGTCAGGTTACCCACAAAGGGAAGCCCATCAGACTAATAGCGGATCTCTCAGCAAAAACTCTACAAGCCAGAAGAGAGTGGGGACCAATATTCAACATTTTTAAAGAAAAGAATTTTCAACCCAGAATTTCATATCCAGCCAAACTAAGCTTCATAAGTGAAGGAGAAATAAAATACTTTACAGACAAGCAAATGCTGAGAGATTTTGTTACCACCAGGCCTGCCCTAAAAGAGCTCCTCAGGAAGCACTAAACATGGAAAGGAACAACCGGTACCAACCACTGCAAAAACATGCCAAATTGTAAAGACCATCGAGGCTAGGAAGAAACTGCATCAACTAACGAGCAAAATAACCAGCTAACATCATAATGACAGGATCAAATTCACACATAACAGTATTAACTTTAAATATAAATGGACTAAATGCTCCAATTAAAAGACACAGATTGGAAAATTGGATAAAGAGTCAAGACCCATCAGTGTGCTGTATTCAGGAAACCCATCTCACGTGCAGGGACACACATAGACTCAAAATAAAGGGATGGAGGAAGATCTACCAAGCAAATGGAAAACAAAAAAAGGCAGGGGTTGCAATCCTAGTCTCTGATAAAACAGACTTTAAACCAACAAAGATCAAAAGAGATAAATAAGGCCATTACATAATGGTAAAGGGATCAATTCAACAAGAAGAGCTAACTATCCTAAATATATATGCACCCAATACAGGAACACCCAGATTCATAAAGCAAGTCCTTAGTGACCTACAAAGAGACTTAGACTCCCACACAATAATAATGGGAGACTTTAACACCCCACTGTCAACATTAGACAGATCAATGAGACAGAAAGTTAACAAGGATACCCAGGAATTGAACTCAGCTCTGCACCAAGCGGACCTAATAGACATCTACAGAACTCTCCACCCCAAATCAACAGAATATACATTCTTTTCAGCACCACACCACACCTACTCCAAAACTGAACACATAGTTGGAAGTAAAGCACTCCTCAGCAAATGTGAAAGAACAGAAATTATAACAAACTGTCTCTCAGACCACAGTGCAATCAAACTAGAACTCAGGATTAAGAAACTCACTCAAAACCGCTCAACTACATGGAAACTGAACAACCTGCTCCTGAATGACTACTGGGTATATAATGAAATGAAGGCAGAAATAAAGATGTTCTTTGAAACCAATGAGAACAAAGACACAACATACCAGAATCTCTGGGACACATTCAAAGCAGTGTGTAGAGGGAAATTTATAGCACTAAATGCCCACAAGAGGAAGCAGGAAAGATCTAAAATTGACACCCTAACATCACCATTAAAAGAACTAGAGAAGCAAGAGCAAACACATTCAAAAGCTAGCAGGAGGCAAGAAATAACTAAGATCAGAGCAGAACTGAAGGAAATAGAGACACAAAAAACCCTTCAAAAAATTAATGAATCCAGGAGCTGGTTTTTTGAAAAGATCAACAAAATTGATAGAATGCTAGCAAGACTAATAAAGAAGAAAAGAGAGAAGAATCAAATAGACGCAATAAAAAATTATAAAGGGGATGTCACCACCAATCCCACAGAAATACAAACTACCATCAGAGAATACTATAAACACCTCTACACAAATAAACTAGAAAATCTACAATAAATGGATAAATTCCTCGACACATACATCATCCCAAGACTAAACGAGGAAGAAGTTGAATCTCTGAAAAGACCAATAACAGGCTCTGAAATTGAGGCAATAATCAATAGCTTACCAATCAAAAAAAGTCCAGGACCAGATGGATTCACCGCCGAATTCTACCAGAGGTGCAAAGAGGAGCTGGTACCATTCCTTCTGAAACTATTCCAGTCAACAGAAAAAGAGGGAATCCTCCCTAACTCATTTTATGAGGCCAGCATCATCCTGATACCAAAGCCTGGCAGAGACACAACCAAAAAAGAGAATTTTAGACCAATATCCTTGATGAACATCGATGCAAAAATCCTTAATAAAATACTGGCAAACTGAATCCAGCAGCACATCAAAAAGCTTATCCACCATGATCAAGTGGGCTTCATCCCTGGGATGCAAGGCTGGTTCAATATACGCATATCAATAAATGTAATCCAGCATATAAATAGAACCAAAGACCAAAACCACATGATTATCTCAATAGATGCAGAAAAGGCCTTTGACAAAATTCAACAACACTTCATGCTAAAAACTCTCAATAAGTTAGGTATTGATGGGATATATCTCAAAATAATAAGAGCTATCTATGAAAAACCCACAGCCAATATCATACTGAATGGGCAAAAACTGGAAGCATTCCCTTTGAAAACGGGCACAAGACAGGGATGCCCTCTCTCACCACTCCTATTCAACATAGTGTTGGAAGTTCTGGCCAGGGCAATCAGGCAGGAGAAGGAAATAAAGGGTATTCAGTTAGGAAAAGAGGAAGTCAAATTGTCCCTGTTTGCAGACGACATGACTGTATATCTAGAAAACCCCATCATCTCAGCCCAAGATCTCCTCAAGCTGATAAGCAACTTCAGCAAAGTCTCAGGATACAAAATCAATGTACAAAAATCACAAGCATTCTTATACACCAATAACAGACAAACAGAGAAACAAATCATGAGTGAACTCCCATTCACAATTGCTTCAAAGAGAATAAAATACCTACAAATCCAACTTACAAGGGATATGAAGGACCTCTTCAAGGAGAACTACAAACCACTGCTCAATGAAATAAAAGAGGATACAAACAACTGGAAGAACATTCCATGATCATGGGTAGGAAGAATCAATATCATGAAAATGGCCATACTGCCCAAGGTAATTTATAGATTCAATGCCATCCCCATCAAGCTACCAATGACTTTCTTCACAGAATTGGAAAAAACTACTTTAAAGTTCATATGGAACCAAAAAAGAGCCCGCATTGCCAAGTCAATCCTAAGCCAAAAGGACAAAGCTGGAGGCATCACGCTATCTGACTTCAAACTATACTACAAGGCTACAGTAACCAAAACAGCATGGTACTGGTACCAAAACAGAGATATAGATCAATGGAACAGAACAGAGCCCTCAGAAATAACGCCGCATATCTACAACTATCTGATCTTTGACAAACCTGAGAAAAACAAGCAATGGGGAAAGGATTCCCTATTTAATAAACGGTGCTGGGAAAACTGGCTAGCCATATGTAGAAAGCTGAAACTGGATCCCTTCCTTACACCTTACAGAAAAATTAATTCAAGATGGATTAAAGACATAAATGTTAGACCTAAAACCATAAAAACCCTAGAAGAAAACCTAGGCAATACCATTCAGGACATAGGCATGGGCAAGGACTTCATGTCTAAAACACCAAAAGCAATGGCAACAAAAGCCAAAATTGACAAATGGGATCTAATTAAATTCAAGAGCTTCTGCACAGCAAAAGAAACCACCATCAGAGTGAACAGGCAACCTACAGAATGGGAGACAATTTTTGCAACCTACTCATCTGACAAAGGGCTAATATCCAGAATCTACAATGAACTCAAACAAATTTACAAGGAAAAAACAAACAACCCCATCAAAAAGTGGGTGAAGGATATGAACAGACACTTCCCAAAAGAAGACATTTATGCAGCCAAAAAACACATGAAAAAATGCTCATCATCACTGGCCATCAGAGAAATGCAAATCAAAACCACAAGGAGATACCATCTCACACCAGTTAGAATGGCAATCATTAAAAAGTCAGGAAACAACAGGTGCTGGAGAGGATGTGGAGAAATAAGAACACTTTTACACTGTTGGTGGGACTGTAAACTAGTTCAACCATTGTGGAAGTCAGTGTGGCGATTCCTCAGGGATCTACAACTAGAAATACCATTTGACCCAGCCATCCCATTACTGGGTATATACCCAAAGGATTATAAATCATGCTGCTATAAAGACACATGCACACGTATGTTTATTGCGGCACTATTCACAATAATAAAGACTTGGAACCAACCTAAATGTCCAACGATAGACTGGATTAAGAAAATGTGGCACATATACACCGTGGAATACTATGCAGCCAGAAAAAATGATGAGTTCATATCCTTTGCAGGGAAATGGATGAAGCTGGAAACCATCATTCTCAGCAAACTATCTCAAGGACAAAAAACCAAACACTGCATGTTCTCACTCATAGATGGGAATTGAACAATGAGAACTCATGGACACAGGAAGGGGAACATCACACACCAGGGACTGTTGTGGGGTGGGGGGACGGGGGAGGGATAGCATTAGAAGATATACCTAATGCTAAATGACGAGTTAATGGGTGCAGTACACCAACATGGCACATGTATACATATGTAACAAACCTGCATGTTGTACACATGCACCCTAAAACTTAAAGTATAATAATAAAAAAAAGGGATATTGTGAAGAGTAAATTTGGCAGTACCTGGGACTTTTACTATATATTAAAAATATTGTAGACAACATCATGTTTTGAGAAGTGTTTTTGCTGAAATTGGTAACTAGAGAAAGCAAAAGGCATTAAATAACCCACTTTCCGAACTTCCAGTAGGGAGGCAGCCTCTTTCTCACCCAGTTTGCACTATAACTCCCTACCTCGCCATAGGAAAGTCAATTTGAAGTGAGGGATCTGTTAGGGAATGCAGAGAAGACAAACATTCCAGTGGTTCCTTGCCCCGAAGATGACAGAGGAAAACCTCATGAGGACTGAAAAGTTTGAGTGTGTATGTAGGACCAATTCTTCTAGCCCAGTTAAATATCACATGAGTCACCAGGCCTGCTAACTTGCCTTGGAACTACCACAGAGAAGGAAAAGCTTTGGAGGGTGATGGTGCAGTGGTATGGCCCGACAGAGAAGGGGACAAGCATGCCACCTTTAGTTCTAGGTTCCTGAGATGTGCAGAAGGTAGAACCCAGCCACCTGAGAACTGGGGTCCTGGAGGGTAGGTGAGATTGAAGGACAAAGACTGACTGCAAACCAATGAATGAGGCAGAGCACCCTCTGAGGCTTAGGAACTCGTGGGGTTCAGTAGGGCTCTCCTCGGCCAGCCCTGTGCACTGCCCTTGTCTACACTGCTGCTGGTGGTGGTGAACTAGACAGTGGGGATGGCCAACAGAAAGGGATAGAGCCTCTCTCTGGCCACTCACACAGGACGACATCATTTCCCTCTCAAATGAACATACACAGGGAGTTGGGGGGTTATTAAAGACCTCAACTTCTCCCCAAAACTACTGGAGTCTGTAGTTTGAATTGTGGTGATAGGAAGAAAATATCTAAGTGTTTCTAACAGAAGTGAGATATTAGTAATGAGAATTCACTGATGAGCTTGGAATCAGGTTAAGATGTGGGTAAGGGAGCCACCTAGCCAGAGAGAAAGGAAGATTAGCAGAAGAGAGTTAGAAATAAATTAACTGGAAAAAAATAAGCCTGTCATACATTAACGACTTGACGTTCCTCAACTATTCAGTTGCAGTTATTATCTGAAAACTAATCTTCCTTTTCCTAGCTAGTCTCTTGTCTCTTGTTATTGGGTTTGTGTTCACATTATCTATTTTGAAGATTTTCAAATCTTTTTGTTTTCTCCCCATATAATCATGGTAATGGAACATAAAATGCCTAAGACATGAATGAAAATTCACATGTCCTTGTTTGCTTCCTTGCTACTTTATCACAAATATTTCCAGGACAGCACATGTTTTTAATAACTTGTACGTTCTTATAATTATAATATAGATCCTTTGTAAACATATGAACTGCAAAAATAGAAGACTGTAAAAGTCACCCATATTTTACCATTCAGATATATTCTGGTTAATGTTTGCTGTATACTATTTCTAACTTTTTAAGTCATAGGTAAACTTTCTTAAAAATTAAAATGTGTCAGATTACACAAACTATTTTGTAAACCGCTTTTTCATTTTCAGCCTCTAGAAGAGTGCCTGGCACATCCTAAGTTTTCAATAAATATTTGTCAAATAAATGACTGAACTTATTTCCATACCATTAAATGTTTATCTGTGGTGTCATTTTTAACCATTGCACAGAATTCTATTGTGTGAAATATGATAATTTATCTAACAAGGCCCTGAAGAGCTGCAGAGGAATAAGGCCTTGTGATGGACACAGAGGTGCTCCATGCAGTCCCCCTTGAAGTGGGAGGTTGCCCTGCTGCTGGGAGTACTTGCAACCTCCAGCCTCCAGTTATCAGCCCCTTTCAGGACTTGCCTCAGCTACAGAAAGCTGCCTTCCCAGGGTAATCCACATTGAAGGGCAGATCATAGAGGAGCCCAGTGTCAGAGCTACTCTGACAGGCCATCTTCCTCCAGAGTTTCCTGAGGAGGGCTGCTTAAGACTGTCCCATCTATATTGCAGCTCAACTTCTTCCTCTGCCCAGTCCTGTTTCTCCCCTCTCCCTGCCATGGGTGTTAATCTCAGGGCACTGTCTAATAAATATATTGCACACTAAATTTTGTCTCAAAGTCTGCTCCTGAACAACCTAACCTGCAACAGAGATGATGCTGACCTTTGAGGAACTCCCAAGTCTATTGGTAAAAGCACTCAGTAAATTCTAACATTACTGCAGTTACCGATTCCTAACTCAGGTTAAACAAGCGATGGCGCATGTATACCATGATAGGTTATGCAGCCATTAAAATAATGTTCTGGGTGCCATGTATAACACATGATGGCTCCAGAAGTCAGGGAAGAAGGAAAAAAGAAGGGAAGGGAAGAGAAGAGAAAGGGAGGGAAGAAGAGGGGAGGGAAGAATTGGACATCAGATAATCACTTGAGCCCTCTCTCTCCGTGAATTTTTCCCAATCTGTTTCTTTCCACATCTCTTGCTCCTTATCAGTCTTTGGGCCACCTACAGTATGAGCATTACTTGGGCAATTACTGTCTCTCTGAATTTGGCATATGCAAATTATAGAAACTAAAACTGGACATGGCCCTACACAGGTAAGCACATATCAGCATCGCTGTGAGCGGTCAGGACTAACAAGCCTTCAACACACAAAAGCAGGAGTAAGGATCAAATTACACAAATCAAATCAAATCAAATCAAAATAAAATCCCTGAGTTTGTATTCCAGTAAAGCCCAAACCTAGGAGGGATCCAGGAAAGCGATGAGTGTGGCTGTCAAGGTGCTTCCATCTGTCAGAGTCACACATTCCAAAGCAGCAGAAATCAACTGACAGCCTCCGGTTACTCCCCCGCCTCAGCGAGGCAGGGCAGGCAGCGGAAAGCTCAGCCCATGTGAGGTGCCTCCTGCCAATCACAGACTACCCTTCCCTGGTCCTGGAGGTTCAAAGAATTGCAGGAGGGTAGAAAAGCACCTGGGTCGGGTGCAGACTGCGGAGCGGGCCCTACCGTGTGCGCAGAAAGAGGAGGCGCTGTGAGTAGACCGCTTTCCCTCTGCAGGGAATCTCCCGGGCTCAAGGGCTGGGTTGCTCTCCTGGGAGGGAAGCTAGCAGACTGGGAGGGAAAGGGGAAGAAGTTAGATTCTTGATTCATAAAGTCTGTCATTTTTTTCTTTGTAATTTAGGGTATTGTGACTGTCCTGTTCTCTTTTACTTTGAACCGTTGGAATTGCTTTCTTAATACCCTTGATATAAGTCTTGTTCTCATTAAACTTCTGGAGATATTACGCAGCCATCCTGCTTTCAACCTCAGATATCCCCACAGAAAGAACAAGAAAATCCAAGCACCCCGAGAAACCCTATATCTCCTGATTAAATCGCACATAGACAGTCACCTTTGTAGACCCCCAATTTCCTTGTGGAGTCAGAAAAGCAATAGAAAGTTTAACGAAATAGCTCGTGTTATTTCTTAATAATCTGTTCAGGCTAGCAGAGAGAAAGTTTCTTGGTCTTCTTGTCAGAAATCATTTGGTCCTGCCAACCTGTAATGAAATGTGTGAAGCAATTTACTCCCAGTTATTCTCTGCAAACACTTCTGCTTAATAAATGTGTCAGTTGAAGTAAGTCAACAAAGTAGCTTTATCTACGCAATGTTATTTTTACATAATTTGTTTTTACTCCTTACCAATTCTTTGCTCCACCATGATCTGCAGGACATAAAGATATTTTTCATTCTGATCACATTTTCACACAAAATACAAATTTAAGTTTCAAATAATGCTAGTATTATTTTATGTTTGCATTTGTTTATAAACCTAAAACTCCACTTCTAACTAGTTTTAAAGATTTTTAAGCCATTTAAGAATTCGTAGCCAGTCACAGTGGCACATGCCTGCAGTTCCAGCTATTCGGGAAGCTGAGGCCACGTGATCAGGAGTTCTAGTCCAGGCTGGGCAACATAGTGAGATCCTGTCTCTAAAAAAAATAAAAATAAATTTTTAAAGAAGTTTTGTTAACTTGAATGTCTTCTTTTAATGAAAGACAACGTTTCTTGAACATTTCTTGCCTGAGTTGCTAAGCACAACAGGAAAGAACTCATTAGGTTTTATAGATATACATACTTTGAGTATAAACAAAATTTAGGTTACATAGTTTTCAGACCCTATGAAGAAGTGGATTTTCTTTTTATTAACCTTCTCAGTGAGGAGAAAAATTTCTTACTTTGCTTTCTGCTCCAACAGATTGTTTTGCTTTCTGCTATAAAATAGTCTTTAAAATCAACTCACCTATTTTTTTTTTTTTTAACTGCTGGGAAGAATCATAGACTTTTACATCCAAAGGGGACCTTAGACATCATTTAATCAAGGGGAAAAAAAAGAAACTCAGAACTTTTTTTTTCTTTTATTTTCTTTTTTTTTTTTTTTTTTTTTTTTTTTTTTTTTTTGAGACGGAGTCACTCTGAGGCCCAGGCTGGAGTGCAGTGGCGTGATCTCTGCTCACTGCAAGCTCTGCCTCCCGGGTAGATGCCATTCTCCTGCCTCAGCCTCCCGAGTAGCTGGGACTACAGGTGTCTGCCACCACGCCCGGCCAATTTTTTGTATTTTTAGTAGAGACGGGGTTTCACCGTGTTAGCCAAGATGGTCTCAATCTCCTGACCTCGTGATCCATCCACCTCAGCCTCCCAAAGTGCTGAGATTACAGGCTTGAGCCACCGCACCCGGCCAAAACTCAGAACTTCTTTTTGACTTCTCCTGCTTACAATCTTAACCAGAGTAAACACCAGCCAGCCTTTAAATATGCTCTGGAATTTGTGCCTGATAGCCATGCAGGCTGCCCACAAACTTGATGGGCCACCATTCACCAACTGGGACAGAGACCACATTGGTGAGGGGGCACCATCATCACACACCGCCCTACCCGCCTGCCCACCCCCTCCCCCCCGCCCCAAGGACTCTCCATAGTACTCCTGCCCTGGAGCTGGGCATCTCTCTGGCAATGCCCACACCTGAGGCCCTCGTGCAACTGAGTGCTCCTGAGCCATTGCTTACAGCTAGTCCCTGATTTCCAATGGGTGGATGACTCCCATCATACTGGGAGCACCAGGAATCAAGAGCAGTGCTGTCCAGTAAAACTTTCTGTGATGAGGGAAATGTTCTAGATAATAGACACTAACCACATGTATCTAGGGAGTGCTTGAGATGTGGTTGGAGCAACTGAGGAACTGATTTTTACTTTTATTTAATTGAATTCTTTTGACTTTAAATAACTGCATGCAACTACTAACTACTGTATTAGTCAACACAGGTTTAGAGCTTTAAAGCAAGAAAAACTTATGGGCACTGTGAGCCATGGGTGACAGCCCTGGGAGAAACCTCCTCTTTTTGTTATTTCCAGGGACTTATCCTACCTTAAGTTGAAGCAGACCAGCAATTGTTGTGACCTACAATCTCCACACCCATCTTTACTCTGAGCCAAGGAAGTGTCTGTTCTTGTGCTGAGTTTCAGGGTGAGGGCTAAGGCAATCGCATATTGTGTTTCTTTGTTTCTTCCTCTCCTATTTTTCCTTTTCTTTTTTTCTCCTTTGTTAATTCAAATTTCTCTAGCATGAACTAAAGTTTGAGGTGTGGTTTGTGTGTTCTCTGGTACAACAAACTTGGGTGAGGAAAAGAGGTAATGAACTTGAAAAAATGATCTCATGCTTACTGGGCGAGTCTCACTTCTTTTTCTTCTGCTTTGCAAATTGGTTTGTTTAGTGAGCAATTGTTTTTAGACCTTTCAATGTGTCTGGAAACATCAACACTACGGGTATGATTAATTTTTATAGGAAAACAAACTGAGTGAAAGCACAATAAAGAAAAAACAAGAAATATAATTCTAGCTTTAAAAAAATCTGCACTCTTTAAAGCAAAGGAACTCCCAGGGTATTGAGCAATTTGAGTAAATCATCATCATACCAGGCCACAGGGCAGTTTTCCCACAGGGCGGGGTGCACAGGGGCTATTCCTTTACATGGAAAATATTTCGAGGTGAGTTGCGTACTTTCAGTCTGGGGCGTTCCATCTCTAACGCGGGCAGTTGCTGCTCTGCCCTCTGCCTTCCACCGCTTTCCACTTGTTAAATGTAACTCATCCCATTGGTTTCCTTCCCACCCCTGCCAGATAAGTAATCCAATATAGTCAGGGAGGCATTGTTTTAGAATAACGTGGGGAGGGTTCAGAAGACCACATATCTAAAACAGTTTCTACATACTGTGGGCTAAAAGAGAAGGCAGGAAAGAGGACACATCATATCATTAGAAGTCAGTATAGCCAGAGAGACAGACCCAAACCCCCAAATCATAAGTTACGAGGTTTGTCTTTTTAGGTTCTACCCTCTCCTTGGGTCTCTTTCCTTCTCATGGTGTCTTCCCTCGCCCTTTGAAAATTAAATAAGAGAAGGGAGCTGATAAATGAGGCATTGACATGGATGGCTCATGAAACTCAATGTGCCTCTTTTATATGAGCTTGCATTTTAATCAGGAATGAAGGAGTGAGTCTCAAATTGTGGCATTCAGAAGTTAGGGTAAACGGTGAGGAAGCCTTTGAATGAAGGAAAAGGATAGAAGGCTTTCTCCCTGCCAGCTTTGTTTATGTGGCTCCCTTTCTGGCTTATCTTGTAGTGAGTCTCATGGGTAGGCTCACAGGTGGGAGGTCAAGAGTTTCTCTTAATTTAAAAAGACGTAAAGGGAAGTGGATCTCCCTACCTTAAAAAGAATAATCATTAGTGACAAACCCCATAGAAGGCTGGGTTAAGAGTTAGGAAACCTGGACTTGAATCTTAACTCTTTTAATAACACATCATGATCGTGAACAAGTCACTTTCTCTCTGTGAGCCTTAAATTTCTCACCTGTACAAAGCCTCCAAGTTTGCAGCCAGAACTGATGTATCATGCCGTGAACAGGCACCTGGCCAATAACTGTCCTAGGATGAATGACACTTTAATGTCTCTCAAATTACATATCTTCTAAGACAAACAAAAACTACCAAAAGTGTAGTCATTGACTTCTAAGTGTGACACCCGTCAATTAATTTAAAAGTTTATAATTTTGCTTTTTAATGCAATTATTTGTTAAATTGGCTTTTTTGATGCACAGCAATCCAATTTTTGTGGCTTCAGAATATCTTATTAAACAAACTTGGGTGAAGAAAAGACGTAACAACGTACCAGACTATATTGCTGTGGCAGAGGCTAGTATGGAAGAAAAGCCATAAACACATATCCACAATGGTTTCAGCTTCCCTGGAGAGCTATTTGCTATAGGCAGAGAGAGGGATATAGGGAAGGAAGGATAATTCTGGGTAAGAGAAGTTGAGGAGAGAAGAGGTTTTTCAGCTGGGCTTCGGAAGGTGGTAAAGAGTTCGATAGGCAGAAATGGGAGAAGGGATTCCAAAGACAGGGACACCCTAAGCACAGCATGGTGGCATGACCAGGACACCAAAGGGTTGGGGGGGTGGGGCACGCAGTGAAAAATGGCAGGCAGGCCATTTAGAACCTGGATGGGTGCTGCCTTGAATACACACTGAGGAGTTTGTACTTTATCTCTTAGGTGGTCCAACCACTCCTCCACTGGCTGAATGGAAAATATAATAGTTGGGTCTGGCCAAATACTATAGACTGGTCTTTCAGAAGGGAACAGGAGCAAATCTGGATTCAAAGAAACTGGTCAGCAACAGAGAGTGGGGGGACAAGTGATGAACCTGGCAATAGGAAGTAAGTAGGAGCTGGTGGCTGGGCTTGTAAGTGCAGAGGGAATGACCGAGGGCTCTCCTTTGAATTTAGGCTACAGGGAACCTTTGAAGGGTTCTAAGCAGGGGGGAGATATAAATTCAGAGCTGTGTTTTAGGACAGTGGATCTCAAGATTGGCTAAGTGGCTGGCACTTGGAAGCCATGTTTATCTTTGTAGAATACCAGAAAATTTTGGTCTACTAAATTTAAAATAAGTAAGTAGATCATTTTGGCCTAAATTCATACCAAAAACTAGATTTTAGCATAGACAGGTGGTAGTAGCATCCACAATTTAAGAAAAATGTGTAAGAGGAAAATGTTTAAAATCACAAATTTTTATAGTAATTTTTCCTCAAATTAGGAAATGACTGGAATCATTCAATATTGGCATCAAAACATGTTGTCCCAGTAAATGGAACATCTGTGTTTTGGAGGATCATTTGAGAACCTCTGCTTGAGAAAGTTCACCATGGAAGCACTGTATGGAATGGAAACAGAAAATGTTTAATTCATCTGATCCAGAAGTTAGGGGCTGGCAGTGGGAATTGGTAAAATGGTATCAGGAGACATCAGAAAATGATCATATGTGCTTCTATCAAAAATATACATCAATCCCAATTGGGATGGTGTGTTACTCAAGGTTCTTTCAGAGATAGAACCAAAAGGAGATACATAAAGAGAGAGAGAGGCAACGTATGGTGGCTCACGCCTATAATCTCCACACTTTGGAAGGCCAAGTCTTGAGGACAGGAGTTCAAGACCAGCCTGGGCAACATGATGAAACCCCTTCTCTACAAAAAATTTAAAAATTAGCCAGACATTGTGCATGCACCTGTGGTCCTAGCTACTTGGGAGGCTGAAGCAGGAGGATCACTTGAGCCTAGGAAGTCAAGGCTGCAGTGAGATATGATTGTGCCACTGCACTCCCTGGGTGACACACAAAGACCCTGTTGAGAGAGAGAGAGGGAGAGAGAGAGAGGGAGATATATATATATATATATATATATATATATATATATATATATATATTAATTCTAAGGAATTAACCTATGTGATGTGATTGTGGGGGCTGACAAGTCCGAAATCTATACAGCAGGTGGGCAACCTGAAAATTTGGGGAAGAGTTGATGTTGCAGTCTTTTTTTTTTTTTTTTTTTTGAGACGGAGTCTCGCTCTGTCGCCCAGGCTGGAGTTCAGTGGCCTGATCTTGGCTCACTGCAAGCTCGGCCTCCCGGGTTCACGCCATTCTCCTGCCTCAGCCTCCCAAGTGGCTGGGACTACAGGCGCCTGCCACCACGCCCGGCTAACTTTGTATTTTTGGTAGAGTCGGGGTTTCACCGTGTTAGCCAGGATGGTCTCCATCTCCTGACCTCGTGATCCACCCGCCTCGGCCTCCCAGAGTGCGGGGATTACAGGCGTGAGCCACCACGCCCGGCTTTTTTTTTTTTTTTTTTTTTTTTTTTTTTTTTTTTTGAGACGAGTGCAATGGCGCAATCTCGGCTCATGGCAAACTCCGCCTCTCCCGTTCAAGCGATTCTCCCGCCTCAGCCTCCTGAGTAGCTGGGATTACAGGCATGCGCCACCACCCCCAGCTAATTTTGTATTTTTAGTAGAGACGAGGTTTCTCCGTGTTGGTCAGGCTGGTCTCGAACTACCAACCTCAGGTGATCTACCAACCTCAGGTGATCTGCCCACCTCAGCATCCCAAAGTGCTGGGATTACAGGCGTGAGCCACCGCGCTTGGCCTGATGTTGCAGACTTAAACCTAAAATCTGCATACTGAAAACTTAAGAGTTTCTCTGTTACAGTCCTCTTAGGGCAGAAATGCTGCTTCTTCAGGAAACATCAGTTTTTGCTCTTAAGGTTTTCGGCTGATTGGAGGAGGCCAGCCACGTTATGGAGGGTAATCTGCTTTACTGCTTTACTCAAAGTCTACTGATTTAAACGTTAATCACATCTAAAGAATATCTTCACAGCAATATCTAGACTGATATCTGACCAAACACCATATCCAAGCCAATCCCACCATATCCCAGCAATATCTAGACTGATACTGACCAAACACCATATCCCAGCCAAGTTGACATACAAAATTAACCAGCGCAAGGTGTTCATTACAATACTTCTTTATCAGGCAGGCAGAGACAAAACTCAAGAAGCTATTAACAAAGGCAAAACTACTACCAAGCCCTAGAGAACACCACAGTTTATATTCTGTGTATAGAGAAGTCACCATTTGTCCTTCCCTTTTGTTCTTTCTCCGTGCCTATCCTCTATGGAAAGGTCAACAAATTCATAATGTCTTTTTTTTTTTTTAAATATCCATTAGTGTGGAACTGTGTCAAAGCTTTTCTTTTTTAACCTAAAAAAAAGTGCATTACTCTACCCCTATGCACAGGCATTTATTAATCTTCAAAGAACCCTAAACATCAGCCAGGCCTGATCTTTTCCTTTTGTAGAAATTATGTCACCTTTCCTCTAAGTGTGCCAGGAAAGCAGCTCTTCCTAAAGATCCATCCAGCTAATGTATTATAAAAGTAAACTCACTTGTCTCAGTTTTCCAGGACTTTTCTAGACATCTTCCATTGAATGAGGGGCAGGGGGAAGTCTTTGACACAGACTTTGTAAGGTCAGCTTACACGTTGTGACCAGTTTTTCAACATCACTTTTGAGTGTCCTCTTACTTCTTGGGTAACTGTCTTCTGAGCTCAGTAATTTGCCTATTTCTTTCTTTTCCTTTAGCTCTAGAATAGTAGTTTCCAATCGTTCTGGGGCTAGCTATGTGTTTAGGAGGTTTAGAGCTGGTGAGAAGATGCTCTGTGAGCCCAGGATTCCTACTCTCGTTTCAGCCAGAGAAGTACCATTCTGATCTGATTTCATATATTAGAGTTCCCTACTGAAATCATATTTCCCTATTTCCTTTGAAAATGTTGCTCTGTATCAAAAAAATAATAATAATAAACCACTGGTTTTAGGTACCTTCACCAACCACTGGGCTATTAGCTCTAGTCTGTCTCCTTTATAAGACAAAAATAAGCAAAATTAGTATTGGGTAACTAATATTGTATTAAAACTTCACATATATTCTCATTTAATTTTCATAGTAACCCTTGAAGTTAAGTATTACTATACTCATTTGAAGATAAAGCTCGAGAAGATTAAGTAACTTCTTGGGGTCACAAAACTAGTAAGTGGTAGAGCTAAGATTCAAACCCAGGTCTATCCAAAGCCCACATTCGTTCCACTTCACCATATTCTCTAACTTGCTCTTCAACAAAGTTCTAGGCAAATTATTAATCTGCACACTCATTTATTCAAATAAACATTATTTATTTACTTTATCTTTTTATTTAGCAAAACAATTGAGTGCGCCTACTACATGTCAGGTACTATGCCACTTTGGACCTAGAAAGACAAATAAAACAGGGTCCCAAATGCCTCCTCCTACTTTGGAGACTCTTGCAATAAAGTGCAGGATGCCCTTCACAGGTTGGCAATGGGAGGAAAGAATGCAAAAGGGCAGCAGAGCAGAATACTCTCTGAGTAATGTCTGTGTCAGGGAGAAAGTGGCCCCAGGACAAGGACAACCTCAGGGGCCATCTCTGCATCAACTTGCAGTGTGGGGCAGAGGCCTTAGAGCTGGCCAAAGGCAGAGGGATGAGGCCCAATGGCGAGTGTTAACTGTTCAGGAATGCTAATGGCATGCAAGGCGGGCCCCTCCCATGTGGATGTGCAGCTTGGTACCTGACTCTGGCCGCACCCCAAGCACAACTAGGAAGTGTTTTTCCTTTTCTCTCATGAATTCATCTATGGAAAATAAAAAGAAGTACAAATGGGTATCTTGTGTAAGCCCTCCTGGTCCCTCGAGCAGAGCAGCCCCTGTGCAGTGAACAGAGGGAAGGTGGAAGGAAGGCTGCTTCTCCTCAATCTAAGAGCCCTTGGCTGTGAGACCAGTCACTGTTAAAACCTCCCTTCTATCCCCCTGGGGTCACTGATATATAAAACAAAATCATAACCCAATACCCTGCCCTTCCTAAATATCCTCTGGTTATAATTAATAGTTTCTTATATGTGTAAACAATCTTAGTGCTTACCTATTACTTTTGTATCTTTTATCTCATTTAGTGATCACAGCAACTCCATCTAACAAGTTATTGTCTACTAATTTTATAAACGAGGAAGTAGATACTAAGGAAAACATTGTCCAACTTTACACAGTAATGATAATGACAGCACAAAGCTGGGACTTGAACTCTGGCATTCTGATGCCAAGTCCAGTGTGGTCACCATTATACTACAGATATTAGACTATGCTGTGAGCCACTGGAAGCCTACACTTGGCTCCCTCTTGACATCTGTGGCCATTTGGGGGATGCAGCAAATGTTTTAGGTCCTCTGGACACCAACCTAGTCTAAAATACAAGTGGCCAAGTAGAAGCTATGAAATGCTAACCTCTCATTGACTTGCACATTGCACATTTTACTTCTAAGAATTCTGGTCTTGGGGGTAGGTGGATGAGCTGTAGATTTTTGATACATCCAGACAGGTTTTCTGGAAAAGCATGTGGGTACAGCACTGAGTTTGGGGGAAATATGCAAATATGAGCATCGTGTCCAGGGGCTAAAGAGACAAGAAGCTGGAGATGTAAGTGAAGAAAAGCCTAGTGTTTCTGACCTTTGCAAAGGTAGAGTCTCCTGAGCAGGGAAATGTGTCTGTTCTCTCCACTCCAGGTGTTTCTATTTCTACTGAAAGCATTTGCTATGTAGCAAGACTTTATAAACTGTAGAGTGTTTAGCAAATGATCTGGCGCCAGGCAGACCTGTGTTTCAGTCTCAGCTTCTGCACTTTCTAGCAATGTGGCCTTGGGCAAATTAATCTCTCCAAGCTTCCCTTTTTTTTTGTTTTTTTTTTTTTTGGAGATGGAGTTTTGCTCTGTTGCCCAGTGCAGTGGCCCAATCATGGCTCACCACAACCTCCACCTCCCAGGTTCAAGCGATTCTCCTGACTCAGCCTCCCAAGTAGCTGGGATTACAGGCACCCGCCACCATGCTCGGCTAATTTTTGTATTTTTAGTAGAGACGGGGTTTTGCCATGTTGGCCAGGCTGGTCTCGAACTCCTCACCTCAGGTGATCTGCCCACCTCAGCCTCCCAAAGTGCTGGGATTACAGGCGTGAACCACCATGCCCGGCCCCTTTTCTTTATACAAACAATGGCAAGACAACAGCTTCTCCCCCTAGATCCTTCAGAAGCAACATAGCCCTGATTTTAGCCTGGTGAGACTCATTTTAGACCTCTGCCCTCCAGAACTGTAAGATACATTTCTGTTATTTTAAGCCACGAAGTTCGTGGTAATTTGTTTCAGCAGCAATAGGAAATGCAGACCTGAAAAACCCATCTCTCAGGTCTGTTGAGAAGATGAATATCAAATGCCTAACATAGTGCCCAGAGCATTGTAAGTGCCCAATAAATGGCAGTTTTCATCACTATTTCCTTATCTTGGAAGACAGGAGTAGCTAAATTATCATGTGCCATTGATACCAAAGGCCTAAGGGAGAAGAAGAGAATGCATAGTGAAAAAGGAGAACATTTTAGTGGCCAGAAAATTCAGAATATCTTGCCCACTGACATATCACCACCTTCCAATAACCAACCCACAGCTGGGCTGCCTCCCTGGCATTTCTGTCATGTCCTTGCCTAGGTTTCTTCAATTTATGCTTTTCTTTTTGCTCAGAGCAAGTTTCTACCTTCCTTCTTTTCTCCCACTTTTATCTGCGTTTTCCACCCTAATTGTGACTCCTGCAATTCTCCCATAGAATATTCATTTGCTCTTTCCCCTTTGTCTAAACTCTGTGTGGCAGAGTCATCTCTGGAAAAGTCTGTACGTCACGGGGCATAATTGGGTCACCCAGGCCACCTCCCTTGATCGGGGCCCCTGCAGTTCCTTTCTGGACCAATAAAGCCCCTCAGCGGTGCCTCTGTCTTTCTCCACAGCCCTCCTTGTCCCCTTGATGTGCACGGTCATTTTTCCTTTGAACCCACGCTGTAATTGCACTTTAAACTCCTTGAGGCCAGGCGCAGTGGCTCACGCCTGTAATCCCAGCACTTTAGGAGGCCAAGGCAGGAAGATCACAAGGTCAGGAGTTCGAGACCAGCCTGGCCAATATGGTGGAACCCCATCTCTACTAAAAATACAAAAAAAAAAAAAAAAGCCAGGTGTGGCGGTGGGCACCTGTAGTCCCAGCTACTAGGGAGGCTGAGGCAGGACAATAGCTTGAACCTGAGAGGCGGAGGTTGCAGTGAGCCAAGATCGTGCCACTGCACTGCAGCCTGGGCAACAGAGCAAGACTCTGTCTCAAAAAATAATAATAATAATAAAAATAAACTTCTTGAAAGAAGAAATTGTCTTATTTCACACAGTACATAATCAGTACGAGTTGATATCGGTGCTGAATTTGGCCTCTACTGATTTCTGCCCTTTCCTCTCTATGCTTCTGTTATCTGAACTCCTACGTTTCACAGTCTATTTACTTTTGTCTCTAGTTTAGATACTAACCCAACTGGTCAGGAATAATGTCTGTACATACCAGTAATGAACTTTACAATGTGACTCAACCAGCTACATGAGTAAGTTTCCCCCTTGGGGGAGTTTGTGCAGTCTAACACGCAACAATAACTGGAAAGAATGAATGAAATTTCTAAGCAGAAAGAAATGAATGGCATTTCTAAGCAGAAACTACACAGAGACGCAATGGCCCAGATTCTTCCATTTCTCCAGCAAACATGAATTGAGTACCCACTGTGTGCCAAATTCTGAGCTAAAAGTGCTCATAAATTTTAACTGAACTTGTCACAGCTACCCAGGTAAACAGATAAAGGAAAACATTTAGAGATGTCTAAACTTACTTGGAAGGTTGTTAATACTTACAGTGTAACAATGAGGTTAAAATTTAGCAAGGCTTGAGACAAATAGAAGGTTTGCCTCCCACTGCTACCCTACAAAACTAGGACTTTGACCAAATTGACTGGTTTGCTATCTTGTGGGCACCTTGCTCTTCTGTCTCTACTCCCTAACTTTTCCTTTCTCTTTACCTGGAATGTCACCCACCCCCACCTCACTCCCACACATATCCACCTCTACTCTACATATCAAACCATACACATCCTGCAAGACTTACGTCTTCCCGCCTCAGGACTCTCACAATATTTCATCTCACTACATGTAGTATAATTGTGTGGGAATGCATCTTAGTTTCCCTACTAACGCAAAAAATCCTAGAATACAATAATCTCCCTTACATATCTTTGTATGCCTCAGAATGCATATTGAACCATTTAATACATTTTTTATTTACAGCAGGAATGCATGAATTGATTAATTAAATGTTGAGAGCTGTAGATGGCTTTTCTCAAGGTGCTTCAAGTGCAGAAGCCCAAGTGATTGACCCACACACTTACCTTTGTGTTCCTTCCAGAAAATCCTCAGGGAGGTGAGAGACCCATGTTCAGCTGTGTATGGCACCAAAGTCTATACATAGTTTCTGGGAGTCACTGTGGGCTGTGGGGAAGCACGTGGACTCTGGAGTCACACACACCAAGGTCTCTAGCCTAGCTCTGCCACTTACTGGTTGTGTGACCCCAGGGAACTTAATTTACAAATTTAAGCTTTAGTTTCCTCATCTGCAAAATGGAGCCTCCTCGCCTTTCTTCTTTTGCTACCGAACTGGGTTATGAGAATTAGATGCGTGCATGCAAAGCACCTGGTAGAGTGGCACACACCTGGCAGAAGGAAGTAAATTCTAGTCCCCGTTTTCACTTACCCTCATATACAACGGGGCACTTTTTTATTTGCCAACTATTTCTTTGAAGATAATAAAAGAGTCAGAAAATGATAGTTTTTAAAAGCACCCTGCAGTCCACATGGGAACCAACCACTACCTCTGGCCATGAGTTTACCCTTTGGGTTTCCATTTGTCATGGCCAAGGGCAGTGAGGGCTATGCCAGGGACCCTCAGTGTGTTTGGCCCTACCCAATCACCATCTCAGGTCTACCCCTTGTGCATTCCACCTTGCGGGGCTCAGTCCACCACTCAGAAGGATGCATTCTGCACACTCCTTGCCTGAAAGAACTCCTGAAAGGCACTGACCAGGCTCTGGAAGGCTATATTCTTTTCATTCTTTATAAAAGTTATGTGATTACCAAGCTCAATAATCAAATGTCCTTCATCGCTAAAAGATTATATGGCTTTGGTTTGGATGCTTTGGGAACAAGGAGGCAATACGCAATGGCTTGGTTTACTCATGTTACAGAAACTGTAGCAGTTATTTGGTAATGCTTTCAACAGTGCCTTCAGCTTGTGGGAAATCCCGAAGATGGCCAAAGACAACTCAACTGTTCGTTGCTTCCAGGGCCTGCTGATTTTTGGAAATGTGATTATTGGTGTAAGTAATGATTATTTTCCAGGAAATTCTGCACTTCCTGTAATCATAATTCTAGATGAATCAAAAGTAAGAGTTTAAAGGAAAATAATGCTGTGATTACTGGCTTCCTATATTTTTGCTTCATTTTAAGAAATGTGTTAGTAAATATGCTAGCTAGAATTTAACTGTATGTCAAAAGATCATGGTTGAAAAAGTAGATATTTTCCTCCCAACTTTAAAATATAAGTATCTAAAAGGAGTCATGTCAACCATAGTCAGTGTCTAAACACTCTGACTACGAACACACTTCACTATTTCTTTTCTATGTCACCTTGGTTTGATTTCCATGGGACTCTGCTGTTAAGGTTTTTTGGGACAGATGCTTGCATCTTGTTCTTCTCATACAGAGGCCAGTACCAGGGTGTAAGAATAATACAGAGGCCATACTGTGTGGGTCTGGTGGCATAGAAGAACATTTGTTTTGGAGTCCAGAGCTCTTGGCCCAGCTCTCCCTCTGACTCCCCATATGACTCTGGCCATCACCTTTCAAGGCTGAGATTCCTCATCTATAAAATGTGGGTGTTGGCAAAGATAAGCAGCAAGGTTCCTCTCAGCTGTCATTGATAAATATGACCAGGACCAGCTCAAATATTACAACCCAGAAATGTGGGTCATGACATGGGGGCAGGGGGAGATCATTCTCATACCAGAAAGCATTGTTTGAGTGATTCATGCCCCAAGGACATTGTGGATGGTCTGAAATTGTGTGGGTCTGTTACTAAATAGACAGAATAACATGTGAAGGGATGTATGCAACCAGTTAGTAGGATGGAAGTAGTTGTTTGATTTCCTGGCAATGGGGAGTTTAGATTAGTTGCATAAAGCCTGTGCAGGAAAGGGAGCCAGTCACTCTTACCTTCCCCACCCTCCACCCCCTTTCCCAAAGCTGCACTCCTGATGGAGCCCACCTTTCATTTGCCCCCAGTGTTGCGGCATTGCCCTGACTGCGGAGTGCATCTTCTTTGTATCTGACCAACACAGCCTCTACCCACTGCTTGAAGCCACCGACAACGATGACATCTATGGGGCTGCCTGGATCGGCATATTTGTGGGCATCTGCCTCTTCTGCCTGTCTGTTCTAGGCATTGTAGGCATCATGAAGTCCAGCAGGAAAATTCTTCTGGCGGTAAGACCTCAAAATTCTCTGGAGTTGTCTCCCTGAGCCAATTGTAATGGATTCTTTCTTCTTCACTGAGCAATGCTTTGGCTTTCAGTGGGGGAGCAGGAAGTACCAGATAAGGGGTGAGGAGGGGAAGACTTTCCCTGCAGTGAAATGGTCCACATGGAGGCAAAGATGCCCTCCACTATTGCAAGCCCAGAAGGCTCCAGTACAGAGAAGCCAAAGGGGAGACACCTGGGGGTGACCTAATGAGTATTTTCCATATTGTGCCTCTACAGCTGGTGTCTGCATACACCCAGTAGGTACAGCTAGGAGCTATATAGGCCAAAGGAGAGACACAGTGAGAATTCATTCATTAGATTTTTTTCTCTTGGCAATAACTTGTTTAAAACATTTTGATATTAATTAGGCATTAATATATTAGGATATAAAATATAAAATATGCATACATTTTTAAAAGAAAGTATAAGCTTTCAAAGATTTTTGAGCTCAAGGTTGATGATTCTGTATCATAGCCTATACTCCCCACATTATCATCCAATCTGCTTTTCAGGGACCCCAGAAAACCTTGATAAGCACCACTGTAGAGTGAGCCTTCAGCTCACACCTGCCTGTGGGGGCTTTAACTCTGTACATCAAGGAGAGGCTTCTGCCCCAAACCATAGACAGCAAGACCATGCCCTGCCTTTGCAGATGAAAGCAAATTTGCAGGCAGCAGAGCTGAGAAACCTGTTTCAGACGTGGACCCCTACTGTCTGCCCTAATACTTAGGGCAGCAGTTTCACACTATTATGGAACACGCCTCCAATCCCCCACCCCTGAAATAACCCTTTTATTCAAATGCTGCAGGACCTCAGTTCCCCCTTTATAGAATGAGTCCAGCAATGTAAGGTGCTTGTTAGTTTACTCTTCCTTTTAACTAACCACTGTCCTGGTTCCAATGGATTACAGAACATTTACATTCTCTGGTTCCTTAGTGTGCGTAAGTTCCAGGGCAAAAGTACCCACTTTTGGTGGGTGGGGAAAGGAATACAGGAAAAAGGGAGAGGAGACACAGGTGTTCCTAAAGACAAATTCACTTGCATCCCAGCCTCACTTTGGGCCAGCCATGTGCATGCCTGACAACCAGGAGAACTGAGCTGGGGAGGCAAAGGGGCTAAAGGAGGAAACACCTCACTGCATACCTCCTTTCTGGAGCGTCTTTACCAGGAGCCAGCAAAGCTCTTGGCAAGGAGCAAGGCAGCAGCTAACACAGGAAAAAAATGTTCTGGGGCCTCTGAAGGTGCTCCTGCTGTTGACTGTAGCCAGAGCTTTATTCTGGGCTGAGTAGTGAGGGCAACAGAGGGTCCTGCTCGGAGAGCCTCCCATACCCAAAGAGGAGGACAGTTTTCCCTGCCTACCCTGCTGACACTGACCACAGTGCCCCTTCTCCCAAGAGTGTGTGCAAGCCTGGGGAAGGCAAAGCTGGAACTCTTGCAAACAGTCCCCATCCCAGATTCAGAGGTCATTTGCTGTTCGGATATTTTCCAGCCAGAAATAGCATCACTGTCATGTGGAGGTATCATGTGCACACGCACCCATGTGCCCATGCTCACGCACACACACCACCACTACCACACACAGCAAATGCCATTTCACTCAACTGAACCAATGTACTTTGAGTGTGGGTGCGTGTGAAAGAACACCCACAAATGCTGTGCACTTGAAGCCTGCCTCTCCTCTGATGAGACTGGATGCTTGTTAGGAAGGACCCTAGATGTTCAACATTATCCAGTTCATCTTTTTCTGAACTCCGTGATTCTAAATTTTCAGCAAATTGTAAAGAAAATTTCTCCAAAATTCCAAAATTAAAGGGGATTTATGAGGCCCTATACTGTATGTGATACACTAAGACTCTCTTGCCACTCACTGAGCATGCACATGCATGTAAATGCACACATGTAAATGAGCATGTAAATGCTCACATGTGTGTGTGCACACATACACACCAGTTCATTCTCTTGTACTTGTTTTTCCCAGTTAAAATAGAAACTCAGGAAACTGGACTGAGGAAGGTCTGTATTCAATGGCTATTTGTTCTCTGGAGAAAAGGAGAGAATTGAGCTGACTAGCACCAAGCCTCAATCCAAGCCACTGGTCAATGAGGGTTTGTTGAATAACTACATGAGTGATTACATGATTATATGATAAATTTGCTGAAAAAACATAATTATTTGGGCAAGTCGCTCTTTGACGGGTAAATGTAATTCTTTTATCTCATTTATTTCCCTTCCAGTATTTCATTCTGATGTTTATAGTATATGCCTTTGAAGTGGCATCTTGTATCACAGCAGCAACACAACAAGACTTTGTGAGTACAACCTCAAAAAGCAAAATAATATGAATTATCATTATTATAACAACCAACATGTATTAACCCCTTACTATGTGCCCAGGCAATCCAATATGCACAGTAATAATACATCTATCATTTTACTTAATCCTCATAAATCTATGAAATAGGCATTATCACTCTGGTCATTTGAGAAAGGAAAAAAAATGAGACAGAAAGGTAAAATGACTTGTCTAAAGTGACATAGTTGGCAACTGAAAGAGCAAGAATTCTGAACCCAGATGGCCTGACTCCCAGGGCCCAAGTTTGTAATCCCCTGTGGGTTTCACCACTCTGCCATGGCCATGGGCCTTCCAATGGGAGGATCTCTGTTCTACCTCAGCTAAGACGTGCTCTCAATTCTACATCTTTCTTTCTCTCCCATTCTCTGTTTTCCTAGCCTAAGCCACCCTACAGTATGTGTTCCCCTGGCCTCATAGTGATTTCTTTTAAGATGAGAGTCTCTTCTCTGCATGGGGACTTATGCCAACCTCAGCCAGCTGTACTTGGTGCCTCTGAGTACAGTTTTGCTCCAGGAGAGAATGTTCAGTGTCCCCAGGAAAAGACAGAGAAAAATATTTTCCTCTCCTTGAAAATTAGCGTGCTATCTCTCCCTCTTGTGTTGCCTCTTCCTACTATAGTTCACACCCAACCTCTTCCTGAAGCAGATGCTAGAGAGGTACCAAAACAACAGCCCTCCAAACAATGATGACCAGTGGAAAAACAATGGAGTCACCAAAACCTGGGACAGGCTCATGCTCCAGGTAAGACCTGTGGTCTTGGGGAGATGCCATTTTTACTTACTGGTGGGAGTGGGTGTCATACACATGACTCAGTGGGACCCTATATTTTATTTCAAGCCATGATGATTAGCTTACATTTGTTGGAATGATTTTGTCAAGAAACTTAGGTTAATCATACACTCTCCCTCTTAGAACTCAGGTATCATTTACATTAAAAGAAAAATATTTTCTCTACCCCACAGTGAACTCGAGTGGTAATTACTGCCTGTTTCGCCTTTTGGGTACCTCTTCACAACTCCTGTGAGCTAGTCTTGCCAAGGACCAGGCCCTATATCTTGATTTGATCACCCAATTTTCTCCAACTGGCAATCATAGTTTATGTCCATGTTTATCTCCAGTGCCATCAAAAGTCCAAGTCTTCCAGAATATCCATCATCACCCCCACATTGCCCTCTGTATGCAAATTGTTATCCTCTACATAACTACCAATCTGACCTAGCTTTCTTACTGGCCCCTGCTCCTACTCCACACCCCACCACCAACTTTTTACAGTCTGTCATCAGCAAACTCCCTTATAGCCACCACTCCTTCTATGAACTCTTTACTATCTTTTTCTTGCTTCATTGGAAATTTGGCTATCTCCTGGGAGTGCTACCTGCCCTTCATTTTCCTCCCATATCCATGTACCATAGGACCTGGAAATTGGCTAGGTGTCCTTCTTGCTCCCCTTGGCTGCCATACTATTTGCTTCCTTGATCTACATCACCCCTTATCCTTCCTTGCCATTACTTACCAGCCTCCCTACCCTCAGTCGTTCTCCTGCCTTCATTAGGGATTTCAATATCTCACTTAACTATCTACCTCTTCAGTCATACTCCTGATATCCCACCTAGAAACTTCAGCAGCCACATGGATGACTCAGCAACATTTAGTCTCACAATTCCTTGTCCTACCCCATTCCAAAGATTTTGTCTTTCTCCCCACCTCCACCCTCTTCCATGACCATAGTCAGCATGCCATCACCAGTAACTGTGCCACTAAGAACATTCCATTCTCTGACCATTAATTTCTATCATTTCTTTCATTTATTCTAATATCTCAATTCTAATAATTTTATTCCATTAGGACCTCCAATTAATTGACCACTTTTTAACTTTTATCACCCCTTTCATGTTTTCTCTTTCCTCTTTGCCTAACCCATATTCAGGTCCAGCCCCATAGCCAGTCCTTCCCTACCCTTCTCTGTGGGTCACTCTTTCCTAACCAAGCCCACCGAGTAGAATATAGCTTTTTGCTCACTCTTCGTTTATACTCTAAGAGCTAAACATTGCTGAGAAAAGTCACACAACCATGATCATTTCAATTTAAACTTGTGACCACAGAGCTCAAATGGGCACACAATATTTCCTAGTATATTTTCCCAGAAAATTCACTTGTCACTATTTCACATGTTCTTCCTTCATGCCTGCCACACCTCTTCTCACCCTCCCTCTCAGTTGATGACCCGACCTCATATGTTTTTAAGAATATAGAAGAAATTAGACAAGAACCACCTCATCTTTCTACCACCAAATCTACATTGATATACACCTGTGCACTTTGCCTTCTCTCTTGTTATGTCACACAGGCTGTCCTTTGTCCAGCTCTTTTGATTCTGTTCTGCATTCCATCTCCTTTGCCCCAACAGTCTTCCCTGCTCTGATCTGCCTCATCAGTTTCTCCCTTTCAACAGCCTACATGGACACCTTAAATTGTCTATCTTATAAAAAGACTCCCTTGTCCAACATTCACCCACTATTCTGTCCTACTACTGTTTTGTTTTATTCCACAGCAAATCTCAGAAGAGATGCCTACACTTGTGGTCCCATTTTCATCCCTCTCATCTGCTTTCATCCAACTACAATTGGCCTCTGCCTCACCACTCAACAAAAACAACCCTGCCATAATTACCAATTACCTCCATCCTGCCAAATCCAATAGCCAAGTCTCTGTCCTCATCTTCTTTGACATCTTATCAGCATTTGTCTCACTGACTACTCCCGCTTAGTCTCCTCTGCTGGGTTGTCACTCTTTACCCAAATCTGAAGCTTGGAGTGCTACAAAGCTCAATTTTGGACCCTTAAATCTTCTCTGTGCCCACTAAATCCTAGTTTGAAATAAGCCTGGCTTAGACTTAACCATTTTTCCCAGAATGCAGAATAATTATTTTTCTTGGTTAGATATTTCCCATAACATAGTGACAAAATTGTATATCCTTTAAAGATGGTTGATTTATCATCAAGTTTACTTGAATACATTCATTCTAAAAGTTCCAAGATACCCATGGTTTTAACTTCCTCCCTTTTGAAGGATTTTAGGAGAATTGATAACAAAGAAGGAAAGCTATATGAATTGTGTTTTGTCCTCTATTCTCAATTCTATCCAGAGTGTAAGGGATGTATTAATTGGTCTCCCTCCCCTATGTGGAGACATAGCTCTGTGTCACCAGGTTATTTTTTTCACTTTATTTTCTCCCATTATAAAAATAATACCTAATTACTCTAAAAAATGTTTAAATGTATAGAAAAGCAAAACAAGAACAATTACTCATAACTTCACCACTAAAATTTTTAATTTTATGATTCTCAATTTGCTTTGATATAATCTTTAATTTTATGATTCTCAATTTGCTCTGATATATCAGAATAATTATTCCTCTCTCACATTGTTATATCAATATATTAGTACAGTATCAATCATAATTAACATTTATTAAGAGTTTACCATAAGCCAGGCACTGTATTGAGCACATTAAGTATATTAACTCATTTAATCCTTAAAAAAACTCTATGAGATAGGTACTATATTCCAATTTTACAGTTAAGGAAACTGAGGCTTAGACAGTTTAAGTAACATGTCAATGGCTACAGGGTTCACTAATGACTAGTAAAGTAGGAAGTGTAAAAATTCTTTTACAAACTGTAAAATGTAAGTTGTAAGTTATCAATACCTTCAGCTGTCATTTGGGGATTTCTTAGTAAATGTAAGATATGGTACACTTTCCGTATCTTCTTTCTCTATAAAATTTCAGTTGCTACATTGATGGCTCTAGTAGGGACCACGAAAGAGAATTTTGTATCTCTCATCTGCTGACAGGACAATTGCTGTGGCGTAAATGGTCCATCAGACTGGCAAAAATACACATCTGCCTTCCGGACTGAGAATAATGATGCTGACTATCCCTGGCCTCGTCAATGCTGTGTTATGAACAATCTTAAAGAACCTCTCAACCTGGAGGCTTGTAAACTAGGCGTGCCTGGTTTTTATCACAATCAGGTGAGTCCTCTCTCCTCCCAAGACTTCCCAGGAGGTTCTGCTGCTCTTTATGAGAAAAATATTGGTCAACTGTAGGAAATAGTCTTTCAGTAAGGAATTCTACATTCTTTTCCCTAAACCTCATGTTAACTATTTCCTTCTCTGTTAATAAACTGCAAATGCTAAACCAGGACTGATAGGGGCAAATTTACATTTTAATAAAATTAACAAAACATGAGAATTGCAATAGCAGAACCCAACTTTGTTTAAATGAAGACAATTTGCACAATGTATGGAATTGGTATGTCAAGAAATATTTACATTAAACAAAGTTTTGCTCTAGTTTTGCAAAATGTAAATTGGAAGGGATGATGTGCAAAAAGAATGTTTTGCCAATTCCAAAGCAATGACTATTGCTGAGGATAAATGTAGTAATTACACATCCACATTCCTTATTCAATGGTAAAGTAGGACAGTCTTAATAAACATTAGGTTGGTGATTTGGATGGAAGGTAGTTTACATACAGATAGTTTTTGAAAAAGTTTCCAGGCTGATGAGGATAATGTGATTACGATCATGAAAACTAACATTTATTGTGTACTTACTAAATGCCAAACACTGTTTCCAGTGCCACACATACACTATCTCCTTTAATGCTCAGTAGTAGGTGCCAGTAGGATCCCTGTTTTACAAACGAAGAACTTAGACGTAGAGATACTAATAAATACCTTGCTGAGGTCACACAACTAGTAAATGTCCGTCTTTTCAAAAAACTCTCTGGCTTTTGAAACATGAGTTTTCTGCCTTCAAGCACAGACTCTAAGCCAGTGAAGACTTGTTAATATTCCCCAAAAGCCCTGATGAGAACCTCCAGGTACTTGTAGTCAGCATCTGCTGACCCTGTACACTGAAACGCTGTGCTCTGCTCAGGGAGTTACCTCTTTAAGGAAAGCTAGTTGTGTACCAGCTCATTAAATAATTGAGAAATGTCAGGCTGTTTTGTTTGGGAGCAGTACAAACTGCATGTTCAGATTGAGGGACATGGCACTGTTGCTGACAGGGTGCCTGGACTAGAACTGGATGCATTATTCCAGAAAAGGGCATGGGAGTGTTCTAGATTATTTTGCAGCAGTGTCCAGAGCAACCCTCATTGAGCTTTACTGCAACATTGTCTGGCATTGTTTTAATCAATTATATTCAGACTGTTATTAAAAATTAAATTTGCTGCTTATAATCAAGGTGTACAATATAATTATTCTCAGGACTATAAAAGGCTTTTGATATTTCAACACTGGAACTGCTCATGCAAACAAATCTTGATTGGATTGTAATTGTGTACAAACTGTATTACCTCTTTGAAAGGGATAAAAATAGGACATTTGTCTTCAGATAACCAGTTTATTTCATAGTTATACCTTTTTTCCTAGCACATATAATATTTTAGTTATGAGGACAAACCTGAAGCTTTTCTCAAGTTTAGATAGATGAGAAATTGAGGAAAAGATACAAATGAACTATTTTCCTCTACCTTGGGACCTCCACACCCATTTTGACAATGCTTCTAACACGTTCCCTTACAGTTCCCTGGCCTCATCTGTTCTAACAATTCCACCTCCACTACCCTACAGTTCCCTGGCTTTATCTGTTCTAACAACTCCACCTCCACTACCTACCAACTACAAATTCATCATCACTCAGCCCTACTCCTCCACCAAATTCCTGAATTCTGAAATTCCTCTCTCTGTTCCTGACTTCCTGTGCTCCTTGTTTCTCAACCTCACTCATTCTGCTCCTTTGACATAATCTCTTATCTATTAGTCCTTTCTGATTCTCCCTAGCCCAGCCTCCCAGATTCCCACACACCACCATTCTCCCTGACTCATAGGTCTTGCTAAGTCCCCTCTTGCCATCCTTTTCCACCAAGAAAAAGGTGCTACCCCAAGACCTGGTATACTTTATTTCTATTATTGCATTCACTACCTGGAACTATATTTGTTCCCAAGTCTATTTTTTCTGAGTCTCCTTGAGGACTATGTATTATTTGATTCTACAGATTTGATATTTTTAGTACTTAGCATAATGCCTGGCACAAAGCAAGCACCGACGTTTGATAGATGGGTGAATAAAGAAGTGAATAGTGAATGGTTTTTCTTTTTCTTTTTTTTTTTTTTTTTTTGAGATGGAGCCTGTCTCACTCTGTCGCCAGGCTGGAGTGCAGTGGCGCTATCTCGGCTCACTGCAACCTCCACCTCCCAGGTTCAAGTGATTCTCCTGCCTCAGCCTCCCAAGTAGCTGGGACTACAGGTGCACGCAACCACACCCAGCTAATTTTTGTATTTTTAGTAGAGATGGGGTTTCACCATGTTGGCCAGGATGGTCTCGATCTCTTGACCTTGTGATCCACCCACCTCAGCCTCCCAAAGTGCTGGGATTAAAGGAGTGAGCCACCGTGCCCAGCCTGGTTTTTGTTTTGTTTTGTTTGAGAGACAGGGTCTCACTCTGTCACCCAAGCTGGAGTGCCATGCTGCAATCACAGCTTATTGCAGCCTCAAGCTCCTGGGCTCGAGTGATCCTCCTTTCCACCTCAGCCTCCCAACTAACTACAGGCATGTACCACCAGGCCTGGCTAATTTTATTTTTTGTAGAGATGAGGTCTCACTGTGTTGCCCAGGCTTCACTTTTTGACAACCATATTGTAGGTTTTCAGGATCTACAATGCACAAATGTGCTGCTATAGCTGTGAAGACTAACAAAATTAGGGAAGTCACTATAAGCTTGTTAATAGTAGAAATTAACTAGAATTTCACACAGCATGTCAGATGCAAATATATATATATTCTATGTTATGGTTTATGTGACTCAGAAATGCTATGTGCAAATTGTGATCACTATACCTCAAAAATGTTATAATAAAATGAAGGAAGATCAAGTAAAGTACCACTAAATTGACTAGCATCACGAAAAGGCACTAAATGATGGTGAAAAAAATGGGGCTTCTGTCTGTGAGCTTCATGAAGGCAAGGCCCATTTCTGTTTGCCACAGCTAAATGCCCAGCCAGTACTTGGCACCTGGCATAAGTGGGCCCTTATATATATATTATTAGATGAACGACCACCTCCCAGGATTGTTGGGAGGACCAAGGAGTAGCAGATATGGGAGTGTTTTGTGAACCATCAAGTGTGTTGCAAATTATACTATTGTAAACATTAATGTTCCATTCATTCTGTAAATGTTTATTACGTGTCTACTATGTGCCAAGCACTTGTTCTAGGTTCTAGAAATTCAACAGTGAACAACATAAAATCCCTGCCCTCATGGAGCTTGCATTCTAGCATGGGAGACAGAAAATAAACATGTTACCAAACAAATACATGATAAAATTCCAGGCCCAAATAGGCCATGAGCAGAAATAAGGCAGGGTGAGTATATAGAGTAGGATGGAGAAAGGGTCTTTTTCTCTGTCACTGTCAGGAAAGGCTTTGTTGAGATGATATTTGCAGAGGTTTGAATTAAGTGAGAAAATGAGACACCGGAAGATTGGGGAGGAAAGTTCTACAAGAAAGGAGTTGTGAGTGCAAAGGCCCTTAAGTGGGAGCAGGCCCAGCTTTTTGAAGGAGCATAAAGGAGATCAGTATGACAAAGTCAGAATGAGTGAAGGATGAGTAGATGACAAGGATGGAGCTAGATTTTTTGTGGCTGGAGTCCCCCACCCCCACCCTCACACACAAATTATAGGGAAGGATCCTTCTTAGGAAAAACAATAAAAATATGCATACAAAATTAGGCACAGGGCCTTGAAAGGGTCTTGCAAGTAAGGGGCCCTGAAGCTTAAGCTCATTCGCTTTATAGAGAAACCTCCTCTGGTAGTGGAAGATGGGGTGAGAGGCAGAGCCGCATGGTCCATGGAACCAGCCCTGGTTATTGCATTTCCTAGGCATTCCCTTTGGTTCCCAGAGCTTTGGTAGAGGCTGCTCAGATGGCAGCTCTAGCCTTACATGCGTGTATCACTCCAGAACTTTGCACAGTGACTAGGATAGAGTGCGCCATGTATAAATACTTACTGGATTGTGGCATGCATGAATGGATGATTTGGTGAATAAAAAAATTATTCCTTTGCATGCTCACTGTGACCCTTCAAGGTCTCACTAGAATCCAGTAAAGATATGTTGAAATATAACATCAAATGAGAATTCAGGGAGCATAATGCAGGAGTTCCTTTAATGATTATTAAAAATGGCAACAGGGGACCTCTGGTTTTCATGGACAGAAGCATTTTTATTCAAAAACAAACAAATCAAAAAGTAACTGCCTCCAAATAAATCACCAACGAAGCCTTTGGGGAGGGAAAAATTCTAATTGAATTAAGATTTTTGAATTTATTGTCCACATATTCAGTATAGAAAGAGGGTTATGCTAAAATAGCAGTACTTTTTAGTGAGATTAAGTGATAAAGACACAAATAAATGTGTTGTGGAATCATTGTTCAACAGTATTGTTTATGTTCCCTTAGTAAAGCACTATTAGTAGCTGGCTGTCCTCAGAGATGTGGAAATAGCCTGGATATGTGAAATCAGAATTTTGAGTAGCATTGATTCCAATAGGAACCTGCTTTCCCATCAATCTCTTCTCTGCTTTCTGGTTCTTCTCACACTAATGTGGAATTGCCCACTCCTTCAGGGCTGCTATGAACTGATCTCTGGTCCAATGAACCGACACGCCTGGGGGGTTGCCTGGTTTGGATTTGCCATTCTCTGCTGGACTGTGAGTATTTCCCAGCACATATTTTATCTGAGAGGATGATCATACGGAGAGACCTTGAGAGTGCCACTGGTTACCTCAACCACACTAGAAAGTCTAGAAACAAAACCTCAGGCCTGAAGGCTAGTCAGGAAACTTCTGGCACCGGAAGAAGGACAGTGGGTTCTCTTGAGAGGCAAGGAGTTAACTTCCCCTACCAGGGAAAGGCTGTGCCCTGCCAACCAGCTCCTTCTTCCGGCTGATGGGCAGCTGCCTTTAGAGGGCTGGAGAGCCTCTTTCCCTTGCCAGAGTTCTTAGTGAACTGCTCCTCCTGGTCTCCAGATCTCATTAATTCATTTCATCCACATATCAAAGACTGTCACCTATCTAGATGGCCCCTGCCTGATACTAATATGCCCAGATCCTTCTAAAGAGCTGCCTCTGGCAGATTCATCCTTTCCTACTGCCCACTTTATCTGACGCATATGCAGCAAGAGGTTGGAGCGGTGGTTCTCAGCCCTGGCTACACATTAAAACGCCATGGGGAAACTTTTTTTAAAAATTGCTTGGATCCCAACCTCTGAGACTTCGATTTAGTTGACCTGGGGGTTGAGCCAAGGCACTTTTATTTCCCCCAGATGATCTGCTGTCAGGGTTGACAACCATTGCCTTAGAGAAGCAGTCACAAACTTTTGATTTCAGAACCCCTTTACACTCTCAAAAATTATTGAGGACTCCAGAAAGCTTTTCTCTATGTGGCCTATATCTATTGGCATTTACCCCATTGGAAATTAACATAGAAAAATTTAAAATATTTATTTTAAAATAATAAGCCCATTAAAAGTTATCACAACACATTTTTGTGGAAAAACAACTATTTTATAATAGTGACTTTTTTGCAAATCTCTTCAATGACTAGCTAAATAGAAGACAGTTAGATTCTCATATTTGCACCTTCATTCAATCTGTTGTAATATGTTGCCTAGGTTGAATGATCTGGAGAAAATGCATCCTTCATATAGACATGTAATTAAAAAAATAGTGCTTTAATAATATTCACCCAGTAGCTGGGACCACAGGTGCACACCATTGTGCCTGGCTAATTTTTTTATTTCTTGTAGAGACAGGATCTTACTTTGTTGCCTAGGTTGGTCTTGAACTCCTGGCCTCAAGCAATCCTCCCACCCTGGCCTCCCAAAACACTGGGATTATGGCCATGAGCACTGCACCCAGCCCACAAGTAGTAGCTTCTTAAAGATCAGTTGCAATTTGGAATCTGAAATTCTGTTAATGAGCTTTTCATACTCTGTTATGTTAAAATATATTACATTGGTTTGTCTTGCACTTTGCATATATCTTTCAGCCATTTATAATTCTATAACATCATAGATTGCTTATTTGGAAAAAATATTAGTTCATTGTGTTATGCAGATCTTCCAAATGTTAACTGATTTATGTATGCAATATCCAGAAAATCACATGTGGCATTGATATTGCCACATGGAAAATACCTTAAGCAATGGAATGCTATCAAGTTCACGGTGACAACTACAAGTTTTCCAAGGTTCTGATTTTTGCTTGAAAGTTCAAATTTATCATTGGCAATGAATATTGTCAGTTGTTTTCCTTGAAGTGACAGACTCACTTTGTAAATTTTCAAGAAAATATCTGCCACATGTCCAAGTCCAAACAACCATAGCGTGTCTGTTCATCATTTTTTAAAGTAAAAGTGGTGTTTCCTTTTAATCATGCAAGTGCTTTTAAGACAACCATATTACACTATGCAACAGACTGTTTTATGAATGAATACTTCCTTTCTGTCATGCAGAATATTTAAAAAGATGTGTACTCAAAGGCCAAAATGTAATAAAATTAGTAGTTCTTACTGCTTCATTGAGGACAATCTCAAGTGAAACTGGCTTTTTAAATTTTTTTTTTTTACTGCAAGTGCGTAGCAGTGAAGACACAATGATCACTAACAAAGTTTAGTGACTCTGCCTTGATTCTTGCTAATACTCCAGGAGTTTTACTTCCCACTGCATTTACACCATCAGTGCAAATATGAAAACAGTGAAAAAGGCAAATAAATTCTCATTGTTATTCAGATAGCCTTACATAATGGACTTCTGAACTGTCCCTCAGGTGTTTACTATGTGTATTAGTCCATTTTCATAGTGCTATGAAGAAATACCCAAAACTGCATAATTTATAAAGCAAAAGAGGTTTAATAGACTTACAGTTCCACATGGCTGGGGAGGACTCACAATCATGGCAGAAGGCGAAGTAGGAGCAAAGGCATGTCTTACATGACGGCAGGCAACACAGCGTGTGCAGGGGAACTGCCCTTTATAAAGCCATCAGATCTCATGAGACTTATTCCCTATCACGAGAACGGCACAGAAAAAAACCCGGTCGCATGATTCAATTATTTCCCATCGAGTCCCTCCCATGACATGTGGGGATTATAGGAGCTACAATTCAAGATGAGATTTGAGTGGGGACACAGCTAAACCATATCACTATGCTTTAAGAAATGCTAGCTTAGGGGGTGATAAACTGAGTGAGGCAGGAAGGAGAGGGAAATCAACTCCTTCAAGGGGTCTTTTATGATCCCTCAACCCAACCTGTTAGGAGCTCTCACAACATCCTGAGCACACCTCTATGATGGAACTTCTCCATGATGATGTATTTGACTGCAAAAAGCTGAGAACTAGCTGTTCTTTGTACCCCCAGTGCCAAGCATAGCATGTAGTAAGGGCTCAAGCATTTGTTGAATGAATGAAAGGTAACAGTGAAGTTTCTATTTGTGCCATATTAGCAGGAACTGTGGGATAATGTTTAAAGGCTTTGAGTATCTTAGAACTCCAAACCAGTTGTAACCCTTGATTTTCCACAAGTATCAAATAAACTCTAGATCTAGTTAATTCCCTCTTGAAATTCAAAAGAGGGAAGGGAAGGGAAGGGAATTAAATGATTAAATGTATTGAGGGCCTGCTATAAACAAGGTACCATGTCAAATATTTTTAATATTAAATCCCCACAACAGTAGCTAAGCAGGTAGCCAGTGTCCTGTCTTACAAGGAGCAGAGAAATTCAGTGGGGCTCTCAAGAATTGTGCTTAATAAGAGCTCTTAAGCATGCCCATTTCACTGTTGCTTGCAAGGGGCTTTTTCTTAGTGATTAACTAGATAAGCTCTGAAGCTGACTGCTTGGGTTTGAATCCCACCTCCACCACCTACTAGTTCTATGACCTTGGGTAAGTTACTTCTCTGTGCCTCCGTTTCTCCATAGGGTTTTGGAAGCATTAACTTCAGTTATATGGGTAACACTTAGAATAGTGAGTGATGCATAATAAGGTATTCTAATAAACATTAGACCCTGTTATTATTTCATTATCTCATTCACTGCTCTAGCTTGGGGTAGGTAGAGATGTTATATTTATTTTATAAATGTAGAAACTGAAGCTCAGGAAATTTAAGTGACTTGGCTAAAGTTACCCAGGAGTAAGTACCAGATCTAAAACAGAGCCCAAATAAACTAAAATAAAACTCAGCCCTTGCCTAAGTCAGATATCTTGAGTTCTGTGGCATTCTTCAGAGGCAGCCATTCCAGGGCACAAGCATTTTAGGAAAAAATAGAAGTTCCCTGGGAGAAGTTTAATACTAGAAGCAAGGAATGCTTACCCCGAAATGGTACATACTAGAAACAGGAAGGCATTGGAGGATAAGTGGCCTTGATGGCAAAAAGAGTTTAGCACAGACGAGAAGGGCAACCCCAGAAGACAAGGAATCTAGGATGAGAACTGGGATCAGAACGTGGGGAACACAGAAGTTGCTTCTGAGTGGCAGGTAATAAGTGATGCTTTGGAGCAGGATGGATTTGGTGTCACATCTGGCCCAGTGATGTTGCTTATAACGAGATTACTCTTAAAAATCTGATATCTAGGCCAGGCGTGGTGGCTCACGCCTGTAATCCCAGCACTTTGGGAGGCCGAGACGGGCAAATCACGAGGTCAGGAGATCGAGACCATCCTGGCTAACACGGTGAAACCCCGTCTCTACTAAAAATACAAAAATTAGCCGGGCATGGTGGCGCGTGCCTGTAGTCCCAGCTACACAGGAGGCTGAGGCAGGAGAATGGCGTGAACCCGGGAGGCGGAGCTTGCAGTGAGTCAAGATCGCGCCACTGCACTCCAGCCTGGGCGACAGAGCGAAACTCCGTCTCAAAAAAAAAAAAAAAAAAAAAAAAAAAATCTGATATCTAACAAAGACATGGAACCAACCCAAATGCCCATCAGCAATAGACTGGATAAAGAAAATGTGGTCCATGCACACTATGGAATACTATGCAGCCATAAAAAGGAATGAGATCATGTTTTTGCAGGGACATGGATGAAGCTGGAAGTCATCATCCTCAGCAAACTAACACAGGAACAGGAAGCCAGACACTGCATGTTCCCTCTCATAAGTGGGAGTTGAACAATGAGAACACATGGACAAAGGGAGGGGAACAACACACACCAGGGCCTGCTGAGGGGTGAGGAGTGAGGAGAAGGGAACTTAGAGGATGGGTCAACAGGTGCAGCAAACCACCATGGCACACGTACATCTGTGTAACAAACCTGCACGTTCTGTACATGTATCCTGTTTTTGTTTTGGTTTTTTAGAAGAAATAAAAACAAACAAACAAAAAAATCTGTTGTCACCTAAGCCTGAATGAACCTAACATCCACTTTTTCCAAGAATGAGATGTTTCTAAAACAATCCCTTGTTTATTTTTCCTTGTTTTTTTCTATTCCAGTTTTGGGTTCTCCTGGGTACCATGTTCTACTGGAGCAGAATTGAATATTAAGCATAAAGTGTTGCCACCATACCTCCTTCCCCGAGTGACTCTGGATTTGGTGCTGGAACCAGCTCTCTCCTAATATTCCACGTTTGTGCCCCACACTAACGTGTGTGTCTTACATTGCCAAGTCAGATGGTACGGACTTCCTTTAGGATCTCAGGCTTCTGCAGTTCTCATGACTCCTACTTTTCATCCTAGTCTAGCATTCTGCAACATTTATATAGACTGTTGAAAGGAGAATTTGAAAAATGCATAATAACTACTTCCATCCCTGCTTATTTTTAATTTGGGAAAATAAATACATTCGAAGGAACCTGTGTTATCACAGTAACCCAGAGCTGTATTTGGCTAGCAATCTGCCTGTATCTCTCACTATTATCTAAAAGAAACCTTCCAATGCTTCTGTTGATCTCAGTATTGTCAGGGGAACAGAGAAGTTGGGAAAAGATTACTGAAATATACCTTTTGCATTTCTTTCTAGAGTAGCTCCCATATATGGAGATGGGTGATTCTCTTGATGCCACCTTCAGATCCTTTTATTCTCCAGAATAATTCTTAACAGTGGTTCAAATTTCCTTTCATACCTTGAAGTATGTGTTTAGTAGCCTCAATTCTCCATTAATTAAAAGTGTGGGCTGGGCGTGGGGGCTCATGCCTGTAATCCCAGCACTTTGGGAGGCCGAGGTGGGCAGATCACCTGAGGTCAGGAGTTCAAGACCAGCCTGGCCAACATGGTGAAACCCCGTCTCTACAAAAATACAAAAATTAGCCAGGCGTGATGGCAGGTGCCTGTAATCCTAGCTACTTGGCAGGCTAACGCAGGAGAATCACTTGACCGGGAGACAGAGGTTGCAGTGAGCTGAGATCGTACCTATTGCACTCCATCCTGGATGAAAGAGCCAGACTCTGTCTCAAAACAAACAAAAAAGCGTGGGGACTTCTGGGGACAGACAAGGTGCCTGTTATATATTTACTCAGTCTTTGCCCTGAATGGTCTCAGCTTGAGACCATTTCAAACTGGAGAGAAGCAAGCCAGCCAATAGAATGGGGTGATTTACAGGGATTTCTGTTTACTGTCAAAATATTTCTCATCTGCACTATGTTTCCATTTGTGGTCCTGAAGGAAATTCTTATAACTCAACATTTGTCTGGTCTTATAAGTAAAGACAGCTTTAAAATCTGTTCACTTTCATTTTTACCAATGTCATATATGAGTCTAACAAAATGGGTTTTCCAACAGAAAAGCCTAAAGCATGGGAATTAAAGTGGAGGAGGTAGAAACTGCAGACACAGGGTGTGGCTTCCTGCTGGATGCTGGCAAACGCTGCCTTACAGTTAAACGGTGGGAACTTCTACGCTCACTTTTACTTTTTGCTCCTGCTACACTTACCCCAGAAGCAGTGATGAGACTAATGCTCTTCAAATCATTTACCTCATGCAATTGAAAGCAGTGGAAACCTCGCCCATGCTAACTGCAGAACTGTGTGTCCTTCATGAAGAAAACACTTTGGCGTCCTGCTCCCAGCTGACTCAGACGCAGGCAGCACCCCCATCCCATGCCCCCACCGGGTACCTGTGAGTGAGGCTGAGCGTGGGGGTAGGGGAAAGACAAGGAGGATTGGAGGGGACTTGCCTTGGTTGTAAAGCTGGCGCAGGAGCCCGATCCCTGATTCCCAGGAGAGGGAACCAAATGTCCATGTCCTGACAGCACAGCCAGTTCACCTCTCCTTGGCCTGCCTTGTCTCTCCTGAATGAAGATCATGGGATATCGAGATAAATGACACCTGTGCTTGGCTGAGAAGGTTCTCTCTGTGGTCCTTTAGAAGACAGGAGGACAGGGAAGGAGCTTCCTCTGGGCAAAGCTTTGAAACAGCCGTGCTCTCATTTTCCTCCGCACACTCTCTCCTGTGTGTTCTGGTGCCTTTTGCCTCCACCACTCACTGGGCTTTCCAGTGCCCTCACCTCCCGACTGCCTGAGCAATTCCTGCCCCAAACCCACTCCTACTTCCCTTCCAGGGCTTCATGCTCCAAAATTCTCTCTACATACAAAATTCCCCGCCTCCCTCCCCCCCCCCCTTTTTTTTTTTTTTTTTGAGACAGAGTTTAACTCTTGTTGCCCAGGCTGGAGTGCAATGGCACGATCTCGGCTCACTGCAACCTCCACCTCCCAGGTTCAAGCGATTCTCCTGCCTCAGCCACCCAAGTAGCAAAATTCCCTTCTTATGATTAGATCTCGGCTAGGTTAGGGGAAGGCCTTTTTGGAAACCAATTCATACTAAGGAGTGGGTGACAACTCAACTCCACTCTCTCAATCTCTATGACGTTTTCTTGATAACTGAGGTTGATCTCTAGTTGGTGGAATCCAGCACAGCAGTGGGAGCATGAAAGAGCCATTGCGGGACAAGATGGCCCACCTACTATTCCTTAAATCTTATCCCCTGACTTCCTTACCAAGCAATAACTAAAAGAGAAGGGGCCGTCAGTGAGCCACTGCCCCCTGCCCCCTCTCCAGCTAGTTTCCTTCCTGCAGCCTCAGCCTCCTTTATAGAAGGTGCAAAGTCCACTATAAATGGGGGCAGGCTCTGCTCCTTCCAAAACCAAATAAGGTCCTAAACACAGGCACCCACTATGTCCTGGGGCTCCAACACTTGAGGAGGACACACCTTTCAGCTAAGACAGAAACGAGGTCTGAGGATCACCCTGCAGAGAGTCTGGCCATTCAGGACTCCTGTGCTTCCCTCTACAGGGCTCTCCTGTTTTAACCTCAGGACAGTTTCTATTCTGCCCAGTTCCTGCTCCCATGTCCCTCCACCTTCCCTGGAGGCCCAGCCTTGCCCCTCTTCCTTCTGGCTCCAGGGACTGGAAGTGGCCCCAAGCCAATGCTCAGGCAGGCCCAGGCTCAGCCCCAGCCCCAGCCCCAGCAAACCAGGGAGGCAAAGGGGAACCAGGCGGCTTGGCTCTAGGGATCTGGCAGCTTGCTGAGTGTGAGACAGGCCCAGACACAACTATCTTGTGAAACTTCCCTCTTCAACACCTGCTTATCAGGTGGGCAAAGAATAATTACTAACACCAAAAATGTGTCAGGCTAATTTGGGTAAGTTTTACTTGATTGCAACGCCAGGCGGGTCATCATGCTCTCTTGGCTGGCCATTTCCATCCCTAGATTGCTCCACAGGCTCCTGGCAGGCAAACAGTCTGTCATTTAATTTTTAAAAGCCCATTGCTCCTACTTGTCAGCCTTGTAGCTTTTCTTTCTCTACATCAGCTGGAATAAACAGGAACTGCTTCTATTTTAAACAGAAGATCAGATATTTTCTGGCTACCCATAAAAGGAATACTAGTCATGTGAACTTGAAAATCTAACCTCCTCTCAATCTCACACCCCCACCCCAACCAATCTGACAACCTGTGTTGTGGTTGAGGAATTAGAAACTAAGCTGGTTTCTCATTTCTATTGATGGAACAATTTCCTTTCTCCTTCTGGGTCTAGTATTTCCTCTAGTGTCTCTTCCAGATCCTTCTCAGCCTGTATAAGTGAGACTGAATCAAAGAAGAACCCCAAAGAAGGGTAGCTATAGACTACTGAGTTTGCTATTGTATTATAAGGCTCAAGTGGCCAGATCCCGTAAAGGGATCCAGAAACATTGTAGAGAAAGGCAGCCTTGCCGAGAAACAGAGATCCCATACACTTCTCCAACCAACCCTTCCCCCAGCACACGCCCCCACTCCACATTGTTAAGACACAAATAGTCAAATCCTGGAGTTTGGAGAAATGGTACTGTCATGCCCTACTTTCTAGTGGTTTCTACCCTGAGTTCCTCTTGAAAAAGAACTACAGAGCAACAGATGCTGGTGAGGCACTCACAACTAGGCTCAACTATTCTCCTGTTAGACATAAACAATCTCACAGAATACCAGCCTCATAGGGTCACTCTGAGACCATGACAAAACGAGGCAAGCCAAGGCCACTGCATAATTTTGTCTATGCATAGACAAAAACAAGGTCACTGTGCCACCCACAAAAAACCAAACACCTGCTTTCTTGGCTAAAATTAGTGACTGCTATGTCTTCCCAATTACAGCTTTATTCTCTTGCTAGTCTCCCTCCCTACAAATAAAACTTATTGAAATAAACAACCATGGACTTGCCCCTGCTTTCTGATAATATCCAACAGAGCAAACCCTTTCTTGGACCCTCCCCAAATGACCCAACCAAAGCCCAAATGCTGTAATAATTCTAACTTCCTTCTACTGAGTTGCTTCATGGATCCCCCATGGTGTGTTCTCACTCACTGCAACGATTGCAACTAGTCACAATCCCAATTTTTTTCAAAATAGAGCTCTTGAATTTATTCCTCCAACTGAAATTTTGTACCCTTTGATCAACTCTAACCCAATTAATTTATCTGCAATGTGTTCCTGGGGGGTTTTGGCTGAAGAGCATTGACACTCTCCAAGTTAGTCTTCCAATCCTTATTTCCTCTAGGAAATAGGATGTATTTATTCCTTCCTGGTGTAGGTGTATTTATTTATCCATCACCATGAAGTGGTTAAGAACATGAACTCTGGAGTCAAAGTACTTGGCTCCAAATCCCAGCTCTTTGACAAGTCACTTAGCTTCTTGGAGCCTGCTTCAGAAAAACTGGTCTCTCCTCACACAGGACTGGGAGGATTCAGTAAGATACGTACAGTGTGCATCGGTCTATAAGAGATGCCAATCAGGAGGTTATATCAAGGAAACTGATACAGAGCAAGCACTTAGTTTATTATTATGTCCCACCCTTCACCAACCTCTGCTCCAAGCCCCCACATCTCTCTCTCATTCTCTCTCTCTCTCTCTCACACACACACACACACACACACACACTCACACTCCACACATGGGCACACAAGGTTTGATAATTTTATTTAAATCTTAACAATTATCAATGGAACAATGGAGGCTTTACCTGTACAGGTGTACTTCCTAGGGGTGGAACCTCTAAACCACTCCCTTGTGTATACTTTTAGAATGATCAGGCCCTCTCAGCAGGTATAAGATGGTTATGCATATACAAAAAAATCAACGAAGGTAGAAATAGCATAAAATATCGAAGGCACTAAGGATAGAGGGTTTTTTTTTTAAGTTATAGAATGTGATTGGTGAAAAAGAACTTATGAAATGTACCTGAATATGCTTCATCTTGCAGAACATGTTAATGGTTTTTGGTAGGGACTGCATATATGAATAGGATTGGGGAAAGTGAATTTCAAGTCTGGGAGAAAATGTCTTTTATCTCACTCAAGTCCATTCACAGAGCATTTTGGGGCTCCCAGGAAATCTATCCATTGGGGCTTGAGTGGAAGTGATGGGGGTAAGGGCAGAAAAATTACAGATGGAGTTGGGGACAAAGTTCTGAGAGCAGCTGAGAACAGGAATGCACTTTCCAGGGTCCAGACAATACTAACTCTCTGTAGGAATTAAGACAATGACACACATTCAGGAAAATTACCACAAAGAAGTAGAGAAGCCAAGAAGAAGGCAATATGATGTAATGGTCTTGAAAGTCAAAGGGCCCGAGTTTTGCTCAGAATCTGCCATTTGCTGCCTGTGAGACTCCTGGCAAGGCACCCTCCTGGCTGAGACCTCTACTTACTCAACTTACTCAACTGCCCTCTTACCTCAAGAGTCAGAAGCATCGGCCAGGCACATTGGCTCACGCCTGTAGTCCCAGTACTTTGGGAGGAAGAGGCAGGCGGATCACCTGAGGTCAGGAATTCAAGACCAGCCTGGCCAATATGGTGAAACTCCGTCTCTACTAAAAACACAAAAATTAGCCGGGCATGGTGAGGCATGCTTGTAGTCCCAGCTACTTGGGAGGCTGAGGCAGGAGAATCACTTGAACCCAGGAGGTGGAGGTTGCAGTGAGCCGAGATTGTGCCACTGCACTCCAGCCTGGGTGACAGAGTGAGACTCTGTCTCAAAAAAAAAAAAAAAAAAAAAAAGAGTAAGCGGCACCAATAAAGTGTGTGTAAAGATATCACAAACTGCAAAGCACTATAGAAATGAATGCCAGTATAGGTGAGGAAAAAAAATCAATGAAAACTTCAAAGTAACACACTCTTTGTGTTAGGTAGTTGTGATATCCAAATAGCCTGCCCCCACATAATCCTTAGCAATTATAGTAGGCATAGCTGTCTCTACAATATTTAAAACAGTAGGCCTCTTTGGCAACTATGAGAAAATGCACAGGGCAGGAACTGGAGGAAGCCAGTTCCTTTGAAGCCAAACCCCCTGCCCAGTGGGGAGGCAAGAGCAGGGAGGGAGGCAGCAGTGAGTGGGCAGGCGGCCTCATGCCCCGTGTCACCAGCCTTTGATGCCCCAGTGCAGGGAAAGTGTCACAATGGCAGTGTCAAGGTCTTAAAAAACTATCTTCCACCTCAAGAAGTTCCATAACAAGTCATTTAAGGGACTTTTAGATTATCTTGGTTGAAAGAATTACCTGAAGAAAAATAAAAGGCATCATTCAGTGGTTTCCAACAGTTAAAAAATTGCAGATGTCAAAAAAACACAAGAGAGTTTCTGCATGGTACTAGCTATACTCCATTTCCATTGAGTAAGAAATTGAGTTCTCAAATACAGATCTTCAAATTCCTTGCACACACCATTCTCTTCCATTGCCCTTCCCAACCATGATGAGGGAGGGACCTACAACCTCTCAATTACCGTCTGTTAATATGGTCATAGTCAAGCAAATTGGGAGAGAGCTCTAGACAAAGTTTCTACAGAAAAGAGAAGGGACAGTGAGGGAGAGATTTACTCAACAGACTACAGCCTCATTAGCAAATCTCCCAAGAATGAAGCTCCTTTACAAAGTTTGAGCAAAAAACATGAAAACCCTGAGTATTTCTCTGCTAAGTAAAGAAAAAAACATGGCCGGGCACTGTGGCTCACACCTATAATTCCAGCGCTTTGGGCACCCCAGGCAGGCAGATTGATTTTGAGCTCTAGAGTTCAAGACCAGCCTGGGCAACATGGTGAGACCCCATCTCTACTAAAAATACAAAAAAATAGCTGGGAATGGTGGTGTGCGCCTGTGGTCCCAGCTATTCAGGAGGCTGACGGGGGGAGGATTGTCACTTGAGCCTGGGGGGTGGAGGCTGCAGTTAGCCGAGACTGCACCTCCGCACTCCAGCCTGGGTGATAGAGCAAGACCCTGTCGCAAAAAGAAAAAAAAAAAAAAAAAGGAAAAGAAAAATAACCACTTTTGCTCTTTTGCTCCCTGTGCTGAGTTAAAAGCTAAACCAAGCTAGCCCTAGGTAAACGTTTCATGCCTATGAAGTGTATTGTCCTTTCAAATTCTCCTTCCCCACTTGGGTGGTGACAACTCCTGTTTTATCTTAGGAGCACCAAACTTCCTACTCCCTCTCTCCCTGCTTGGGAAGGATTAGATATTATTTAAACTTCCTGGCTGGCACTCATTCTTGTTAAAGTTTAACTGTTGAGGTGTCATACAATAATGATGGATTGAGAACCCCTAGGGCTTGCATGATAAGCATAATGCATTCACGGAGAGGCCCAGGGAGTGAGACATGGACGGGCCTATCGTAAGATTGGAGCTGGTTCCACAAGGAGGTCACAAATGAGACAAACAAGAGAGGGACAGAAGGACGGGAGACAGAAGTAGTGGAGGGCTTTGTTTCATTTGTTCTGTTTTTAAGCTCTTTAGAATTATGGATACTGAAATGAACATATCTGTAGGCCTCAAAGAACAATAAAAAACACGAAGGAACACTCAAAGCTTTTTCACATTTTACTACAGAGGTATTTGATAGACATATTTATTATTAGTTAATATGTAAACTTGTAAACTGCTAATTCATATCCTACTTGTACAAAATCATTTTACAAAAACTCTTTAAAAACTAATAGAGAATGTATTCTCTGGTGGGCATCACTGGAAGGCATACCTGGGCAGGTCCTCCCCTGAAGGCTATCAGCAGCTGCAACCAGCTCAGCTACTGCTGCCTTTGCAGCCGACACTCCACCCTCCTGCTACCTCTTCATTCCCAAGTTCACTGTGTCCTGATTCGTCGCCTTTTCTCCCCTCTTTTGTGGACGCCTTCTCACCTGACACCACCACTTCACAGATGATTGTACAGGATAAATGAATAACAGTATTGTATCTTCGTACCTTTCTACCTTGGACGAGAACAACTCTGGTTCTCTCAGACATTCAGCAGTCTTATTTCCTGTGGCCTTTTATCCCATAATATATTACTTCAAATTTAAATAAATCTCCTTCAACCAGAGTCCTCAAATAGCGTTCATTTTATCCTTTGAGTCATCCTTTTATATAAAGTCCTTCAAGTATCCATATTACAATATTTAACCCTCATGATCAAAATGACTAAGAAAGCTGTCTTGTTACAACTGTTTTATACTCTACATCACCAGGAGCTCTGCTAAGAAAATACAAAAAGGAAAAATTCAGCTCAACAATGAGCTGTAACAGGTTCTTAATGTGTGCTACTATTTGAAGTCTCTAGGCCAAAATTATTGCAAACAAAGAATCAGTTCTTCCAAACATCACCAAAAGACCCAGGGTCATGCACCAAACCAGAAATCCACTGTGATGTTGATATATAAAGGATTGTGTTCCACAGATACTAATTTATAAGAACAACTACTCAACCCATCTGTTCTCCAGACTCGTGACACTTGGTGTAAGAGCTTCATCCTAAAGATAAAAAGAACAAATGTGAATGATAAGAATTTAACATATGTCTCCACTGCATTTTGCCTTGCCCTGAAATGTGGCAAACATATTTTTGTAAATTATTGTACCTGTTGTGTTTCCTACCATTACAAAGTTTGTTTGCCCCATTGAAGGTGACAGACATGATAGCCATGTATTCATGTGTCAGACTCCACGTGAGAACCCGGGGACCCATGATGAAAAGTGTCACTGCACTCAGTGAGCCCCCAGTCTACAGGACAGAAGGATGTGCAAGGAATACAGATACTACAGGATATGTACCAACCATTGCTAACTGATCCTTGGCTGAGCTTCAGGGGATCTCTGAATCTTCCTATGTTATAAGGAAAGTTTGTCTGTAGGTGGGTACATAGCTTTCACGAGCCTCCAAAAAAATTAGAATGTATGTAGATGAGGATGAATGAAGGGAGACCTAACTTCATGAGGAAGTCGGGTGAGGTGTCAGGGAGAAGGAAAATTTCAGTAACGCTGAAAGAGAGAAATCCACCAAGTGAAGAAGGTGAAGGAAAAAGCACTCCAGGCAGAGAGACCACCCTGGGCAAGATGCACAGACGCAAAAGAGCAGGATGCATTTAAAGAAGTCACTAGTGTGGCCAGAACCATGGAATCTGGGAAGACAAGTGGGCAGTGAACTGAATAGGTTCTACTTGTTCAGCAGTGAAGACAATAAATGCTAGTTACCCATGACAATATGGATGGGGATCAGATGCATAATGTTCAGCTAAATAAAGTCAGAGAAGAATAAATGCAGTGTGATTTCATTTACATAAAGTTGAAAAACATGCAGAACTAAGCAATCTTTTGTTTAGGGATACAAACATATGGGAAAACAAGAAAACCAAGAAACAGCAGAAATAACTATCATTATCACAAATACTTATCACAAAAATTCAGAGAAGTGTTACTTGGGTAGGTGGATAGGGGAGATGTGAAGGAGGAGACTACAGAATTAGGGAGGACCACACAGGTCATGCACTCAAAGTGGGGGTAGGAGATATCAGCAGTGTTCATGGCATCAAGAATCTTCATACTTTTCATACAATTTAGGAATACTCTTTTGTATCTACTCAATAATTAATTTTTTTAACATAAAGAGAAAAATGCATACCTATGGACAATGACTAGAAAAACATAGAAAATAGAAATAGCTATTTTGTTGGAGTGGTTGACTCTACCAAAAGGGTGAAAAGCCATTTAATAATGCTTTAAAATATAAACTTTAGGCCAGGCATGGTAGCTCATGCTGTAATCCTAGAACTTTGGGAGGCTGAGGCAGGAGGACTGCTTGAGCCCAGGAGTTTAAGACCAGCCTTTGGCAACACAGGAAGACCCTGTCTTTACAAAAAATAAAAAAAAATTAGCCAAGCATGGTGACACATGCCTGTGGTCCCAGCTACTTGGGAGGCTGAGCTTGGAGGATTGCTTGAGCCTGAGAGATCGAGGCTGTAGTGAGCCATGGTCACGCCACTGCACTCCAGCTTGGGAGCGAGACCCTGCCTCAGAAAAAAATAAATGAACTTTAACAGGACTGTTTAATATCAGGCTAAAAGCACTTTAATATTGTTTTAAAATGTAGACTATAACAAAAGCACTAAAAACCCCTTAAGACTGTTTGAAAATTTAAGGGGAAAAATCAGAACAAAGAAATACAGATTCTTCAATCAAAGCCTCATAAGAACTGGCTTATCTGCCAGGATTCCTTGTGAATAGGCCAATTCCCAAGGCAGGAAAAGTACAAGAAGAGCCTAGAACATTTCATCACAGCAGAGCACAGGGAGGGAAGCTCTCGAGGACTACTGGGATTCAGGACCCAGCTTGAAGAAGATCCCATTGGCCAAAGATGAGACAATATGAGTACCAAAAAGTACAAGAACTACATCCTGAAGGATGCTAGGAAACACCAAGTCATTAGTCTGAAAAATTTTTAATCAGTGCTTGACTCTTTTCTCTTTATTCTGCCTTTCCTATAAAAACTATACCCCAGAGTACCCAAATACATGAAAAGGGAAAGTACTTTGTAGAAAAATCTAATAAATGCAGAAGGAACAATAGAATTAGAATATTACAATTTTGCAACTCCTAATTAAATAATAAATTTAGAAATCAAGCATCAATGACTGCTGAAGTCATTAGGTAAAAAACTGATGAGGAATCTCACAATGCATAGATTAGACTGGCAATATCGAAACTCACAGATCAATCCTAACATCACAAAATGACACAACCAGACATTACATCCTCCTGTTGTGACACTGGAGGAAGTACACAACACCATAAATGAAAATTCTTGCCCAAAAATAAGATTCTGTTCAAGTCTCCAGAAATGCAGAGAAATCCCAGTGTGATGGTTAATACTGAGTGTCAACTTGATTGGATTGAAGGATGTGAAGTATTGTTCCTGGGTGTGTCTGTGAGGGTGTTGCCAAAGGAAATTAACATTTGAGTCAGTGGACTGGGAGGGGCAGATCTACCCTCCATGTGGGTGGGCACCATCTAATCAACTGCTAGCGAGGCTAAAATAAAGCAGGCAGAAGAAGGGAGAAGCCAACTTGCTGAGTCTTCTGGCCTTCATCTTTCTCCTGGGCTTCCTGACCCTGAACATCAGACTCCAAGTTCTTCAGCTTCTGGACTCTTGGACCTACACCAGTGGTTTGCCAGGGACTCTCGGGCCTTTGGCCACAGACTGAAGGCTGCCCTGTTGGCTTCCCTACTTTTGAGGTTTTGGGACCCGGGCTGGCTTCCTCGTTCCTCAGCTTGCAGGCGGCCTATTGTGGACTTCATCTTGGGATAGTGTGAGTCAATACTCCTTAATAAACTCCCCTTCATATATACATCTATCCTGTTCGTTCTGTCCCTCTAGAGAACCCTGACTAATACAACCAGTTTATGAGAAAATAGAGGTCAGGAGGACATATTAAGTTATACTACCAGGATGCAATTGGAAAAATCCATAATGCAAGGAATTCTATTGGACAAATAATCTGGCTTGTTCCACAAATAAATATCAAGGAACACATAAAGAAAGGGAGAGGGAACCTACATATTAAAAGAGATCATTCAAATGCAATGTGGACCTTGTTTAGACACTGATCTGATCAACTGGTTTTAAAAATAAAAAAGTACTTAACACTGACTAGACATTTGATGACATTAAGGAGATATTGTTAATTTTATTCTAGGTATGATAATGGTATTCTGATTCCTTTTTTAAAATTGCTTATATTTTAAGAATACATACTGAAGCAGTTACACATGAAATGCTATGACATCTGTGACACATTTCTAAATCCAGTGGGGTAAGAAAAAAACTGAGGGAAAGAAGAGAGGCCATGAGTTGAGAACTGTAGACGTGAGGGTTCAGTGCACCACTTTCTCTCCTTTTGTGTCTGTTTGAAAATTTGCTTAATAAAAATCTTTTAACACAATGAACTGGCTCAAATCTGATCGAATTCAACATAGTCCTTATTGACAGAACAGACTAGGGAGGTAGCCTGCTAGGCAGGTGAAGCCAGGACTTACCGTTCTGCGTTCACCTCATTGCCTTTGTCTCTAGTGTGGAAGACCATTGTATATTTACCCACTTCAGGCAGGGGCCGGGAAATTTTCATTCTTTGGAGCTCAACCCTAGAAAAATAATAGAGATTTTTTTAAAGTCCATCCTATTTATCTACCACTAGGCAAATAAAAAGCATCATTTGCGAAAATTTATACACACACACGCACATACACACACACACACACACACACACACAGTGTCACAAACAGCTTGATTATTGGAGTATTAAAAAAAGAAAAACTTCTAAAATTTCCAATTTCTTATAATGGTGGAACTTCAGGCGATAAGCCCAAAAAAGAATGAGATTCAGCATTTATTACTGGGGTACAAAGGAGATGTGTTAGTTTATACTTAGTCATTTTCAAAAAGAAAAAAAAATGATAAAGTACTTATTTCAAAACATCCTGAAGAATAGGAGAATCAAGTCTGTTAGGATCCCCAATTTACTTAGAGTTGCCTTCTTTTAACAAAGAAAGGAATGGCCATTTATGGTCACAAGTTTTAAAGCTACAATTCTAGGTTCAAATCTGGACTCTGTTATTTACAACCTCAGTAAGTCAGTTCACAGTTCCAGGTCTCAGTTCCCTCATCTGTAAAATGGCAATGGTGATAGGGAGTTGATTTCAAATATTCAAATGATATAATCTGCATGGAACATGCTTGTACTCTGCAATGTATTATATGTATTATATAAGTACAAAGAAGGGTAGTGCCTGTTGCACAGGCGAATAAATAAGCAGTAAATCTCAACCAACTTTCATATTCAAATCATCTTAGTTTATCTACCACATTAGTCAAAAACCATTCTGAAGGCCATGATGGTCTTTTCAAATGAAAGCAAAATTGGAGGCTCCCCTCTACTTTGAAGCTGAAGCATAGCAGGAAAGAAGACACTGAAGATATGTGATCAGGGCAAAATTCTACTAATCACCCCAGTGAAGTACATTTAGGGAAGATAATGGGGATTGTTTATCACTAGCCTTTGCTACTCTTGTCCTGAAATGTAGCACGTACCCTCTGTCCAGTTCCTAAGCCATGACCACATAGGCTGCTGATGGGCTGGGCTGTGAAGAGCTGTTGCCCATCACTACGGCCATTTCTGTAGAGCCCCTGGTCAGGGGAATCCACTCCCTCCTGCTAGAAACATTCCAGAGGCTCTCAGCCTAGACATGGGAACAAGAGCAGCATGGAGCCCCTGGGTTCTTTATGATGAGGCAACAAAAAAATTTCTGACAGTCACGTAACTAATAATTCAGAGCCCCAGGTTAGAAATTTCCTTTCCAGCCAGGCACAGTGGCTCACACCTGTAATCCCAACACTTTGGGAGGCCAAGGCAGACAGATCACCTGAGGTCAGGAGTTCGAGATCAGCCTGGCCAATATGGTGAAACCTGGCCTTTACTAAAAATACAAAAAAATTAGCCAGACACGGCGGCACACGCCTGTAGTCCCAGCTACTCGGGAGGCTGAGGCTGGAGAATCACTCAAACCCGGGAGGCAGAGGTTGCGGTGAGTCGAGATCACGTCACTGCACTCCAGCCTGGGTGACAGAGCGAGACTTTGTCTCAAAAAAAAAAAAAAAAAAAAAAAGAATTTCTTTTCCAAGAGGCAACAAGCAGGAGGGAAGGGGGCCTCCTGACACCCAGAATGGCCTTGTGATTACAAGTCTAAAGATACCAGCCTAAGCTCTTGAATAATTACTTATTTCTGGGAGGCAGGGATAACTATAACTATCTGGCCCCCAAATCCAAGTTGAGGGGAAGAAGCTGTGGGTGGAGGCCAGACTTATTCCCTTTGAGCCCCTCAGAGCAGAAAGCAGTCCAAGAGAACCCAGGGTAATGTCAACAGCCCAGAGTCAGGCCTGGGGTCAGGCCACCTGCAGTCTCCACAGCGTGCAGGGCTGCCAGGGCTGCCTAACGCTTGAGGAGAGGACCTCTTTGCCTGCTTCAACATGTGCAGCTCCCCAGAGGCTGCTGGCACTCCCTGCAGGGGGACACTGGGAACTGTGTCCCCAAGGGGTCTGACAGAAAGCATGAGGCTCTTAACAACCCGGTCTCCAAATTGCAGTTCAGCAGACACCTTGCAGTTTGGGGTTTCTCACTCACTGGTGTCTCAGTAAGTCTTTCCCGACAAGTACATGAGGCCTCCACCAACACTTCTGGACCCCAAATGCCCCCAGGCCAGAAGTAAACTGCTACTGGCACAGAATGATGTGGGCCATCCTACCTTCCCTCCACCCCCTGCACCCTTCAAGCCCAAATCTGCAGCCTAGTGACCTGCTGGACTGGCATCTAAAGGAATAAATATAAATGCAGGTCTCCAGAGCCACACTGAGTGCAGAGCCCCGTGAAGGGGACCTTTCTCTGTTGTTCACCTGAGTCTGAGGTCATCGTCTTCGCCTCCCCATCCCCAGTAGTTGTTAGAGAATCCATTCACCTTGAAAAACTGCTCTCTGCTTAGGGCAGTAACACCCCCAAAATATCCACTGTAACGTAACCTGGAGCAAAAGAGATGAGAGAAATGGTAAGAATATTCGCACCAAAGGTCTCTGATTTCAGGGCTGGCGTTCTAGGAACACCTGGGAGACCATGTACTTCCACCCACCCACTCCTGCTTCTCCTGCTTGACACCCACCTCCCAATGCTCCTGGCCTTCCCTGTCTTGTCTTCTTTCCTCTATCTAGACAAACGCTCACCTCTGCTCACTGAGCAAAGTGCCACCCAGCTGTTAATGGTGATGTTTGTGTGTAGAGGCCTATAGAGATACCTGTCAATGTGAACCACACCATCAGATATTGATAAGATTTCATCTCATGTGCCAATCCAAGGAATGGTAACAGTTGCCAAGGGCACTGGGTTAAGAAGGATTCTGAGGCTGCATCCGGGTTCAGCACGAATGCGTGTCATGATGAATATACCTTTCTTTTTTTTCACTTTCACTTTTGCAGGGGAGGGTTGAAGGCAGGAGACAGCTCCCGCACACACTCTGTATGCAAATCTCCACTTCTCAACATGCATCTCCAGCTCAGAGTCTGTTTCCTGGATAACCCAACACATGTCAACACCCTCTGAAGTTTCTGGCCTGCCAACCAGACAGAGTCTAGGTAGTGCTTTTCATGAAAATAGGCTGTACAGAACAAGAATTAGGTTTTGAAAGGAAGGACAGTGAATCATGCTTTAGATAAGCTGAATTTTAGATACACCTGGGGCTTTGCCAGTAGGCAAAAGGATACAGGGTCCAAGCTCACAAGAGAGGAACGACTACAGATATGGCTTTGGAAATAAGCTGTTATCATGTAGTACCTGAAGGCATAGGTCGAGAAATCTCCAACAATCTAGTTGGTGAGAAGAGTACAAAGGGTAGACCCAAGGGGCTCAGCTCTGTGGAACCCTAGGAATACCGAAAAGAAAAAGAGGCAAGAGGAGAAAGATCAGGAGGTAAAAGTTAGAGAGCACCTCCCAGCCTCCCAGTTATATAGGACTCTTATTATCAGTGGACAAATTTGTAAATCTCAGAAATAAAGGTATCCCTTAAATATAACATTTGAACAATTCAGAAATGCAAGTTAAGGTAGCTTAAAAACTTGGATGTTACTAAATAAAAAGATGTGAATATCTAGAGAATTTTTAACTTTAACTTCAGGTCAAACTGTTCCAGGACCGATAAAATATTTATGATTTTCTAGATAAAAAGAAAAACCAAAAGGAGTGATCAATAAACATGTAGACACTGGCCATCAAACAAGTGGCATCCCAAAAGCTAATCTGTAGTTCAGTTGTTTCTTTCTACGTTCTGAGAAAAGACTGGGGACTCTGTTTAACCCATAAGAGAAGCAGATTTACTTATATGCCCCTAACTTAAAATTCTGGGAAATTGTATTTTTGCAGCCTATAATAAAACAAAAAAAAGGAAATAAAGTGCTTAGAAGGTAAATATCACTGACCAAGACATCTACTAGCAGTGTCTCATTACCATAGTTATCAGAATGCATTTTATAGAGGGGAGGGATTCTTAGCTGCCTGAACACCAGCTGCCTGATCAGGATGCGGTAATAAGGCAGGCATAACCTGCTGACACCAACAAGCAATCAGCATGAGAACAAGGGAATGATGTGGTAGATTATCAAAACCAATATCGCCATGTGCAAGACGGCTGGCTAAACACGGGAATGCGGGAGCCCCGCCCTCAGAGTTTATAACCTAATAAGAGAGGTGAACATTATCAGGGTTCTGAGGAGAGAGGTGTCGCCACATCAGGAGGAGGGGGCCTGGAAGGATTCAAATAGGCAGAAAAATGGGGGATCTCCTGGTGACCACAACTCTGTGAGGCAAAGCACAGGAGGGAGAAAGACACAGGCTGCCCGACGACCACCTGGAGAGGGGTGAGCTGGAGTGGGGAGGGGCAGAAGAAGACAAGTCAGCAAGAAGGGTTAAAGAATTGTCTCTCCACGCCTGTAATCCCAGCACTTTGGGAGGCCAAGGCGGACGGATCAAGAGGTCAGGAGATCGAGACCACCCTGGCTAACACTGCGAAACCCCGTCTCCACTAAAAATACAAAAAATTAGCTGGGCGTGGTGGCACGTGCCTGTAGTCCCAGCTACTCAGGAGGCTGAGTCAGGAGAATCCCTTGAACCCGGGAGGTGGAAGTTCCAGTGAGCCAAGATCGCACCGCTGCACTCCAGCCTGGGCAACAGAGTGAGACTCTGTCTCAAAAAAAAAAAAAAAGGAACTGTTTCTCAGGTGCCTGTCAGATGACAACTATCTCTGTGTTTATTGATCTTTGCTTTTGGCTTTTCTTCTTACCTGTAAAAGCATAAATATTTAACTGGCCCTGGAACCTTTTTATTTATTTTTAAAGCCCTGTAAGGCCCAAGGGTGGGGAAAACGTAGTCATAAAATAACAATAGAATCCTTGTAGGAAGGAGGCTGGTACCAAAGGAGTTCTTGCCAGTAAAATTTGCCACTGGCTGGTCCAGAGCTTCATCACTGATCCCATAGGCAGTGAGAAACAAGATTTGTTTCTGGCTTCATCAGAGTCTGAGAGACTTGGGGCAACTTACTTTAACTTCTTCCCTCTGCATGTGTGTAAGGTGAAAACCTTTCTTGCGCTTGTACTTGTGGGGCTGGTGTGACAGTGATGAGGCATGTACTGACTTAAGCTCTGTGGCACTGGGGCACACAGTTGCCAGCACGGGGCAGACACTCAGCTGCCTGGAAATGAACTTGCCTGCCACAGGGACTTTGCCCAAAGCAGCAAAATCAAGTAGTCCAGGAGGAAGGCAACTCCTACCTACATTACTTATACATACCTCTCTCCAGCCACAAAAGATGAGGCTGCTTACATGATACATACAAAAAAGAGAAAATCATAAATGATAAACCAGGACCCTAGAAACATTTAAATCAGAATAGAAAATTAAGATGGGAAATACATTAGAACCCTGATCTGCAAATAAGATTCTTTTCAATTTCTAAAAGAGGGCCATGGATTTGGCTCAGAGCCTCTCGATCAAAAGGGGAAACACATTCAATTACCTGAATCATATTAAGAAAACCTGTCAGTTACTCAACAAAGGCTTTCTGATACCTAGTTATAAAAGAAACATCTGGCCAGTTAGAATGGCAAGTTAGAAACAGCAAGAGTCATACATATGCTGTTTCTCAGAGTGAGCGGCATCTGATGAAATCCATGACTGTGACACCAAAGCATGAGTGAAAATCAGTTCCTGGCAGGAATGTCCAAGAGCTCAGCCTTCTTATGGTTCAGCTTAATAGAAAGATAAAATCTAGAATCCCAGCAAAAAACCTGTCCTTAAGCAATCCTCTGTGATTGCTTAGAAATGAATGGTGCAACCAGGTGTTTAAAAAAATCTGGGCAATGGGAAGTTTAAGATTATCATCTATGGTAAGTGTCTAAGGTACAGGTGTTCTGTGTTGTAAATAGTGACATCTTACTACAGAGTAAGTGAACAGATGGTGACATGCTTTTGAAAAAACCAAGTTGCCCAGCCATGATACACTGCTTTCCTCAATGCAGAAGTGACTCAAAGAAACCAGAAAACAAAACCCCTAGATAATAAGATTAGATCCAAAGATCAAGTTTCCCCAAAGAAAAAAATCATGGGATTCTCTCCTTGCCCTCTGGATCCACAGCCCCCGCCCTAACTCAGACATGTGGCGTCTCTCCCCTCAGCTTTCCCCTCTTCCCTTGCTTCATCTGATACATTCAAAATCAGCTGAACCAAGCTTTCTCCCATCCTTCCCCAGCTGTAACGTGTCAACAGCTCCCCAACCCCTGCCACAGCAACTTCGAACTCCATATCAGACTAAAGAAGGCCTGCGTAATCTGGCTCCTGCTTAGCCTCAGTTCTTGCCTCTCCTCGCAGACATTCCTTCTAGAATACCAGTGAACTATTGCATTTTCCCCAAAACTGCGCTGTGCTCTCTGGCATGTCTTGGAACTCTGCTGAGAAGCTCTTGTTGTTCCACAAGATTAAGGTACCACCTTACCTGGGGAACAGCTTTAAACCCTTCCCTTCAAGGTGTTTCTTAAAGACACTGTGCTCTCACCCACCATAGTTTGTTCTAGGTGTTTATGTCCTGCAGCTTACACACAGCCGGGGTTTAAAGTCAGTACCTGAGGCAACAGTCACCTACATCAATGTTACTTAAGAATTCTCTTAAATTGCCCAAAGTGAGAGAGCAACACAGAAGCCCAGAACAAATGAGGTATCAAGAGACTCACTTTCCACTTCACACTCACGTAGAGTACATACTGGTGGAATCTCCAGCATTATTTGATAGTTTCACAGTTCTTTCTCTCCTGCCTTCTTCTTCCTCTCTTCATTTGTCCCTCTCTCCCCTCCTTACCAAGTGCTTATAGTTGTATTTGCAGAAATGCAAAATTAACGCAACTCCACTGTAGCTACCTGTCTCCCCACACTGACACTCAACGGGGAGCCCTGTGAGGGCAGGTGCTCTGCCTTATTCAAACTGGTCTTATGGCCTCCAGCACAGTCAGCACCACAGATATGAGCACCCATGAACAGCAGGGCCTGGGGAAAGCTGACAGGTAAGTGTGCACACAAATGAGGGAATATAGTGTTTCATTTGCAGAGAAACATTCTGTGTCACTATTCCCGCTTGGTTGTGCTTGAATAGGAGCTGGTGAATCAAATAAGGCTGAAAAGCAGCTACACCCTTCTTAAGGGTGGAGGGGATGGGGAATGAAGACACAGATGATGGCATCTGGCACTTCTCACAGTGGCTTTGAGAGAAATGAACTTGTCCTGGGTGTCCTGGCTCCCGAGAAGACTACTCAGAGGACATGCCCTCCCCCACCTCTCCCCATACTCTAGAAAGAGGCCACAGTCTGGAAAGTGATGTCTCAACAGAGGTCTCACTAAGGACACCAGCCTGTTGCCTCCTAGAGGGGGAGTCAGGAATAGACAAACAAGTTACTTGCATTCTAGTCAGTGTGGGAAAGCTTGCGAAAGCCCCCCGACAGGGGCGCTGCGGGTGAGACTGGCCACCACCTGCAATGCTTGGATGATATTTCTCTCCAATGCTTTCCCTTGTCTTTGTGATCCTCTGCTGAAGTTGTAGGGCTTTTTCCTCATTACATTCTCTAACTTCTGTTTTGCACTTTAAGTGATGCATACATTATGGACCATTTTTTCTATTTCTCATTTTCTTATGACACTCTGGATGCTTGTTCCACCCAGTCTTGATCACAATAGTTGAGCTTCTCGACCTAAGCCACCCTCAGCAGAACCACCTTACCTGTACCCAGTGCTGTTCCTGCCAACCACCAGATGCTTGGGATGCTCCTCACACTTGTAAAGGTTAAAGTCATTCTCGGGTACCAGGTCCACATCGTGGAATATAAAGCAGTCCCAATTTTCTTCCTTGAGGGCTTCTAGATAGCCCACATTCAAGAGTTTGGCTCGATTAAACTTTTTACCTTCAGCCTAGAGATATGAAAATTAAAACTTGAAAAGCTCCTGAGATAAAGTTTCATATTGTTTGCCTCTTAGTTAGGATTCAGGAGATGGTATTATTCTAATTATTCTACGCACGAGACTACACTTGTGACATAAAGATCTGACAGAGAAGATGCAATGACAATAAAAGACCATTTGATTTTTTTCTTCGTGCTTCACACATACTTATATTCCAGAACTTAGAAACAGTCCTTGAAATCCAAAGACTTGTTGTTTAATGATAGAGAGTTCCAGTTTTGCAAGATTAAGTTCTGGAGATTGATTTCATAAATACACTGCATATATTTATGCAACCAATATATTGCATAATTATGCATAGATACATTGCATGTAAATATTCTTAACATTACTAAACTGCACACTCAATAATAGTTAAGATAGCAAAAATTTTAAAAAGTTAAAAAAAGTTAAGATGGTAAATTTTACATCGTGTGTTTCACAATTAAAAATTTTTTAAAAGCAGCTTTAAAATACAAATAACTCAAATAATCAATAATAATGTACACTTAAAATGTATTGAGTATAGCTCTCATGTTAAATATTCTTACCACAGTTAACAAAAAAAAATTTTCTCTTAAAATTTTACAAATACCTTTACGTATTCTGTATAAAACTACAAAACCTTTCTTATATACTAGTCATGTCAATTAGTATTACTGCTTCACAGTTCAACCCTAGGTAATCCCAATCTTACCCTCTGTTATGAATTTACACTAAGCTTCTAAGAGACTTAGTTAATAGCTTGCCAGAAAGGATCAAGAAATCTCAACCTATAGAAAGAGAAAGTTATTGCTAATATTTCTAAGCTACTTTAAAGTTTCTCAGAAATCCCTGTAAGAGAATCCTGTTATAATGCTACTGGTGGAGGCTAATCCTCACAGTGGCCTTATGGAGGTAGATTCGTCACTGGGCAATAAAAGAACACAGTTTGACCTGTAATATGATTGAAGCTGTAATAAAAAAATTAAATAATTTTTTCATGGCTGCTTCATTCAAATTCCTTCAGAATGAATTCCAGTTAAGTGGTTTATCATAAAAGTGCAAGTATTTCTCAGAAGTTACCACAATGTTTTCCTGATAAGAATAACACGAAGCAGACATATTTTTCTCTTTCTCTTTTTCTTTTTTTTTAATTTGAGATGGAATCTCGCTCTGTTGCCCAGGCTGGAGTGCAGTGGTGTGATCTTACCTCACTGCAGCCTCCACCTCCTGGGTTCAAGTGATTCTCCTGCCTCAGCCTCCTGGGTAGCTGGGACTACAGGCATGTGCCACCACACCCAACTAATTTTTTTTTTTTTTTTAGTATTTTAACAGAGTATTTTGTATTTTTAGTAGAGACAGGGTTTCACTATGCTGGCCAGGCTAGTCTCAAACTCCTATCCTCAAGTGATCCACCCACCTTGGCCTCCCAAAGTGCTGAGCCACCGGGCCTGGCCCAAAGCAAACATGTTTTTCTATTCATAAAAATAGTACTATACCTTGTAGGTTACTGTCCTGAGCAAGAACTCAGAATCAAATAAATCATAACTATGACCAACAACCTTAAAAACAAAAATAGCTATAAAACAATATAATAGTAACATTTTGTTCCAAGTACTAAAATACAGACATAGGTGTGCTATATAAGCACACTGATTTTCAAGAGCCTCAGTTTATCACCAAGTCTATACTGCAGAGCTGGTCCTCTGAGTTGTCCAAAGTTTTATCTAAAAGAAATATTACCTGTTCTAACAGTAGTGATGATTTTGCTGACATTCTTAGAATTTATAAGAATTTGAGGGGGAATTATCCCTCTTCTTGGCCTCCTTGGATGGCCAAGGATAACTGTGAAAAGTTTAGACACTGATGTTTAAACTGATGTCTTAGTTTTCTTTCAATAAACTTTAATGCCAAATAGAGGTATCTTTAATCATCCACTCCACTGACCTCAGAGGTAAGCTCTTCAAAAGCAGCCGATAGTTATGCTGTGCTCCTACCAAATCATGCTTCTGGAAGTCAAATAGATGAATCCAGAAAGTGAAAATCAAACATAATATGTTTCACATAATAAATAGTGGCAAAGTTCAGGGCAGAAATGTGGTGGCAGCCATAGAGCACCACAGCTACTAATACAGAATGTTCTTTCAAATCCTCTGTCTAGATCCCCATTGAGTTGCTATGGTTGATAATGACAGACAATTCCAGAATCTCATCATATAGTGCATGGCACGCACAGAAAGAAACAGAAGGGGCCAGGAAGCCTCCGGGGAAATCTGAGGGCAGTCATTGGCTAACATGGAAGGGCTCACAAAACAGGCTTCCTCCAGAGGTTCCTTTAAGGGCAGTAAAATTTCCCAGAACTTGAACCCATAACTCCACACTCTGAGACAAGAATTTCCTCTACTCCTTTCAAGGATAAATGAGGTAAGAGAACTCGTTTTTGATGATAGTCTGATGTTCCTTTTACCCAACATAGACAAACAGTCACATGGCCAAGTCTGGCAGAGAAGAGGAGGGTCGAGGGCAGGCCCTGGTCTGCCCCCACGCTCACCTGGTGGATGACGTAGATGCCATAATCCAGCTGCTGCCTCTGCAGGAAGGGATGCAGATGTTCCAGCAGGTACATCAGGTGTTTCTCTCTGTTCCGGTGGGGAACGAGGATGGCGACCCTCTGTAAAGCTTTACATTCCTGAGGGCGATACCGGCCTCTGGACACTTTGGGATTTTCTGCCTGTACCTCTTCCAAAGTGAGATCTGGTTTGAAAATGAGCTTGCTCTGGCCTCCTACAATGAACATAGGACACAGACAATAACAGTAGCTACTTCAAAAAGTGTTGAGGTTTACACGAGCTAATATGCATAGAAAGAACACTGCCCAGCTCACAGTGAGTACTACAAATGTCAGCTTTTATTATGATTACTTTAAAGGCTCATTTAGTCATGATAATGGCCAGAGCATCATGTCACTAAGGTTACTGGCTGCAAAAGCAAGTGGTGGATATATAATATAAGCATTTCCTTGTGGCTGGGTAATCAACTTGCTCTATGATCCATCTGTAAGAGGGAATATCCTGGTGAACTCTGGTAAGAGCAAAGGGCAGGGCTAGACAGAGTAACTTCAACTTTGGTCTATCCTCTTTTCCTTCACCAAATTCCAGGAGGAGGGGAAAATCTCTTAAATATCAACAGCATTCCACAGAATCAAGCTCCTGGACAAGGCACTCTTCCCACCCCTTCCCTAAACTCTGGAACCACCCTGGCTCCCTGTAAGCAAAGCACTAAAAAGAAGTAGAAACCAGTCTCCCTCCCTAACCCAGCTGTAACAGGTATGTGTGGCACTGCAACAACTCTCCCATTTTGCCACCACAACAGACGTTTCCAATCGAGCACAGTATTTGCTCAGTGTCTGGAAGCAATCCAAACAGATGAAACCCAAAGCCATCCACAGGAGGAAAACAGCTCAGGTTTTTTTGTTTGTTTGTTTCTAAATTCCACGTATACTGGTCAGGCTGTAAAATCTCAAGATGCTTGCAAATTGAGCTATCCCCTTCTGAGTAAAGCAGTCATAGGCCCTTCCTGTGCGAAAGTCGCCATGACTTGTTCCATGTAACCATCCCCTACCCTGGCCATGGCTGCTTAGACCAGGCTCACGTGTCTAATGGCACCTTGGTGCTCTGCTCAACAGCAGGCAAGGTAAGTAACTTCTTCAAGCCACCCAAAGAGAATAATTGGCCTACGAGAGCCTTCCTGCAGGGTCTACATGCAAGACACAGCAGTCAGTAATGCCCTAAAAACAAACAGTAAGGAATGGAGTTACACAGATGACAACTACTAGAGCTGATGCTGGGCTATCGAGCTACCAGAGATAATGGGGTAGCTGTTGAGATGGTCTCCTGTGTGGCCTGTTCACAATCCCCATCGTTAACCTGACTGTGTCTCTGTTCTTGCGCGCTCAAAGAGCCTCACGCAACAGGTCTAATATAAACTAGTCCCCCGGCTCACCTTCTCATCGTCATAACTTTTTACGTGCCCTAACCTAGTATCTGCTTCCACTTACTCTCTATCAGTCTCCCTATCACTCCCCCTACCCCAACATCTTCTCAAGATCTGCCCCTCCTTGGGTCACTAATGGCCCATTTTAAGTCATCACCAACCACATCACCTTTAGTCCAGTACTTGCCCAGTAATGCATCACTGTCCCTCTATTCTTTATGAATGAATTTACTGTTTAAATATACTGTGAGCATTTTAAGCAAGGGGAATAATCAGCCAGTAAAATTTGCATTTCCCTGACTCATTTTTACATCGCAGCTTGTATAATCTGTGAAGGAATACACAATCAGGAATAACACTTTGACTCTTCCATGACTAAAGAGAAGCAGCATGCCAATATGAATACAATACAGGACTGTGACTCAACTAGGAAAGGGGTACACAGACTGAATGTCTGTGTCCCCAAAAATTCATATGTTGAATTCCTAATGCCCACTGTGGGGCCTCTGGGAAGTAACTAGGTTTAGATGAGATCATCATAAGGGTGGAGCTGCCAGGTGGGATTAAAGCACTTATAAAAAGAGCAAGAGGCATGAGATCTATCTATCTCTGTCTTTCTCTCTCCCTCTCTCTTTCCCTTTCCCCCTGCATGTATGTGTGTGCGCACACACACCAAGGAAAGGCATGTGAGGACAATATCCAGTAAGAGGGCCCTGACCATGCTGGCACCCTGATCTTAAGACTAATTTACTGTTTAACATAAGTTGAGAGGCAAGACATAAAAGGTGAACCAAAACATACAACATATTTAAGAAATAAACACTAAAGACCACATTGAAAAACTTACCTAGTCTCTGTCCCTTGACTCCATAGTTTTGGCCAAAGGAATACAACAGATGTGACCCCACTGAGGCTTGAATGTGCTTGCATTTCTCCTCTCATGCTCTGGTGCTCTGCTGATGCCATGAGGAGAACATACCCAGGCTAGCCCACTAGTTTCAGGAGGAGGACAGGAGGCACATGGGGCAGAGCCACCAGCCTAGATCAATGGACGCTACTAATGTGTGCTGCTAAACTTTTGTGGCTGGATAATAAAAGTGGGTCTGTTCCTATGACGGAATACTATACATCAATGAAAATGGACAAACCATAGCTGCACGCAACCATAAGAACAGATCTCACAAAAGTAACGTTAAGCAACAGAAGCCAAATACAAAAGAGTACATAACGTATGCTTCCGATTTGTAAAGTTCCAAAATAGGAAAAATCTAATGTGTAGAGTTAGAATCTTGAAGCCGGAGTGGTGACTGAAAGAAACATGGGAGTTCCTATGGTTCCAGCAAGATTCCATTTCTTAATTTACATGCTTGTTAAACAAGTATGTTCATTTTCTGAAACTTAACCAAGTGGTACACTTCTGAGTTTTGTACTTTCTTGTACATGTTATATTTATTTTATTTGAATGTATAGTTTTTGTGACACAGGAGATATATATATTTATGGGGTACATGAGATGTTTTGATACAGGCAAGTACATATTATACTTAAATAAAAAGTTTGCATACTACTTAATCAAAGGAAAAAAGCAACACTTACTGAGGTAAGGAGACACAGAAGGGCAGTTGTCAAGTTCTACCTTCTTCGTGGATGCTTCATTAGTCAGAGTTTTTCCCTTCCCCAAAATGAGGGTCTTATGGAAATTAGCCATGAACTCCTTTGCTTTAGGAATCTCTTGAATGGCACCCACGAAGTAGTTACTGGTGGCCCACCCAACCACTGTCAGGCACAAAGTCAACAGCAACAGTAATCGGAATTTGTAGGAAAGGTGGAAAGTCAGGTTGAAGCCCATGTTTTTTATTACGTGAATAATATCTATCTCTCTGCTTCACTGCAGGCAAGAAAGCTTCAAGTTGAGCTTTTCCAATCTGATTGCGAACTTGATGACAACTGAAGATACAATGCCTGGTTTTTCTCAGTAGTTCTGCTCCAACAGTCTAAAACGCAATCACAAAAGACACGTTGTTTCAAATGGAAATTCTATCCTGAAGTGATTCACTCCAGCACAAACTGAAAACCCATCCCCGATGGACCTTGACTAACCGTAATGGTAGGTCTTCCACTTAGCATTTAGAGATTCGAAAACCAGAGGTTTTAGAGGTTCCAAGCATCAATACATCACAGAAGCACTCTCTAGTTTATCAGCCAGGCTGTCTGCCACCCAAGAAGGGAAGCAATTTCCAAATGTTGGACAGAACAAATAGGCAAAGGAGACAAGGAGACTGCAAAGACCTGAGCTGGACACAGCCTAAGACATAGCCCTAATGGTTCTCTGCCTCAGTTGCCCCTTCCTGGCACAGTTTTAAGGAGGATTTAAAAAAATGTGAAGCCTTGTTACAGAAGCACATTTTGACCCAAAGAGAAAATAAGGGAAAAGGGAAAAGTTCTTCTCCCCTGTGACAGCTAGAAAAACATGGTCCTCAACAACAGGGAATGAATGCTATATTCTCAAAGAGGCACTGGCACAGGGCACATTGCAATGGGGGCCAGGAGGGAGTCTGTCAAGAAACATTATGAGAATCCCAAACAGGAGGTCAACAATCTATCTGTAAGAATAACAAAACTACAGCACAGTGTTTAAGATCAGGAGTTTGGACTTAGACAGAAACTACAGCTCTACCACATAACAGCTACATAACCTTGGGCCAGTCATTTAACTAAGCCTCAGTTTCCTTATCTGTAAAATGGGGATAAAAATAGTATCTACCTAGAAAAGTTATTGTGGGGCTTAGATGACCTAATTTATTAATATGTAAAGTGTTATCCCACCTTGACCAACAAGTAGACACACTGAAACACCACTTTTTGTACTGTATTTCTCACTGTCAGCTGATAAATTGCCACTCTGATTTCATACTTCAGTAGCATGAGATGGGATAATATGAATTCACTTCTAAGAGGGGGCTATGCTCTTAATTATTGACAAAAATCATGTTTTTAAGACCACCTAGCTGAGGGCCCACCCTGGACCACAGAAAATACACTAAAGTGGTAAAGGCCACCTGACAAGGATACCTGGTTTGCCGCCAGCAACATCCACCATATCCTCTCTGTGTGGACAAATCACGTCTCTCCTCAAATTCTAAACATGTTCTCAGAAGAACACAGAAAATGCTAAAGCTAGGGCACAGATAATCTCCATAGACAAACATATTCTCAAACAAATAAAATGGAGACCAAAATATTTTCTATGCTAAATAATCACATGGAAACACTTATGATTAAATCTTAAATGACAAAAAGAAAAACAGAAAGTAAGCCCTATATCTGTGCTATGATTACAACTAACAATATATACAATTAAGGAAAGTCTAGAAAGCTAATAATAATTATATTAGGAGAATGGGATTCGCTGGGGTGGTTTATTTTTTCTCTTTTCTTTTTAGAATTTTTAATAATATATTTTATATTTTTAATAATTTTTATTTTTATAAAATTTATTTTATAAATTTTATTTTATTTAATAATTTTTAATAGTATATTTTATAAAATATAAAATAATATATTTTATATTTTAATATATTTTATATTTTTAGAATTTTTAATATATTTTATATAAATGTATATATTTTTGTATATCACATATTGTCATATTTACATATATTTTACATATATCATTTTATAATATGGCAGTCTTACAATGAAAACAAAGTGAATTTTTTTAATGGTGAATAGAGAGGCAGTAAGTAACTGTAAAAAACAACAACCACCTCAGAAACTCTCAAGATAGTTTCACACTTACTAAAGGATACAACTCCAGAAATTTAGTTTCAGGTTAGTTTGAAGGAAACCTAGAAAATATTTCTCTCTAAACACAATGCTATAGATGAAAAGGGAGGTTAGTTCTTGGGGAATGTTTGACCCAGGAAGCAATTAAACAATATGGCCTGTGTTCAGGGTCCTGTGAAGGTATCACAGGAAGTCAATGCTGAAAGCAGTAATAACAAATAAAAAGGGCAATTTATGTGTGCATTTACTCTGTGCCATGCACTGGGGTAAAATCACTTATATTAACCTATGTAATTCTCATTTAACCATATGATGTAAGAATTACTAGTCTCATCTTACAGGTAAGAAAAGGAAAGGAAGGTTTGGAGAGATTTAAGTACCTTGCCAAAGCCCACACGACTAGTAAGTGGTAGCGTGGGGTCTCCGCCCAGGTGCTCAGCTCCACATCCTTCACATGGATATTTCCTCTTTTCTCCCCTTGGTGCCTGGGTAGTCCCAACACAGACCCTTGAATATTCAGGTTCCCTTGGGGGCCTTCTACCTCTCTCCCACATCTGCCTTCCGTTTCCTAGGGACTGTCTGATCAAATGCCTTCCTGGAGGTCTGTTCTCTTCCCACCTGGTGACAGTAAGTCATCAGGTTCCTGGGGCCAATCAGACAACCTCTTGTGGACTTAATTGTAGGAGGCTTAAATGCTAGGATTGGCAATTTTTAAAATAAGGATCTTAATCTTAGAAAATTCAGACTGGGAACATTGCTTATCTTTATTTATTTTTTATTTTTATTTTTTGAGACAGGGTCTCACTCTATTGCCCAGGCTAGAGTGCCGTGGCACAATCTCAGCTCACTGCAACCTCTACCTCCCGGTTCAAGCAATTCTAGTGCCTCAGCCTCCCAAGCAGCTGGGATTACAGGCGTGCACCACTACGCCCAGTTAATTTTTGTATTTTTAGTAGAGCCAAGGTTTCACCATGTTGTCCAGGCTGGTCTTGAACTCCTGGCCTCAAGCGATCCATCCACCTTGGCCTCCCAAAGTGCTAGGATTACAGGTGTGAGCCACCGCACCCAGCCCTGGGAACATGGCTTTTCTAAGAGCTATTTTTAGAGGGAGAGTCCCCTGGAAGAGAGAATCGCCAAGTGGAAGGAGGTTATGACCATAAAATTACTGCAGTGTTGAAATCAGAAAAGATCTTAAAGACCACACATCCACCTCCCTCATTCTACAGAGTGGGAAGAGATTTAAAAACCTACCCAAGGCACGGGGTACATGGGAAATCTCTGTATCTTCTGCTCAGTTTGGTTAAGAATCTAAAACTGTCCTAAAAAATACAGCTGAACCTTGAACAACATGGGTTTGAACTGCACGGCTCCACTTATACTCAGATTGTTTTCAACCAAATGCAGACCAAAAATACAATATTCCCGGTATGCAAAACCTGTGTATACAGAGGGCCAACTTTTCCAATATGTGGGTTCCTCAGGGCTGACAAAAGGACTTGAGCATGCATGGATTTGGGTAGATGCAGGGGTCCTGGAGCCAATTCCTTCCATATACTGAGGGATGACTGTAATTTAAAAAAACAAAAACAAAAAAACCTATCCAAGAATAGCTGCAAATATTCATAAACTAATATTGCTCAACTGCAGCTTACAGACTCTGTTCAAAGGTAAGACATTTATTCTAAAAGCAAGGAGCCATTATTAATAATTACTTAAGTATTAGGCCTTCATTACTAATCCTGCTTCTGAGACATCTGACCCAGTTAAAAATAATTCTTACCTATCTTTCTAAGTCTAAGTGCTCTCCCAAAAACTGTACAGAGAGCCAGCATAAGGAAGTTCAGAAGTAAGGTTTCCTTGGCTCCTGTGAGTAAACATCTGAAGTGTGAAGGGTCTGTCATCTGTCTGTCCATCTATGTTTCAAGAAAGACCAGCCAAGTGACTGGAGGCAACCCCTCTCACCGTTGTGTCCCAGCTATAAAATGATGAAAAATATTTATCTCACAAAGTTGCTCTAGGAATTTAATGAGATGATGCACCCAAGTACACTGTTATATCTGGTACATTTCCAGGACACAAGTTTTTTTTTTTTCTTTTTTGAGACGGAGTCTCCCTCTGTCGGCCTGGCCGGAGTGCAGTGGTGTGATCTCAGCTCACTGCAACCTCCGCCTCCCAGGTTCAAGCGATTCTCCTGCCTCAGCCTCCCAAGTAGCTGGGATTACAGGCATGCCCCACCATACCCAGCTAATTTTTCTTTATTTTTAGTAGAGACAGAGTTTCACCATGTTGGCCAGGCTGGTCTCAAACTCCTGACCTCAAATGATCTGCCCACCTCAGCCTCCCAAAGTGCTGGGATTACAGGCGTGAGCCACCATGCCTGGCCAGGAACACATGTATTTATTGGCTCTAATTACCAATGTGATTCATGTTCAAATGTTATCAGAATATTGCCCAAGATAATGTTATCTCTGGGATTAATGAGATGATTTTTACTTTCTAACTCTGTAATTTCCATTTTTTCTTTTAATGAGTATGTAATATTTTTATAATTAGAAAAACATAATGACTTTTTAAAGAAAGTTATTTTTAGGGCAAGTGACTCCTGGTTGGTGTTTGGGAAAGTGCCATCATATTGGATTTATTTACACTAACATTTAAGTAATTGAGAGACCCTTAATTCTCACAGGAGTCTCAGAGTTATTTTCTTTTTCAGTCAAGGCTGTCTTGAAGTGCCAAGGGACTACATCATCAGTATTGAGAACAAATTCAGGCAACATGAAAGAAGTTATTTAGGGCAAGATTTACCACTCTTTTCCTTTCTAGAAGTCTGCCCCGTAGTTAGTTAAAAATGGTCATGTTTTCATATTTGGTTTTCCTCCACTCAATTCAACCAGTCTTTTTCTGACTACCTGCTATTTTCAAGCAAAGGGAAAACCATATAAAGAGAATTAAAGCCTAGTCTTTGTACTCAGGGTTTATTTCTATCTTTTTCTAGATCTCAATGTCTGCAATTTCCTGTCAAATATGAGAACAACATCCCAAAGTGGGAGAACAGATGAAACAAGACGGATAAAATACTGAGAAGTCTTGAATATAAGTGATAGGTACCTGAGAGTCCTTTCTTTCTCTCTACTTTTGTGAATGCTTGAGATTTTCCATAATAGTTTTTAAAATCTGGCAAGGAAGATAAGCTATAACAAAAGGAAAGGAAACATAAGTGCTAAGTATCATTCTTGGAGAATCTCTAACCACACACATTTTTACTCCACTAAAGTGGGTGGGGAGGACACCATGTATCACTCTAAAAATATTTACTAAGCATTTGCACCAAGGAGAAAGGGTGTGTTCATTCGGCAGCTATGAGCACCAAAATCAGCATTCCAACATCTCTGAACCTATCAGGTAATTTTGCAGACACAGGGCATGTGAGTGGGCTTGATGTTGTCCCAGGCACATGATCCTGATGCCTTGGGGCTCCCTGGGGCAACACCAGAAGAAAGACTGATTATTTTGCTACTCTTTTTACTCCTGCAGAGTTCCTAGGAGTTTACCTTTTACACACACATTGCCCCACTTTCCTTAGGCCTTGGTATTCATTATCCCAATTACAACTCCTTTAGGAGACTTCTAAATGATCACTGGCCAGATCCTAAAGGGACAGTGGTTCCCTGGGCAGGGTAGGAATGGGATAAAAATGATGACAGCCATTTACATGTACAAGTCATTTAAACCCAGAGATTAAGCTCCTAACAGCCCAACCTAGAAGCATTTGAGTAATTTAAAAAAAAAATGATGGCACTGTATTTTAACCCATAGGATAAAGTGACTATCCACTAGTCTACACTGATAAAAATGATCAAACAAATAAATGAATAGAAGAGAAGGGGCGGCTCTTTTCTTAAATTCCAACTAGTAAGAAAGTGAGCGATGGAAAAAAAATCACTCTCAGCAAACACCACTTAATAACTGTTGCAGACAAGGTTCACCAGTGGATGCTAAACTAACAGGCAAAAATTTGAGGATAAACAGTATAGTCTCAAAGTATCTTCCCCAAGATAATTCTTAACTACAAAGGGAAAGACAGTAACTTTGTAGTGGAGAAATCCAATCGCTCACCACAAGTTCATTCCACGATATACCTAACTGGTACTCTTCGAAGAATCAAAATCATGAAAGACGAGGAAAAACTGAGGAACTATTTCAGATTGGAGGAGACTAAGGAGAAAGAAAAACTAAATAAAATGCAGGATCCTTGATAAAATACAATGGGAACAGAAAAAAAAAACAGACATTAGTAGGAAAATTGATGAATTTTCAATAAAGTTTGTAGTTTAGTTAATAGTATTGATCAATGTAGTATGGTTATGTAAGGGGTTAATATTAGGGGAAGCTAGGTGAACTGTGTATCATTTTTACAACTTTTCTGTAAGTCTAAAATTAACTAAAACTAAAAATAAAGAGTCAGAGACTAGGTATAACCTGAGTCAACAAATGATAGTAAATTAACTTAATTCTCAAGGAGAATCATTGTTTTTGTATTCCTAGTGCCTCAAACCAACCTGACACATAGCAGGTACTCAATTTAGTAACAAATGACGGACTAGGATATACTAGTTGAAATACACAAGGACACATCATAATTCCAGGCTACTGCTAAAAGGAATGAAACATTAAAAAAGAAGGTGGGAAATAAAGATTAATAATATGAGTACAAAATTCCACCTGAGAAGGATTTTAAAAATTAAAAAGGCTCACCCCGATACTAGCTCCCTTCAGTTCACTAATATCAACACTTTTCTAAGGGTAGGGTCCTCACCTTTAACAAATGGCACTTTTGGTCACACCCACTGCCTTCCGCTCCTCTGCCTCTAAAAGTGATACTTCTCCTTGGCTTGGGGAGGAAGTGTTGCGTGGCCTGCCTCTTCCTTCATGAAGCCACAAAGTGCCACTGCGTGAGTTCCGTGGCACATTGGAACACAGTGTACCCGCCTCTGGGCAAGAGCCGTGGAAATCCACACATGAAGCCAGGTGGTCCTGCAACACCCAAACAACCAAAGTTATTTTGTGTAGTATATGTTATGCAGCATAATAGAGAATTCACCAGAATTTCTGATGGGAGGTTCCAATAGAAGTTCATTGTGTACTTATATGTGACTTTCAGCTGTCCCTAAGAAACCAACAGTGGAGTCAGTAGGAGTTTACTTTCTGCAGTCATTAGGGGCACCTCACCGTAAACCTTAAAAAGGTTTAAAAAGCTCTGAGATCATGGGTATAACAGGGCTCTGAAGTCACAAAGAGCTGAGTTCAAATTCTGGTTATCAGATGCATGAATGGCTTTTGACAAGTAACCTAAATGTTTTGAGTCTGTTTGGCCATTTATTTAAAAAGCATTTCTCAACATCTGGTTCCAAGAGAGCCTTTATCAAATACATAAAGGAATGTGTTAAAACTGCAGATTCCTGGGCCCCACTCCAAAGCCAATGGGTCAGAACAGCAGCCTCTAGGACTCAGAAAAATGAAATTTTAACAAGCTCCCCAAATGATTCTTATCTGCATTAAAGTTTGAGAACCACTGATATAAGAGAATGGACCTGGAATGCAATCAATCTTTCAGATATGTTAGTTTTCCCTCTGGTAAGGAAAAGCAGTAAGAAGATATGTGAAAATGAGATTTTAAAAATGTATTTGAAAGGTTTTTGATTCCATCATTTAGAAATGTATTCTAAGAAAATAATCAGAGAGGTATACCATGATATTCAAACCAACATTGCTAAAATAACCAAAAATTGAAGAGTCTAAATGTTAACAATAGCGATCTGATTTAATTAATTATAATACATCCATATGATGGGACATATGCTTTCATTAAAATGTTTACAATAACTACACAGAAAAATGCTCATAACAGCTAAGTAGAAAAAAAGATATAACAATGTATATGAAATAAAGACTGGGTGTGATGGCTCATGCCTGTAATCCCAGCACTTTGGAAGGCCGAGGCGGGAGGATCACTTGAGGCCAGGAGTTCAAGACCAGTTTGGCCAACATGTTGAAACCCCTCCTCTACTAAAAGTACAAAAATTAGCTTGGCATGGTGGCGCATGCCTGTAGTCCCAGCTACTTGGGAGGCTGAGGAAGGAGGATCACCTGAACCCGGGAGGCGGAGGCTGCAGTGAGCTGAGATCATGCCACTGCACTCCAGCCTGGGCATCAGAGACCCTGTCTCTAAAAAAAAAAAAAAAAAAAAGTATATAAAATATAATACCAATTATGCAATACATGTGTGTGTGCATACCTTTTACATACAAAATGATAGTCACTGGTGGTCATCTCTTAATTACAGTATTAGGAGAAAACTTCTATTTCTTTTGTATCTTCTAATTTTTCTAAAATGGAGTTTTCATCAACAGAAACAATATTGTTTTCTGATAAAATGACTACATAGTTTTCCTTTAAAATATAGTAGTCCTTGGTTTCACTTTCTGCGGTTTCAGTTAACCACAAAAAAATACGGTAAGATATTTTGAGAAAGAGATGACATTCATATCTTTTATCACAGCATATTGTAACTGTTCTATTATTAGATATTATTCATCTCTTACTGTGCCTAACTTATAAGTTATACTTTAGTATAGATATGTATGCATATATAGAAAAAAACAGCGTATATAGGGTTTGGCACTATCCACGGTTTCAGGCATCCACTGTCAGTCTTGCAACATATCCCCCAAGAATAAGGAGGACGACTGTACATTAAAATTTAAAGATAACATCACAGACAGGAATTATAACTTTTAGTTACATAAGTTTGACAATTCATTCATATAACCTTTAAGAAAACCTGTTCTAAATAGGCCAAAAAGCCCCAATCTCAAAGAAAAACTTCAGAGGCTGTTAGTAATCTTCAGTGCCAGAGAACACTGTGGTCTGTGTTTGAAATGCCTATTCCCAGGCTCCAGCCCCAGAGATTTTTATTTCAAAGGCCTGAAGTGGAGTCAAGAAATTGATATTTTTGCCTGGGCCCATGGTACACATCTGTAATCCCAGCACTTTGGGAGGCAAATGGATCACTTGGGGTCAGGAGTTCCAGACCAGCCTGGACAACATGGTGAAACCCCATCACTACTAAAAATACAAAAATTAGCCGGGAGTAGTGGCCTGGGCCTGTAGTCCCAGCTACTCGGGAGGCTGAGGTAGGAGAATTGCTTGAACCTGAGAGGTGTAGGTTGCAGTGAGCCAAGATTGTGCCACTGCACTCCAGCCTGGGCCACAGAGCCAGATTCCATCTCAAAAAAAAAAAAAAAAATTATATTTTTATCGAGAACCTAGGTAACTCTGAGTCACACAGCCAGGTTTTAGAAACCACTGTTCACTGATGGCTTAAAACAAAGAATAGAAAACCATCACTGATTTGCTTTGGATGTTTCCACTGAATAAAAGATCTTCAAAGAGAAGGTTAGTTCCCAAAACATTTGCATGCATCTCTGGAAAAGGCAGGCATTACTATTAGCTCGGCTTAAAGTAGATACTAAATACTTATTATATTAAGTGGCATATAAACTACAACCACAGAGCTGATTTTATTGCCCTCTCTATCCACTTCCCCTTAGATTATGTAGTCAAACAGTTCAATCCAGGTCAGTACTTTTTCACAACGTATGTTTTCAATCTGATCAAAGCTATAGGTAGACGAAAGTTATTGCAATTTCATGGGGTTTACAATTTCCATAAAGAACAAACCTGCTCTAGAAGACAAAATTCCAAAAACTTCTGAACTATATCCAATCAAGCATTATCTCCTCTCCCAAGAGAGACCTTCCAGCACTCCCCGCCTGGGTCTCGGGAATAGCCCTCCCTTCTGAATCCCAGTTTCTCAATCCGGACCCTGAATCCTATTCATCCTGATCTCTCCTTGATTTTCTTGCATCTTAAAGGTGTTATTTTCCTTTCTTTAAAAATTTAAAAAAAAAAAAAAAAGCCACAACTCGCCTCCACGCTCAGATTACCATTTTCTTTTTCCTCCTTTTCATCACCAAACGGCTGAGGAGGTCTACCAGTACCCTCACCACCGCCACGTCCCCATCCCTCACCCACTCTGGAACACTTTGCAACAGTGTGCACACCCACCCACTGTTGATAACTACTCTCCTAAGGCTACCAACCCATAGGCCTCTCCTCGATGCAGAGTCCTTTGGACTTTGTCTGTTTTTTTTCAAACCAAGAATTAACAGCCCTTATCTAATGGAAGACAGAACATCAAGGGATACAGATCAACAAACACTGGATGGCTGTCTCCGAAGTCTTTTATAATCCAGGTGACCAACCCCTTTGGAGAAAGGTCAAAGGTCGCCGGCCCCTCGCAGGACTGGGGCTGGTGTCAGCTGATCAGTTTCCCCGTTGAAACGCTGGAGAAGGAGGGTTTCCAGGAAGAAGGGGCTTTTTCAGGTTGATGCACCCGGCGGAGAAGTGCTGGGGGCGACCCCGGAATCGTGACCTGGGGTATGAATGAGCCCTGGATTTTTTCCTACCCGGCAGCACCTCGTCTGGCTCCCCCGGCCCGCAGCAGAGGCGGCGCCGCGCGGAACGCCAGCACCTGAGCCGGTGCCTCCCGCCAGGCTCGGCCTCCGTAGGCCCCCGGCCCGGCCCACCGCTCCGGCTGAGGCGGGACTGCCCCACGGACGCCGCCACGTCATCCCCACGCCCGCCCCGCTACAGCCCTGGGACTGACCCCGGCCGTCGCCCGGCTACCCTCGCACGGCGCCCGTGTCCAGGGAACTGCATTTCCCGGGCGCCGGCGGAGCCAGCGTACTCACCCCGGAGGCGGCCGCGGCGAGCTAGCACTGCCCGCGGAGAGGGGAGAACGCGGAAAGCAGCTCGGGGACCGCCCCAGCCGCCCGGGAGGCGGCTCTTGAGTACGAGCTCCGCCTCCCGCCTTGGCCGGAGAGGCTGGTCCGCCCGGCTCTGCACGCGCCTGGCGCTCCACCCCCGCCAAATCGACCACACCGGGCGCTGGAAGGAGCACCGGGAGGGAAACGGAGGGTTGACGCCTCGGCCTCTGGGTGGCTTTAAAACCCTGTGCCAATAGTAGACTGGGTGCTGAGCGCTTCCCAAATTCCATCCCCTTAAATACTCACAAAGCAGTAGGAAAGAGATAGGGACCCTTCCATTTTACAGAGTGGGAAACTGAGACTTTAGAGAGGCTAATAAACTTAATCACCCTGCGAGATTTCAGCCCTCTCAACTGCAAAAATGATAATAATAATAATAATATTTTTCCCATGTTGCAGGTCTGAGAATATTAAATGATTTTTTTAAATCCGTATTTCTTCAAAGATATTATTACAGAAAGCAAAGACAATTATATTTACACTAAAGATTTGAGTGAAAAATTATGGTAGGCTCTGTTTAGGCAGTCAGGATAGCTAGATTCTCTAATGCAGTCTCCCACTGCACTCACGGGAAAGTAGTAGATTCTCCAAGAACCACACATCCACTCCACCCAAAAAGGAACAAACCATAGCTAGAGCCAGTGCTGGGCTCATTAAGCTTCATAGCAGGAAATCTGAGGCTATACTGAGGCCGCATAGGCCCAATGTAGGCCCTTGGAAGCTGGAAAAGAGGGCCACCTAGTGGCAGTTGAGGATAGGTCAGTGAAATAGGTCAACACTGCTCCTGAACAAGGTCCAGTGTGAAACTTATTTTTTTGTGTTCCCTTTGTAACATGCTGTAAGGGTGTATAACCACATTTAGTGAAAAAGGACATTACTGGATTTCATCCAGTGGCGTTATACAATCAGTTACTTATACCCACATAGTCCCCAGGTCTTGAGCATATGATGCCTGGAAGCATAATATATACCTTTTGCAAGAATCACTCAGCTTTTCCCCTCCCCCTCCCCCTCTCTGTCTCCCTCCCCATCTCCCTCCCCCCTTTGCACGGTCCTCGTCTCCCCTTTGCATGGTCTCCCTCTGATGCCGAGCCGAGGCTGGACTGTACTGCCGCCATCTCGGCTCACGGCAGCCTCCCTGCCTGATTCCCCTGCCTCAGCCTGCCGAGTGCCTGGGATTGCAGGCGCGCACCGCCACACCTGACTGGTTTTCGTATTTTTTGGTGGAGACGGGGTTTCGCCGAGTTGGCCGGGCTGGTCTCCAGCTCCTGACCGCGAGTGGTCTGCCAGCCTCGGCCTCCCGAGGTGCCGGGATTGCAGACGGAGTCTCGCTCACTCAGTGCTCAATGTTGCCCAGGCTGGAGTGCAGTGGCTTGATCTCGGATCGCTACAACCTCCACCTCCCAGCCGCCTGCCTTGGCCTCCCAAAGTGCCGAGATTGCAGCCTCTGCCCTGCTGCCACGCCGTATAGGAAGTGAGGAGCGTCTCTGCCTGGCCGCCCATCATCTGGGATGTGGGGAGCCCCTCTGCCCAGCCGCCCAGTCTGGAAAGTGAGGAGCGCTTCTTCCCGGCCGCCACCCCGTCTAGGAAGTGAGGAGCGTCTCTGCCTGGCCGCCCATCATCTGGGATGTGGGGAGCGCCTCTGCCCCACCACCCCGTCTGAGAGGTGAAGAATGCCTCTGCCCGGCGGCGACCCGTCTAGGAACTGAGGAGTGTCTCTGCCCCGCCGCCACCCCGTCTGGGAGGTGAGGAGCGTCTCTGACTGGCCGCCCTGTCTGAGAAGTGAGGAGCCCCTCCGCCGGGCAGCTGCCTGGTCCGGGAGGTGGGGGGCAGCCGCCCAGCCAGCCGCCCCGCCCGGGAGGTGGGGGGGCAGCCCCCGCCTGGCCAGCCGCCCCGCCCGGCAAGTGGGGGGCAGCCCCCGCCCGGCCAGCCGCCCCGTCCGGGAGGTGGGGGGCGCCTCTGCCCAGCCGCCGCCCCGTCTGGGAGGTGGGGGCCCCTCTGCCCGGCCGCCGCCCCGTCTGGGAGGTGGGGGGCCCCTCTGCCCGGCAGCCCCGTCTGGGAAGTGAGGAGCCCCTCTGCCCGGCCACCACCCTGTCTGGGAGGTGTACCCAACAGCTCATTGAGAACGGGCCATGATGACGATGGCGGTTTTGTCCAATAGAAAAGGGGGAAATGTGGGGAAAAGAAAGAGAGATCAGATTGTTATTGTGTCTGTGTAGAAAGAAGTTGACATAGGAGACTCCATTTTGTTCTGTACTAGGAAAAATTCTTCTGCCTTGGGATGCTGTTAATCTATAACCTTACCCCCAACCCCCTGCTCTCTGAAACATGTGCTGTGTCCACTAAGGGTTAAATGGATTAAGGGCAGTGCAAGATGTGCTTTGTTAAACAGATGCTTGAAGGCAGCGTGCTCGCTAAGAGTCATCACCACTCCCTAATCTCAACTACCCAGGGACACAAACACTGCGGAAGGCGGCAGGGCCCTCTGCCTAGGAAAACCAGAGACCTTTGTTCACATGTTTATCTGCTGACCTTCCCTCCACTATTGTCCTATGACCCTGCCAAATCCCCCTCTCCGAGAAACACCCAAGAATGATCAATAAATACTAAAAAAAAAATAAATTTAAAAAAAAAAAAGAGAATGTAGGCCAACAATAAGCCACAGGATAACATCTCTGTCTGCCCAAATCACATTATGCTGAGGAAGTTTAATAATAAAGGAGAATAATAAAGGAGCCAAGCAAGTTAATCTAAAAAAAAAAAAAAAAAAGAATCACTCAGCTTTTCTATATTTGGTAGCTGGTAGGTTATTAATTGGAGAAGTTGGGTTATTGCTTTCAGTAAGTGTAGGAAAGCAAGTAGCAGTGATATCTACAAAATTAAAGATAGCTTTCCAATCTGCTTTTGAGGTTTTAGGGTGGCTTTCATTTCACAGAGAGGCATTGGCATTAATAAAATTGTTTCCTAGGGGTTTTTTTTTTGGCATCAGTCCAGAAACCCAACAGTTGCTCTAGTTTTTCTTGTTAGAGCATGAGCCTTAGCTAAAGCCATCTATAAATTATGGTCCCATGGATTTCCCAGCAGGAAATATGGAAAAAATAGAAAAAAAGATAAGATAGTCATGATAGCAGAGAAGTCTTGATCCATGATCTTGAGAAAGCTGTCCATGTCTAGGATGCCATCTGCTTCTGGGGAGAAACTTCCCTACCTTAAGATCTCCAACAGGTGTATAATTCCAAGAGTTTGAAGGGGCTCTTTTGAGTTACAAGGTATGGACCAAAACTCGAGGCCCTGAAGTTTTACTGTGGGTGGTGAGAGAAGTACATGATATAATCTCTTCTAATGGGATACAAGAGCAGTTTTTCTCAGATGGGATGTTATTTCCAGAAGACTCAATCTCTGAGTTCTAGATTGTGAAAGGTTGGTTGTACTCAGTGTATCACAAAAGGCTTTTACCTGGGGAAAACACACTTTCATATAATGGATTAAAGCTTTGCAGTATTTAGTTACAGCAAAGCTTATAAGAGCAGGAGATACATGAGAGTCTATTATTAAGGATATAGGTCTTCCCAGAACTAGTTTTTTGTCTACCCCATGATGAGTAATGGAGTACAGAGTTTTTAATAATGGAAGATTTAAGGACTCAGGAAGAACCAGGTGGCCATATGGGGCCTCCATGAGTCCACACTTAGCAATAAATTTACATCCTTTTAAATATGTTTTGGTTACCTAATGTTAAATAACAAGTTAATGGGTGCAGCACACCAACATGGCACATGTATGCATATGTAACTAACCTGCACGTTGTGCACATGTACCCTAAAACAAAGTATAGTAAAAAATTAAAAATAAAAAAAATATGTTTTGGTTTGTCTATCTGTTCTAAGATGGCAGGTAGTAGGCAGTGCTAGTGTGCCTCTCCCACTTGGAAGGACAGAACAGTGTGTAGCAATTAACACTGTGAACTTTTATTCCAAGAACCACTGCAGGAAGTTACCAGGAAATCAAAAGAATTCGCAGATCCTATGAAAGGAGCACACCACAGCAAAGTCTGTGAGACAGGCAAAAAACTGAATTCTCAGTGTAGGAAAAGGGGAGAGCCTGCCTCTGAACACACATTCCTACTGTGGAATCTGAAAATCCAGATGATGGGAGAAGGCTTTAGCCTTACCTAGAGCTGGAATGGACTTAGGGAGCAGCACAAAATACAAAAGTAGAAGCAGCAGCAAGAAGAGCCTTGGAGGCATTCTCAGTCTCCAGCTTGAGCCCAGGGAAGCCATCCCTGACCATATCTAACAGGGGCCCTCAGGGAAGGCAGCCACCAAACTTAGGAAGGAGTCACAGAGTGAAATAAGCTACCAACTGAGTTTTGTGGTAATTTCAAGTGGGCATGAGCACCCTTGAACAGAATCCAGGGGTGGGCGGACAAATGGAAACTAATGCAGATACAAGGGCAGAAGCTGGGCACCCAGCATTGCAGGCAGATGGGGAGGGGTGTGACCTGAAAGCCATGCTTTCTTCCTCAGCAGGGAAGCTCATGGCCCAGGGCAGGTCTGAGTTCTACACACCAGCTGCCTGGATCTAAACTCAGTGCTGTTAGTGGGGCACCATGGGAGCAAGACTGGCCTCACCAACTCTGTGGGAGCTGGATGAGGACTTTCACTATGAGCTAATCCCCACTCCCCTTGCAAACTCTACTGCACAGCAGAAGCAGCCATACTCTCCTCTAGAACATAACCCCATTGGCCTGAGATCCACCCCTCCTATCCCCCAGCAGGCCATGGCAGGCCTTGCCCAGGGAGAATCTGAACTCAGGCCCGCCCAACCCTGCCCCGACCTGATGGTATTTATCTACCTGCCTTGTAGCTTAACACAAAAGACATAAACTCTTGAGAGCCTTATGGCCCTGCCCATTGCCTGGGAAACCAGAATACTTCCCCTAGACAACTTAGGCCAAGCTCAAATGTCACTGCTACTACCACAGCTGGTGCTCTCTTGCAAGTGTCCCCTCCTGGCTGGAAGCCAGCCAACTCAGGCCATTACAGCAACTCTTGGCAGAATAACGCTTCTTCCAGGAAGGAGAAAACAACAGCTAATACCACTCACTGCAACACCCTGGCTAACTAAAGGTCCTGAGTCTGTCCACATGACAACTTCACCGCTAGCATAACCAGCATTCAAGAAAGCCAGCACACTGAGTCTATCTACAACCAAGAAATCTCACAGACTACATCACTCCCCTGCCACCTCCATCAGAACAAGTGTTGGTATCCATGCTGGGAAACCTGAAGACAGATCACATCACAGGACTCTTTGCAGACATTCCCCAGCACCAGCTCAGAGCCTAGCTGGGTGGCTAGACCCAGAAGAGGAATAACAATCACTTCAGTCTGGCTCTCAGGAAGCCCCATTCCTAGGGGAAGAGGGAGAGCACCACATCAAGGGGTCACCCCATGGGACAAAAGAATCCAAACACCAGGCCGTGAGTTCCAGATCTTTCTACTGGTGGGAAGTTTCTCACAGCAGAGACACAATTGCAGTGCTGGGTACAGTAGAGAAAGTCTGCACCTCTACCCCAACAGGCAGGTGGCCTGTGTGATTATGAAGGGCACTAGAGAAGGCATCCTTGTTCCCCCTGGCACTACACTGCAGACACAGCTGAAGCTTCTTCCACAGGAATGCAGCATAGAGGCAGCTATAGACAGCCTTGCTGGAACAATCCAGGGTAAGCACAAGCCCCACAGGAGAAGCACCCCCCCAGATTCAAGCCTGCACAAGAGGCAAGAAACATCAACATTCCTGTAGATGAAAAGAGGTCCTGACTGATCTGAATAGCTGAAACACTGGGACAGGAATGAGACTGTGAGGTGAATAGCTTGATGACCTGAGAAGGGAGCTGAGGTAGCTCCTACTCCTCACCCTGATAAAACCTCAGGACATCAAATTGTGAGCTCCCGCAGCCATCCTCATCAAGGCTGGGGCCTGAGCCCACCATTGGGATTATATCTATTCACCTGCTTTAGCTACAACTAGTACCTACCCAAGAATACCTCCCCTATTGGCCTGAAGCCTGAATCGTCAACTCAGTAAATAAAATACTGGGGAAAAATTAAACAAATAAATATAGACCACAAGAGAATGAGATAAGCTTCAAGAGATCCCTGCCATTCCAAGTTCATAGGAGACAGTGAACTTGCCCACATACCAAGTACATAACTACTACAATCAGCATCAGGAGAGCCAGCACACAAAGACTCTCTATAACTAAGGAACTCATACAGAGTCTTCACCCCTGCAAGCACCAAGAATCAAATTAGACTGGAATAAATATTAAGGTCTAATCCTTAAGAGGGAAAAAATAAATTAAAAAAGCACAATCCCATCAAAAATAAATTCAAGAACAATTTGAAGAAATAGTCTACCAAAAGGAACCAGAAAAGTAATTCTGATAATATGACAAAACAGGGTTCTATGATACCCCCAAAATATAGTAGCTCCCCAACAATGGATCCAAACAAACAAACAAAAAATCTCTGAATTGCTGATAAAGAATTCTGAGGGTTGATAATTAAGCCACTCAATGAGAAGCCAGAGAAAGATGAAAACCAAATTTTCATTTTTTTAAAAGAAATTTAAAAAACAATACAGGATATGAATGGAAAATTTTTCAGAGAAATAGATATCATAATGAAAAAGCAATCACAACTCCTGGAAATGAAAGACATACTTACAGAAATACCAAATACAGGGGAAAGTTTCAACAATAGACTAGAACAAGTAGAAGAAAGAACTTTAGAGCTCAAAGACAAAGCTTTCATATCAACCCAATCAGACAAAAAAAAAAAAGAAAGAAAGAAAAAGAATTTTAAAAAATGAACAAAGCCTGCAAGAAATATGGGATTATATTAAATGGCCGAAGTTAAGAATAATTGGCATTCCTGAGGAAGAGAAATCTAAAAGTTTGGAAAACTTATTTGAGGGGATAATTGAGGAAAACGTCAATGGCCTTGCTAGATATCTAGACATCCAAATACAAAAAGCTCAAAGAACTCCTGGGAAATTCATTGCAAATAGACCACCACCAAGGCACATAGTCATCAGGTTATCTAAAGTCAAGACAAAGAAAAGAATCTTAAAAGCTGTGAGACTGGCTGGGTGTGATGGCTCACATCTGTAATCCCAGGACTTAGGGAGGCCAAGGTGGGAGGATCAACTGAGGTCAGAAGTTTGAGACCAGACTGGCCAACATGGTGAAACCTCATCTCTACTAAAAATACAAAAATTAACCAGGCATGGTGGCACATGCCTGTAATCCCAGCTACTTGGGAGGCTGAGGCAGGAGAATTGCTTGAACCTGGGAGGGAGAGGTTGCAGTGAGCTGAAATCATGCCATTGCACTTGAGCCTGGGCAACAAGGGTAAAACATCATCTCAGAAAAAAAAAAAAAAATCTGTGAGACAAAAGCATCAGGTAACCTATAAAGGAAAACCTATCAGATTAACAGCATATTTCTCAAAAGAAACCTTAGAAGCCAGAGAGGACTGGGGTCCTATCTTTAGCCTCCTTAAAGAAAATAATTGTCTACCAAGAATTTTGTATCCAACAAAACTAAGCTTAATCAATGAAACAGAGATAAAGGTTTTTTCAGACAAATGCTGAGAGAATTTGCCATTACCAAACCAGCACTACAAGAAATGCTAAAAGGAGTTCTAAATCTTAAAATACAATGTTTAAATACACCAATATAGAACCTCCTTAAAGCATAGATCTCACAAGGCCTATAACGCAATAACACAATTAAAAAAAAGTATTTAGGCAACAGCTAAAATGATGAATAGAGCAGTACCTCACATCTCAATACTAATGTTGAATGTAATGGCCTAAATGCTCCACTTAAAAGATACAGCATGGTGAAATGGATAAAAATCCACCAACCAAGTATCTACTGTTTTCAGGAGACTCACTGAACACATAGGGACTCACATAAACTTAAGGTAAAGGGGTAGAAAAAGATATTTCACCAAATGGAAATCAAAAGCAAGCAGGAGTAGCTATTCTTATATCAGACAAAACAGATTTTAAAGTAACAGCTGTAAAAATAGGCAAAGAAAGACGTTATATAACAATAAAACAATTAGTCCAACCGGAAGATATTACAATTCTACATATATATGCACCTGACACTGGAGCTCCCAAATTTATAAAACAATTACTACTAGACCTAAGAAATGGGATAGACAGTAACACAATAATAATGGAGGACTTCAATACTCCGCTGACAGCACTAGCCAGGTCATCAAGACAGAAATTCAACAAAGAAACAATGTACTTAAACTATACTGTAGAACAAATGAACTTAACAGATATTTACAGAACATTCTGCCCAACAACTCCAGAATATACAATACATTCTTCTCATCAGCACATAGAATATTCTCCAAGACAGTCCATATGATAGGCCATGAAACAAGTCTCAATAAATTTAAGAAAACTGAAATCATATCAAGTAGCTCCACAGACCATAATGGAATAAAACTGGAAATTAACTCCAAAAGGAACTCTCAAAACTAGACAACTACCTGGAAATTAAATAATCTGTTCTTGAATGATCTTTGGGTAACAATGAAATCAAGATAGGAATTTAAAAATTATTTGAACTGAATGATAATAGTGACACAATTTATCCAAACCTCTGGGATACAGCAAAAGTGGTGTTAAGAGGAAAGTTCATAGCATTAAATACCTACATTGAAAAGTCTGAAAGAGCACAAATAGACAACCTAATGTCATACCTCAAGGAACTAAAGAAACAAGAACAAACTAACCCAAACCCAGCAGAAGAAAATAAATAACAATGATCAGAGCAGAACAAATGAAACTGAAACAACAAAAACAAAAATACAAAAGGTAAATAAAACAAAAACCTAGTTCTTTGAAATAATAAACAAAATTGATAGACCATTAGTGAGATTAACCAAGAAAAGAAGAAAGTTCAAATAAGCTCAATTAGAAATGAAATGAGAGATATTACAGCTCATACCACAGAAATCCAAAGATCATTGAAGGCTACTGTAAACATCATGAACACCTTTATGTGCACAAACTAGAAAACCTAGAGGAGATGGATAAATTCCTGAAAATATACAACCGTCCTAGATTAAAACAGAAAGAAATAAAAACTCCGAGCAGACCAATAACAAGTAGCGAGATTGAAATGATTGAAACAGTAATTTTAAAATTGCCAACAAAAAAAAGTCCAGGACCAGATGGATTCACAGCTGAATTCTATCACACACTCAGAGAAGAATTGGCACCACTACCGAAACTATTCCAAAAGATAGAGAAAGAGGGAATCCTCCCTAATCATTCTATGAATCCAGTATTACCCTAATATCAAAATCAGGAAAGGGCATAGCAAAAAAAAGAAAACTACATACCAATATCACTAATGAACATAGATGCAAAAATCCTCAACAAAATACTAACTCATCAAATCCAACAGCACATCAAAAAGATAATCCACCATGATCAAGAGGATTTTATACCAGGGATACAGGGTTGGTTTAACATGTGCAAGTCAATAAATGTGGTATACCACATGAACAGAATTAAAAACAAAAATCATATGACCATCTCAATAGACTCTGAAAAAGTATTTGACAAAATCTGGCATCCCTTTATGATTAAAACCCTCAGCAAAATGGGCATACAAAGGACATACCTCAATGTAATAAAAGCCGTGTATGACAAACTCACAGCCAACATTATGCTGAACGGGAAAAAATTGAAAGCATTCCACCGAGAACTGGAACAAAACAAGGATGCCCACTTTCACCACTTCTATGCAACATAGTACTGGAAGTCCTAGCCAGAACCATCCAACAAAAGAAAGAAATAAAGGGCCTCTAAATCAGTAAAGAGGAAGTCAGGCTGTCGCTGCAAGTGATATGATTGTATACCTAGAAAACCCTAAAGACTCATCCAAAAAGCTCCTAGATCTGATTAATGAATTCAGCGAAGTTTCAGGATACAAAATCAATGTACAAAAGTCAGTAGCACTGCTATACACCAACAATGACCAAGCTGAGAATCAAATTAAGAACTCAATCCCTTTTACAACAGCAGCAAAAAATAAAATAAAATACTTAGGAATATACATAACCAAGGAGGTGAAAGATCTCTACAAGGAAAAATACAAAACACTGCTGAAAGAAATCATCAACAACACAAACAAATGGAAACACATCTCATGATCATGGATGAGTAGAATCAATATGGTGAAAATGATCATATGGCCTAAAGAAATCTACAGATTCCCTGCAATTCCCATCAAAACACCATTATCATTCTTCACAGAACTAGAAAAAACAATACTAAAATTCACATGGGACCGAAAAAGAGCCCTCATAGCCAAAGCCATACTAAGCAAAGAGAACAAATCTGGAAGCATCACATTACCCAACTTCAAAGTATACTATAAGGCTATGGTTACCAAAACAGCATGGTACTGGTATAAAAATAGACACATAGACCAATGGAACAGTATAGGGAACCCAGAAATAAAGCCAAATACAGCCAACTAATCTTTTACAAAGCACACAAAAACATAAGGCGGGGAAAGGACACCATATTCAATAAATTGTGCTGGGATAACTGGCAAGCCACATTAGAAAAATGAAACTGGATCTTCATCTCTCACCTTATATAAAAATCAACTAAAGATCAGTAAAAGACTTAAATCTAAGACCAGAAATCTTAAGAATTCTAGAAGATAACATTAGAGAAACTCTTCTAGATATTGGTTTCAGCAAAAAATTCATGACTAAGATCCCAAAAGCAAATGCAACAAAAACAAAAATAAATAAATGAGACCTAATTAAACTAAAAAGCTTCTGCACAGCAAAAGAAATAGTTGGCAGAGTAAACAGATAACCTACAGAGTGGGAGAAAATATTTGCAAACTATGGATCTGGCAAAGCACTAATATCCAGAATCTATAAGGAACTCAAACAAATCAGCAAGGAAAAAATAATTCCATCAAAAAGGAGCTAAGGACATGAATAGACAATTATCAAAAGAAGATATACAAACAGCCAATAAACATATGAAAAAATGCTCAGCATCACTAATTATCAAGGAAATGCAAATAAAAACCACAATGAGATACCACCTTACTACTGCAAGAATGGCCATAATCAAAAAATAATAGATGCTGGCATGGATGTGGTAAAAATGGAACACTTTTACACTGCCGGTTGGAGTGTAAACTAGTACAATTGCTATGGAAAACAGTATGGAGATTCCTTAAAGAACTAAAAGTAGAACTACCATTCGATCCAGCAATCCCACCACTGGGTATTTACCCAAAGGAAAAGACGTCATTGTATGGAAAAGACATATGTACATGCATGTTTATAGCAGCACAATTCACGATTGCAAAAATATGGAACCACCCTAAATGCCCATCAACCAATAAGTGGATAAAGAACATGTAGTATATAGACACCACAGAATACTACTCAGACATAAAATGGAACATCATGGGCTTTACAGCAACTTGGATGGAGTGGGAGGACATTATTTTAAGTGAAGTAACGCAGGAATGGAAAACCTATTATCATATGTTCTTGCTTATAAGTGGGAGCTAAGCTATGAGGATGCAAAGGCATAAGAGTGATATAATGGACTTTGGGGACTTCAGTGGAACGTTGAAAGGCGGGTGAGGGACAAAAGACTACATATTGGGTATAGATACACTGCTTGGGTGTTGGGTGCATCAAAATCTCAGAAATCACCACTAAATAACTTATCCATGTAACCAAAAAACCACCTGTTCCCCAAAAACTATTGAAATAAAATTAAAATTAATAACAGTGTTGTTTCTCTAATTTAGTGCATAGCATTGTTTGTTAAATAGGTTAATGAATGTAATTTGAGTCTGATCAATCTTTACTCAAATTTATTCAAATTGCATATTGTATTAGTCCATTCTCACGCTGTTAATAAAGACATACTCGAGACTCAGTAACTTATAAAGGAAAGAAGTTTAATTGGCTCACAGTTCAGCATGGCTGGGAAGGCCTCAGGAAACTTACAATCATGGCAGAAGGGGAAGCACACACATCCTTCTTTACATGGCAGCAGCAAGGAAAAGTGCCAAGCAGAAAAGGGGAAAGCCCCTTATAAAACCATCAGATCTCATGAGAACTCACTCACTATCACCAGGACAGCATGAGGGTAACTGTCCCCATGATTAAATTACTTCCTACTGGGTCCCTCCCACGACACATGGGGATTACGGGAACTACAATTCAAAATGAGATTTGGGTGGGGACACAGCCAAACAATATCACATACCTTAACAATTTCAATACTGGCTCACTTAGTGTGAAAATCTGGCAAAGCATTTCTTTGGTTTCAGTTAATTCTTGTCCTGCTTGATGTTGGGTTAGTAGTTTTATGAACCAATCAGTTTCCTCATTAGACTTATGGAAATTCTTAGTCCAGTGGTATGATATTAAAGTTATCAGAAAGCTGTATTTGTCAGAATCTCTTCCATGAATCTTCTAAAAGACAAAATGCTTTAGGTATATACCTAGTTGCCTGTAACAGCTTTTAGGGAAGTATGAGAGTAAAACAATTAACTGTCTGTGAATCACAACACTTAAAATGGCCATGTTACCATGTTAAAGATTTGCTGAGAGTTCATCGTAACAACGACACAATTGACAAGGAACTTTGGCTATTTCAGTGGCATACAATATTTTAAGATAATAACTAGAATCATGACTGGACTGTAACTAGAATATTAAGACTATCAGATTTCTAGGAATTTCATACAACTTCTGGAATACATATTAATAACACATCCATACAAATATAATTCAGTGAAGGCTTAGCATCATTTCTTATTTGAAAATGCTTCACAGCTGGGCACAGTGGTTCATGTCAGTAATCTCAGCACTTTGGGAGGCCAAAGTGGGAGGGTCACTTGAAGCCAGGAGTTTGAGACCAGCCGGGGCAACAAAGCAAGACCCCATCTCTAAAAATCTAAAACATAAGTAAAGTAAAAGAAAATGCTTCCTATATAATTTAATACATAATCCTAATTAGTTTAATATTTTGTTTTATAAGGAGGGAAACAATCCTTTAAGACATTCAAGATGCCCTCTAGAACATTCTAAAGTTAGTTCAAGGGTTAAAAAACTTAATTTAGAATATGATATTGGAAAGTTGTCAAAAATGTCAGAAGGTTTAAAATAATTTTAAAAGATCACAAGTTACTGTAAAGCAATATCATAGTGACAAAATATTTTAAAAGCAAAATGCAGAAAGTTAAGTTGTAAAACAAAATGAAACAAACAAAAACCTTAGCTCTAATACTGAGAAGTCTCACTTTTCTTAAGTAATCAAAGACCTAATAAAAGATAACATGAGGCACAAGAAATTATCTTGATAAAACCCAAGTCTTTGTTTCCTAAACCAATTAACAGGTAAAGATATCTTTACATTATCAGACTAATACTCCAAGAAAATGTTATTTTAACCAAGAATAGTAAATTATAGTTTTGCATCAGTGTACTATAAATGCTAAAGCTAATTTTAGTACAGACTTTTAAATGAATTCATCCAATCTCAGCCAGCTTTGAAAGAAAGATAAGATTTCTTTCCATGACCTTTTTTTTAATTAGCTTTTTTCCCTTCCATTTTTTTCTCTCATGCTGGAACAAGCAGTCATTCTACTTCAGTACAGAATTAATTACTCCTTTTTCCCTTAACAGAAAACACACTGTCATGCCTTAGAACTTTCCTTATCAAAAATACCTTTTGTTTTTTCTATATTTGCATACGGAATTGTTTCCCTTGTGATTTCTAGTTTTCACTACACATATTAATTAGAATTTTAATCCTTAGTAATTGTGAGCAAGCATTCTGTAACACTATAACTTTTAGAAATGTGCTTCTTCATAGTATAATAGTTCATGTCTACTAACAAATTCAAATATATTTAACTTCTCTATAACCATATTAAAACAAGATGCCAAAAGCATATAACGTTAAGCCTATATTCGACAATTAGAATTTCAGCATTTTATCTTATTTGGAAATGATCTAAATATTCAATAATATCCATTTCTTAGCCTAGCAAAACTCCATTAAGTGTAAGTTACCGAAAAGACTTTATAATATGTCTATTAAAACAAATCTAGCCATCATTGAGTTATTTCCCTGTTAGTACACATATGTTAGGCAGTCATCACAAAGGCAAGAACCTAAAAGTTAAATATGTGATTTTGTTTGTTTTACTGCTGTGCTTGATATATACGGAGTAATGGACACTGTATTTCCATTTGGACATTTGTTCGTAGGTTGAACTCACAGTTCTGTATTTGTAAACATCTGGGTTAGTTCCTATACTTCTAAGAGTTTTAGGAATACTTAATTTATATTACTGCTTATTATTTAGGCAAATTAAATTATAATTAATTTAATAATATTGTTTCTTTAATTAATAAATTTGATAAATTTATAAAATTTAATTACTTTAATAATAAATGATTTGTAGCAATACCATCTGGAGGGAGAAAAATATTACACATACATACATATAAAGACTTACATAAACATACAGGCAGAAGCAGATCTGACAGGTTTTTGTCTGAAATTTTAGCCATGTGACAGGCACAGCAATACAAAACTCACTAGTTTATAAAAGAATACTTAGATCACAAAAAATTAGGTTTCCAGCCAGTGGAGCAAGATTATCCACATCGATGGCCAAAACTTTTTACTAATATTTGTGAGAGGAAAAAAGACTTTTAACATTTTTTTATTCAGCGATTTTCAGATTTCCCTTTTTTCTCATTTTGCTTTTTCTTCTTCCCCAGAGTCATCTCCCCTAAATTTGCATTTTCAAAGGGAGGGCTCTCAGGTAAGATGAGGTAGAAAATTGACATCTCCGCCGGGCGCGGTGGCTCACGCCTGTAATCCCAGCACTTTGGGAGGCCGAGGCAGGTGGATCACGAGGTCAGGAGTTTGAGACCGGCCTGGCCAACATGGCAAAACCCGGTCTCTATTAAAAATACAAAAATTAGCCAGGCGTGGTGCCGGGCACCTGTAATCCCAGCTCCTCAGGAGGCTGAGGCAGGAGAATTACTTGAACCTGGGAGGCAGAAGTTACAGTGAGCCGAGATCGTGCCATTGCGCTCCAGCCTAGGCAATAAGAGCAAGACTTGGTCTCAAAAAAAAAAGAAGAAGAAGAAGAAGAAAAAGAAAAGAAAATTGGCATCTCAAAGGCACATGCTTCAGGCTGAAAACCATCATTTTCCAAAACAAAAAAAGGTGAAAAGTACCTTAAACAAAGGTAACGTTTGTTATGTACATTTAAACCAGATTCCTTCCCCATTAAAAGAGTTTCCTATGATTCAGTCCTCTTTCTCTCCTGGTGCGGAAAGAGAGACAAACTTAAAAACTGAAATTTCCTTTATAGATGTAAATTTATCTTACAAAAGAGTCTCAAAATAACCAGCTGAATGCCAGAAATGAGTATTTTGGAGACCAATCCAGCTAGATAGGCAGCTTCCCAACCCAGTTTCTGTTTTTTAACTAGATTATTGAGTCAGATTGGTTCATTCTTTTTTTCTCTTTATAAGATTCAAAAACAGATCAGTCTGATTTTGTGTCTTTTTGTTTTTATTTTTTTGTTTTTCAGAAAATACTTTAGGGATGAATTCTAAGAGATCATCTGCTATTTTCCTAGTCTCTTTGGTCCATCCCTAAAAGAAACAGGAGTTGAGTCTTTGATATCTTCCTTGGGTACCTCTCATTTGGCCTCAGCCCTCCATTTATGGGCTTCTTCAGGTCCCCACGTCATGTGTATAAATTAGTAAAGATCAAGGAGTTCTGGATGAGATGCTCCAATTAGAATTCTAAATTTCTTAGCAAATTTCTAGGAGTTTTCCTTTGGAACACAGAAATATTTCAATATTGCTCAGAACTCCAGATTTTGAACAAGGGATAAAGGTGGTTAAAGCAGTAGACATGGTTGATCTGAGGGCCTAAATTTATAAGGCATTTTTCTGGTTTTATTTTTCCCTTTGGGATGAGAAGTTAACAGAGTGAAAAGTTTCGAAGGTTCAGAGTATGCTGAGGAAAATAAAGAGAAAGAGAGAAGTGCAATCAGAGTTAAGTCAGTCAATGTACAATTCTAAATTATTTTAGACAAGGTTGACTCATTTCTCTAGAAAAGCACAGGTTTCAAAATGGAGAAGCCCCAGGAACCTTGGATTCAGATGAACCCATTATTGCCGGTCTTCTTGTAACCTTATGTACCAGAGGCCTTTTATGGAACCCAGCCCAGTTTCTGTTGAATCCAATCTGACACAAAACCCAGTCCAACTTGTGAACCCAGTCTGGATTTAAGATGCTCAGATAAACTCAGGGATCACAACACAAGTTATGGAGCTCATATTCAATTGGGACTTGCTGATGACAACCTCCAAATGTGCAGTGAGAAACAGTGAGCATAAGGGGTTTAGGAAGATACCTACAGCTGTTTGCTCATTGCTCCTAAAGGTCGTCATCAGGAGGGCACCTTTGGATCTCACTTACAATGTAGCAGGACAAGCCGCAGACAAAACCTCTCAGACACTGAGTTAAAGAAGGAGGGGCTTTATTTGGCCAGGAGTGTCAGCAAGACTCAGGTCTCAAAAACCGAGCTCTCCAAGTGAGCAATTCCTGTCCCTTTTAAGGGCTCACAACTCTAAGGGGGTCTGCGTGAGAGGGTCATGATCGATTGAGCAAGCAGGCAGTACATGACTGGGGGCTGCATGTACCGGTAATCAGCATGGAACAGAACAGGGCAGGGATTTTCACAGTGCTTTTCCAAACAATGTCTGGAATCTATATATAGCATAACCGGTTAGGTCGAGGTTGATCTTTACCTACCAGGCCCAGGGCGCGGCATTGGGCTGTCTGCCTGTGGATTTCATTTCTGCCTTTTAGTTTTCATTTCTTCTTCCTTTAGAGGCAGAAATTGGGCATAAGACAATATGAGGGGTGGTCTCCTCCCTTAACAACACCAGATCTGTTCAAATAAAAACTTTCAACAAAGTAAATTTAACAGTTTGTTTCAGAAAAGAACAATTTATGCATCAGGCAGCTCTCAGGACCAGAAAAGGTTCAGAGAGCTCCACTCTGAAGGGGGGCAGTGAGTATTTATAGACAGAACAGGGAAGTAAAGTTCAGAAATAGCTTGATTGGTTATAGCTAGACACTTGCCTTATTTGGACATGGTCTGCACAGTTGGCAGCCTGTGATTGTCTGAAGCTCAGCTGCTTCTGATTGGCTGAGAAACAGCTATCTTATATGAAAAATGTGCTTCTAAGTTAGGTTTCAGTTTGTTTACATACTAAATTAGGTTGCAGTTTGTTATGCAAGGACTCAAAATATGTTTTGGTTGTTGTTCTTTTCTTTTTTAAAACGAGCTTTCTCTTTTCATTTTCCAAAAAGATTCAAAATATAAAGACAGCCTCAAGGCCAAATTTAATTTAACAGACAACAGATATTGGAATTGCCTGGCACAGAATACAGAAGAGCTTTTTTTTTTCTTGAAATTTTTAAAGAAAAAAAATATTTCCCTAGAGATTACTTACCAATCACAAAGGGAAACAGGGACCTTTCCTTCAGAGAAAACTGGCAGATACCACCTTAACCAAGCACTAAAGTTAATTTCACCCAAAGTAGAAATTGACATCACATCACACATGAGATGATACTTTGAGGATATAACATTATTTTATTGTACTCCTGCCAAAAATGCATACCTTTAATGAGGAAACAGACAAGCTCAAATTAAGGAACATTCTATGAAACAACTATCCCATACACTTCAAAAATGTCAGTGTCATAAAAGACATGGAAACATGAGGAACAGTTTCAGATTACAGGAGACTAAGGAGATTTTACATCTAAATTTGATACCTGGTCTTGGATTTGGAAAAAAAAAGTTATTATAAAGTACATTATTGAGAACTGGAAATAACTACATACTGTGTGGTAGATTAAAAACAGCCTCAAATTATTTAACATTCCTCTCACTGAGGAATGGGGACAGATTTCCCTTCCCTTTAAATCTTGGCCGGTAGTCTGTGACTGTTTGACAAATGTATAGTGAAAGAGGAAGCAGAATCAGCCTTGTAAAGGCTGGGCTCAGAACTGGCATAGCTTCACTTCCACTCTACTCCATTTGTCAAATCAGTCACAGACCAGTCAAGATTTAAAAGGAGGGGAAATATACCCCCATTCCTGAGTGAAAGGAATGCCAAAAAATTGAGGCTATTTTAAATCTACCATACTGTACATATTCATTTCCAATTTCCTTGATAATATACTTTATAGCAACTTTATTTCCAATCCAGGACCACACATAAAGAAGTCCCTTTAGTCTCTGTCACGGGCTGAATTCTGAATTGTGTCCCTCATCTGCTGTTCCCGGCCCCCACAATTCATGCTGAAGCTCTAACTAACACCTAGTACCTCAGAATGTGACTAAACTTTAAGACCGGGTCTTTATAAAGGTAATTAAGTTAAAATCGGGTCATAAATATGAGCCTTAATCCAGCATGACTGGTGACTTTATAAGAGGAGGAGATTAGGACACAGATAACACAGAGGGATGACCACATGGCTGTGTGAGGACCTCAGCAAGAGGGTGGCTGCCTGCAAGTGGAGGAAAGAGTATGGAAGAAACCAAACCTGTTGATGTCTTCAACTTGGACTTCCAGCTTCCAAATTTGTCAGAAAATAAATATCTGTTGTTTAAGCCACCCAGTCTGTGGCATTTTGTTATGCCAACACACTAGCACATAGATACAGTCTCGTTTAATCTGAAACAGTTTGTCATTTTCCTCGTCTTTAAGGACACTGACATTTTTAAAGTATACAGGTCAGGTGTTTCATAGAATGTTTCCTAATTTTGACTCATCTGATTGTTTCTCATGATTAAATACCAATTACGTATTTTGGGCAAGAATATGATAAAGGTAATGTTATGCCCTCAGAGCATCACCTTGTGTGGGATGCCAATTTGTATTATTAATGACCCCTAGAAGCATTCATGCTTGGAACCTTGAGCCACCATGTTGGAAGTTCCACTATCCTGAAGGTGCCGTGCTGTGGAAAGCCCAAACTAGCCAGGTGGAGAAGCCATGTGGAAAAAAAAAAAAAAGATATTCAGCCACCTCCCAGCGATTCCAGCCCCCAGCCACTGAGTCACCACAGCTAAGGTTGCAGCCATCATACAGTGGAGAAGAGCCCTTCCCAGGGTGCCATATCTGAATTCCCCTGACCTGCAGAATCATGATACAGGAATAGTAAGTTGTTTTAATCCTCTAAGTTTTGAGATCATCTGATACACAGCAATAGACAATCAAAGCAGAACATATATTAGATATATATTAGATAATATTCTCTCGATGTTAAATTTCCTGAAATTCATCATTATATTGTGGTTATATAGGAAAATTACTTTGTTCTTAAGAGTTATTTAATGATGAAATATCATAATGTCTGCAATTTACTCTCAAATGATTTAGCTAATGTGTGTGAAAGAGAGAAAGAGAGAAATGGGGAGGAGAGGGATAGAGAGAGAGCACACAAACATAGAAAAATGTTAACGATTGGTGAATCTAGAGAAAATGCATACAGGCATTCCTTGATAATTTTTACAACTTTTCAAAGACTTGAAACTTTTCAAAATAAAAAGCTGAAATGAAAAAGAGAAAATATTCAATCTCAAAGAGAAAAAGCGATGACTAGACTTCCCCTTCTGGCCATGATGAAGTAGCAGGAAACAGATTTACCATCCCACCTGAAGCATCTAAAAAAAAAAAAAAAAAAACAGACAAAGCATATAAAACAATGTTCAAAACATTTGATATCAGGCAACAAAGAACACTGATTTCTGAGAGACAGGAAACAAACAAGTTGAGTCCTACAGTTGCTTCATCTTACTACCTCAAAGGAGTTTCCAAACTGTGACAGAGGGAGGGAAAATTGAGGCAGAGCCTAGCAGACTCCCTGAATTGAAGAGACAAACCCTGGAGTCCAAGAGACCTAGGCAGCTACAGTTCATAGGACAGAATACCAGAGATAAGACAGATGCACACAGACAGAATCCTGGAGATCTTCAGGGAGTCGCCCCCAAATATGCAAGATCAATGCCTGCATGTAAGGAAAACACCCCAGGCCAGGAAATATACATATGTAAAGATTAGTGGGAACAGTTCCTGTCACTCACACTGGCCTGAGGATAATGTGCTTCCAGGAACTAGACAGGAAAAACTCATAATTGACAAGGCATTAGGTGGAGTACTGAGGATAGTCTTGCCTCAGTAACAAAGAAGAATAATCCCTACGCTGAGCAATAGTCCAGACCTGCCTAACATAGTATCAAAACAAGGCCCAAAAGAGGCTGGGTGCGGTGGCTCACGCCTGTAATCTCAGCACTTTGGGAGGCCAAGGCGGGCGGATCACAAGGTCAGGAGATCGAGACCATCCTGGCTAACATGGTGAAACCCCGTCTCTACTAAAAATACAAAAAATTAGCCAGGCGTGGTGGCACATGCCTGTAGTCTCAGCTACTTGGGTGGCTGAGGCGGAGCTTGCAGTGAGCCAAGATCGTGCCACTGCACTCCAGTCTGGGTGACAGAGTGAGACTCTGTCTAAAAAAAAAAAAAAAAAAAAAAAGACCCAAAAGGATAAAACTTTATCCAAGTAATTTAAGTGTCTCCCAGAACAAAGCTCAAGAAGATTTATATAAATGCAATAATATCTAGCACACAAGATAAAATTCACAATATCTAGCATTCAAAGATTACCAGGCACACAAAGAGACAGGAAAACATAATCAATAGTGAAGACAATAATCAATTGAAAGCAACCCAGAGCTGACGTAGATGTTAGAATTCACAGAGGACAGTAAGACAGTTAATTTCATTGTATTTCATATATTCAAAAAGTTAGAAACATTTAAGTGTAAAGAAAAACCCAAATTGAACTTGTAGAGATGAAAAGATCCATGACAACAATAACATACATGCCAAAAGAGAAGAAATGGAAGTATACTATTGTAAGATTCCTATACTACATGGGAAGGTTTTACACAATGTGAGTATAATACAACTTTAAGGTAGACTGTGATAGATAAACATGTACAGGCATACCTCAGACATACTGCAGATTCAGTTCCAGACCACTGCAATAAAGCAAATATTGCAATAAAGTATGTCACACAATTTCTTTTGTTTTTCAGTGCATATGAAAAGGTATGTTTATACTATACCATAGTCTGTTAAGCGTGCAATAGCATTATGTCTAATGAAACAATGTACATACCTTAATTTTAAAATACTTTATTGCTAAAAATGCTAGTGGAGTGAGCTGAGCACATGCTGTAGGGAAAATGGTGCCAATAAATTTGCTTGGTACAGGTTTACCACAAACAAAAACAAAAAACACAGTATCGGATAAGCACAGTGGCTCATGTCTGTAATCCCAGCACACTTTGGGAGGCCGAGGAGGGCAGATCACCTGAGGTCAGGAGTTCAAGACCAGCCTGGCCAACATGGAGAAACCCTGTCTCTACTAAAAATACAAAAATTAGCCGGGTGTGATGGCAGGCACCTGTAATCCCAGCTACTCCTACTCGGGAGGCTGAGGCAGGAGAATCACTTGAACCCGGCAGGCAGAGGTTGCAGTGAGCCAAGATCACACCATTGCACTCCAGCCTGGGCAACAGAGCAAGACTTGGTCTCAAAAAAATAAAAAAAAAACCACAATATCTGTGACATGCAATAAAGCAAAGTGCAATAAAATGATATATGCCTATATACTATAAACCCTTGAGCACCACTAAAAAAAACAAAATAAATAATTATAGCTAATGTGGCAATGAAAGGGATAAAACAAAATCATTTAAAAATTGATTAGTTCAAAAGAAGGTAGCAAAAGAGAAAAACTGGAACAAATAACAGATGGGACAAATAGAAAACAAATAGCAGGATGACATGTCAAACCTAACATTAATAATCAAATTAATGTAAATAGTGTAAACACCCTGATTAAAAGGCAGAGATTGTCAGATTAGATTAAAAAAGACCCAACTGTATGCTGCCTACAAAAGCATACTATAAATATAAAAGTAATATAATAAATAGATTAAAAGAATGGAAAGGGCTATACAATGCTAACACTAGTCAAAAGAAACAAGACAGGCTACTTTAAAATCAGACAAAATAAATTGCAGAGCAAACAATATTGTCAAGGATAAAAATCATTTTATAATGATAAGAGGTAAATTTATCAAGAGGAAATAATAATCCTAGACACTTATGAGCCTAATAACAAAGCTTCAATATACATAAAGTAAAAACTATTAGAACTACACAAGGAAATAGACAAATGCACAATTATAGTTAGAGATTTCAACATACCTATTTCAATAGTTGCTAGAGTAAGTATAAAGAAAATAAGTGAGATTATAGAAGATTTGAACAATACTATTAACACTTGACCTGATTGACAATTTTATAATACTGTACCCAGAAATAGCAGAATACACACTTTTCTCAAGTGCACAGAGAACTCTTCTGGGTTACAAAACAAGATTCAATAAATTCAAAGGAATTAAAGTTTTACAAAGTATATCCTCTGACCACAGAGGAATTAAATTAGAAATCAATAATAGAAATATCTTTGGAAAATCCACAAATATTTAACAACAAAACAACACCCTTCTAAGTAACCCAGAGATGAAAGAACTCAAAAGAGAAATCAAAAAATATTTTGAACTGAATGAAAGTGAAAACACAATATATCAGAAATTGTAGATGCCACTAAAGCAGTCTCTAAGAGAAAATTTATAGCATTAAATGTCTATGTTAGAAAAGAAAAAAGTTCTCAAAGCAATGATCTCAGTGTCTACTATACAAAATTAGAAAGAGAAGACCAAATTAGACATGAAGTAAGCAGAAGGAAGGAAGTAATAAAGATCAAAGTAGAAATTAATGAAATAGAAAAGAGAAACTCAATAGAAGAAATCAAAAAAGGCAGGGCACGGTGGCTCATGCCTGTAATCCCAACATTTTGGGAGGCCAAAGCAGGCAGATTGCTTGAGCGCAGGAGTTCGAGACCAACTTAGGCAACATTGTGAAACCCTGTGTCTACAAAAAATACAAAAATTAGTTGGGTGTGGTGGTGCACACCTGTAGTCCCAGCTACTCAAGAGGCTGAGGTGGGAGGATGGCTTGAATCCAGAAGTTGGAGGTTGCAGTGAGCCGAGATCATACCACTGCACTCCAGTCTGGGCAAAAGAGCCAGATCCTATCTCAAAAAGAAGAGAAGAGAGGAGAAGAAAAGAGAAGAGAAAATCTGGTTCTTGAGAGGATCAATAAATATATTAAGCTCTTAAAGGACTGATCAGGACAAAAGAGAAAATACACAAATTACTCATATCAGGAATGAGAGAAGCAACATCACTATAGCTTCTACAGATACTAAAAAGATAAGAGAATTATGAATAATTTTATGCCAGTGAATTCCATAATTTGGATAAAATGGACACATTCTTGAAAGATATAAATTATTGAAGTTCACTCAAGAAGAAATAGGCTGAGCACGGTGGCTCATGCCTGTAATCCCAGCACTTTGGGAGGCTGAGGCAGGTGGATCGCCTGAGGTCAGGAGTTTGAGTCCAGCCTGGCCAACATGGCGAAATCCCATCTCTAATAAAAATACAAAAACTAGCCAGGCGTGGTGGCACGCGCCTGTAATCCCAGCTATTCAAGAGGCTGAGACAGGAAAATTGCTTGAACCTGGGAGGCGGAGGTTGCAGTGAGCTGAGATTGAGATCATGCCACTGTATTCCAGCCTGGGCAACAGAGTGAGACTCTGTCTCAGAAAAAAAAAAAAAAAAAAAGAAGAGAAGAAGATGAGGAAGAAGAAATAGACAACCTAAACAGCTCTATATCTCTCTTAAGGAAATTTAAATTATAGGTAAAAGCCTTCCCACAAAGAAAACTCCAGGTCCCAGATAGCTAGTGAATTCCACAAACAGTTAAAGAAGAAATACCCAGGCATGGTGTCTTACACCTGTGGTTCCCGGAATTTGGGAAGTTGAAGTGGAAGGATGGCTTGAGTCCAGGAGTTCAAGGTTATAGTGAGCTATGATTGCACCACTGCACTCCAGCCTGGGCAGCAGAGCAAGACTCTATCTCTAAGAAAGTAAAAATAAAAATAAATTTTAAAAGAAGAAATAATACTAATTTTACACAAACTTTTCCAAAAAAGTTAAAGAGAAGAAAATACTTCCCAACTCACTCTGAGCCCAACATTATCCTGATACCAAAGCCAGTCAAAAACATTATAAGAAATGAAAACTAAAGACCAATATCTTTCTTGTACATACATATAAAAATTCAAAACAAAAATTTAGTAGATTGAATCCAATACTATAAAAAGGATACTACAAAGCATGACCAAGTGGGGTTCATCTCAAAAATGCAGGATTAGTTTAACACTCAAAATTTATTCAATGTAATTCATTATATAAACAAACAAAAAATCATATGATCATCTAAATAGATATAGAAAATGTATTTCACAAAATCCAATTTCCTTTTTCTGATAAAAATTCTCAGCAAATTAGGAATGTGAGAGAACTTCCTCAACCTGATAAAAGGCACTTATAAAAATCTGTAACTAACATCATACTGAATGATGAAAGACTGCTTTTGTACTAAGATCATTAACAAGACAGGGATGTCTTCTGTCACTACTTCTATCCAACATTATACATAGGTGCAAAATTTCTAAAGACAATTGTAACAAATCCAACAATGTATAAAAAGAATAATACATCACGACTAGGTAAGATCCATTCCAGGAATAAGTATTGGTTTAATACCCACAAATCAATAAATGTCATTCATCATATTTGTAAACTAAAAAGAAAATCCATATAAAACCATAGTTTTAAAAAAATTAGAAGAATCCTGATTAGAAAGGAAGAGAAAAACTGTATTAATTGATGGCACCATTGTCTCTGTAGAAATTCCAACAGTGTACACAAAAAAGCTACTAGTACTAATAAGTAAGGTTAGTGAGATTGATGGAACAAGATCAATATAAAAAAGCAAATTGAATTTCTACATATTGGCACTTACAATAGCATGAAGTCAGCAAGAAAGATCAATTAACCAGTAGTAAAATGGGCAAAATATCTGAAGGGATAATCACAGATAAGGAAATGTAAAAACATCTTTATTTTATGAAAAGAAGCTCACTCTCTTTTCTACTAAAATTAATACAATTCAAACGTCAGTTAAAACTACACTGAGAGAATCAGAGACACAGATTTTTTTAAACTTGTATTGATGTTGGTGTGGAACAACAGGCAATCTTTTAGACAGCTAGTGAGAATGTAAATTAGTTTAACTTTTGTCAAGGACAATTTGTCAATATTATTAAACTTTTAAAAAGCACATTGTGGCTGGGTATGGTGGCTCATGCCTGTAATCCCAGCACTTTGGGAAGCCAAGGTGGGCAGATCACCTGAGGTCAGGAGTTCAAGACCAGCCTGGCCAACATGGTGAAACTCTGTCTCTAGTAAAAATACAAAAAAAAAATTAGCCAGGCGTGGTGGCATGCACCTGTAATCCGAGCTACTTGGGAGGCTGAAGCAGGAGAATTGCTTGAACCCGGGAGGCAGAGGTTGCAGTGAGCCAAGATCGTCCCATTGCACTCCAGCCTGGGTGACAAGAGCAAAACTCTGTCTCAAAAAAAAAATGCACACCGCACCCCATAAATATATATACCTATTATATATACCCACAAAAATTAAAAATTAAAATAAATAAATAAAAATAAAGTAAAATAATGTACATTGCCTCTGACCCAACAATTCTTCTGTAGATTTTTTTTTCTACAGATATTCAAGCATATGTGTCTATGGATAGTCAATGAAGCATCAATTTGTCATAGCAAAATCAGAAACTGACTAACGGCCATCAGTAGGCCCACTTAAACAAATTATGGCACTGATTAGGCAGTAGGTGCAGCACATGGAGGGCGAGCAGAAGCAGGTTCAAGTGTCGCCTCACCAGGGAAGTGCAAGGAGCTGGGGGGCCTCCCTCCTCCAGCCAAAGAAAGCCATGAGGGACTGTGCTATCCAGCCCATGTACTATGCTTTTCCCAAGGTTTTTGCGACCTGCAGACCAGAAGATTCCCTCATGTGCCTACACCACCAGGGCCCCGGGTTTCAAGCACAAGACTGGGCGGCTGTTTGGGCAGGCATCAAGGTAGCTGCAGGAGTTGTACCACCTGGAACCCCAGCAAGACAGAACCGTTCACTCCCCTAGAAAAGGGGCTGAAGCTAGGGAGCCAAGTGGTCTCGCTCAGTGGGTCCAACTCCCACAGAGCCCACCAAGCTAAGAACCACCGGCTTGAAATTCTCGCTGCCAGCACAGCAGTCTGAACTTGACCTGGGACAATCGCAGGTGGGGGCGGGGCATCCACCACTACTGAGGCTTGAGTAGGCGGTTTTGCCCTGACAGTGCTAAGGAGGCCCAGAAGTTCAGACTGGGAGGAACTCACCACAGCACAGCAAAGCGGCTGTGTCCAGACTACCTCCCTAGATTCCTCCTCACTGTGCAGGGCATCTCTGAAAGAAAGGCAGCAGCCCCAGTCAGGAGCTTGGAGATAAAACTCCCATCTCCCTGGGACAGAGCACCTGGGGAAAGGGGTGCTGTGGGCGCACTTTCAGCAGATTTAATCATTCTTGCTTGCCAGCTCTGAAGAGACCAGCTGATCCTAAGAAAAGGGATTCTCCCAGCACAGCACACCAGCTCTGCTAAGAGACAGACTGCCTCCTCAGGTGGGTCTCTGACCCCTGTGCCTCCTGACTGGGAGAGAGCTCCCAGCAGGGGTTGACAGGCACATCATACAGGAGAACTCTGGCTGGCATCAGGCTGGTGCCCCTCTGGGATGAAACTTCCAGATTAAGGATCAGGCAACAATCTTTGCTGTTCAGCAGCCTCCGCTGGTGATACCTAGGCAAACAGGGTCTGGAGTGGACCCCCAGCAAACTGCAGCACACCTGTAGAAGAGGGGCCTGACTGTTAGAAGAAAAACTAACAAACAGAAAGTAATAACATCAACATCAACAAAAAGGACAGCCACACAAAAACCCCACCAAAAGGTCATCAGCCTCAAAGAACAAAGGTAGATAAATCCACAAAGATGAGGAAAAAGCAGCACAAAAAATGCTGAAAATCCCAAAACCCAGAATGCTTCTTCTCTTCCAAATGATTGCAACCCCTCTCCAGCAAGGGCACAAAACTGGACTAAGAATGAGTTTGATGAATCGACAGAAGTAGGCTTCAGAAGGTGGGTAATAACAAACTTCTCTGCGGTAAAGCAGCATGTTCTAACCCAATGCAAGGAAGCTAAGAACCTTGATAAAAGGTTACAGGAACTGCTAGCTAAAATAACCAGTTTAGAGAAGAACATAAATGACTTGATGGAGCTGAAAAACACAGCATGAGAACTTCATGAAGCATACACAAGTTATCAATAGCCAAATCAATCAAGCAGAAGAAAGGATATCAGAGACTGAAGATCAACTTAATGAAATAAGGCATGAAAACAAGATTAGAGAAAAAAGAAAGGAACAAACAAAGCCTCCAAAAATATGGGACTATGTGAAAAGACTAAACGTATGACTGATAGGTATACCTGAAAGTGACAGGGAGATTGGAACCAAGTTGGAAAGCACACTTCAGGATATTATCCAGGAGAACTTCCCCAACCTAGCAAGACAGGCCAACATTCAAATTCAGGAAAAACAGAGAATACCACTAAGATACTCCTTGAGAAGAGCAACCCCAAGACACATAATCATTAGATTCTCCAAGGTTGTAACGAAGGAAAAAATGTTAAGGGCAGCCAGAGAGAAAGGTCAGGTTACCTACAAAGGGAAGCCCATTAGACTAACAGCAGATCTCTCTGCAGAAACCCTACAAGCCAGAAGAGAGTGGGCGCCAATATTCAACATTCTTAAAGAAAGAAACTTTCAACCCAGAATTTCATATCCAGCCAAACTAAGCTTCATAAGCGAAGGAGAATTAAAATCCTTTACAGACAAGCAAATGCTGAGGGATTTTGTCACCACCAGGCCTGCCTTACAAGAGCTCCTGAAGGAAGCACTAAATATGGAAAGGAAAATCCTGTACCAGCCACTGCAAAAACACAGCAAAATATAAAGACCAATGACACCATGAAGAAACTGCATCATCTAATGTGCAAAATAACCAGCTACCATCTTGATAACAGGATCAAATTCACACATAACAATATTAACCTTAAATGTAAATGGACTAAATGCCCCAATTAAAAGACACAGACAGGCAAATTGGATAAAGAGTCAAGAGCCATCAGTGTGCTGTATTCAGGAGACACATCTCATGTGCAAAGACACACATAGGCTTAAAATAAAGGGATGCAGAAACATTTATCAAGCAAATGGAAAGCAAAACAAAAAAAAAGCAGCAGTTGCAATCCTAGTCTCTGATAAAATAGACTTTAAACAAACAAGGATCAAAAAAGACAAAGAAAGGAATTACATAATGGTAAAGGGATCAATTCAACAAGAAGAGCTAACTATCCTAAATATATATGCAGCCAATACAGGAGCACCCAGATTCATAAAACAAGTTCTTAGAGACCTACAAAGAGACTTAGACTCCCACACAATAATAGTGGGAGACTTTAACACCCCTCTGCTAATATTAGACACATCAACAAGACAGAAAATTAACAAGGATATTCAGGACTTGAACTCAGCTCTGGACCAAGCAGAAATAATAGACATCTACAGAACTCTCCACCCCAAATCAACAGAATATACATTCTTCTCAGCAGCACATAACTTATTCTAAAATCAACCACATAATTGGAAGTAAAACACTCCTCAGCAAATGCAAAAGAACAGAAATCATAACAAACTGTCTCTCAGACCACAGTGCAACCAAATTAGAACTCAGGATTAAGAAACTCACTCAAAACTGCACAACTACGTGGAAACTGAACAACCTGCTCCACAATGACTACTAGGTAAATAACAAAATTAAGGCACAAATAAAGAAGTTCTTTGAAACCAATGAGAACAAAAACAAACGTACCAGCATCTCTGGGATACAGCTAAAGCAGTGTTTAGAGGGAAATTTATAGCACTAAATGCCCACAGGAGGAAGTGGAAAGATGTAAAATCGACACCCTAACATCACAATTAAAAGAACTAGAGAAGCAAGAGCAAACAAATTCAAAGCTAGCACAAGACAAGAAATAACTGACATCAGAGCAGAATTGAAGGAGAAAGAGACATGAAAAACCCTTCATAAAATCAATGAATCCAGGAGCTGGTTTTTTGAAAAGGTCAGCAAAATAGATAGACCACTAGCTAGACTAATAAAGAAGAAAAGAGAGAAAAATCAAATAGGCACAATAAAAAATGATAAAGGGGATATCACCACCAATCCCAAAGAAATACAAGCTACCATCAGAGAATACTATAAACACGTCTATGCAAATAAACTAGAAAATCTACAAGAAATTGATAAATTCCTGGACACATACACCTCCCAAGACTAAACCAGGAAGAAGTCAAATCCCTGAATAGACCAATAACAAGTTCTGAAATTAAGGCAGTAATTAATAGCCTACAAACCAAAAAAAAAAAAGCCCAGGACCAGACGGATTCACAGCCAAATTCTACCAGAGGTACGAAGAATAGTTGGTACCATTCGTTCTGAAACTACTCCAAACAATGAAAAAGAGGGACTCCTCCCTAACTCATTTTATGAAGCCAGCATCATCCTGATACGAAAACCTGGCAGAGACACAACAAAAAAAATTTCAGGCCAATATCCCTGATGAATATTGATGCGAAAATCTTCAATAAAATATTGGCAAACTGAATCCAGCAGCACATCAAAAAGCTTATCCCCCACGATCAAGTCAGCTTCATCCTGGGATGCAAGGCTGGTTCAACATATGCAAATCAATAAATGTAATCCATCACATAAACAGAACCAATGACAAAACCCACATGATTATCTCAATAGATGCCAAAAAGGCCTTCAATAAAATTCAACACCCCTTCATGCTAAAAACACTCAATAAACTAGGTATTGATTGAATGTATCTCAAAATAATAAGAGCTATTTATGACAAACCCATAGCCAACATCATACTGAATAGGCAAAAGCTGAAAGCATTCCCTTTGAAAATCGGCACAAGACAAGGATGCCCTCTCTCACCACTCCTATTAAACATAGTATTGGAAGCTCTGTCCAGGGCAATCAGGCAAGAGAAAGAAATAAAGCGTATTCAAATAGGAAGAGAGGAAGTCAAATTGTCTCTGTTTGCAGATGATGTGATTGTGTATTTAGAAAACCCCATTGTTTCAGCCCAAAAACTCCTTAAGCTGATAAGCAACTTCAGCAAAGTCTCAAGATACAAAATCAATGTGCAAAAATCACAAGCATTCCTATACACCAATAACAGACAAACAGAGAGCCAAATCATGAGTGAACTCCCATTCACAATTGCTACAAAGAGAATAAAATACCTAGGAACACAACTTACAAGGGATGTGAAGGACCTCTTCAAGAAGAACTACAAACCACTGCTCAAGGAAATAAGAGAGGGCACAAATGGAAAAAAATTCCATGCTAATGGATAGGAAGAATCAATATCATGAAAATGGCCATCCTGCCCAAAGTAATTTATAGATTCAATGCTATTCCCGTAAAGCTACCATTGACTTTCTTCACAGAATTAGAAAAAAAAAACACTTTAAATGTCATTTGGAACCAAAAAAGAGCCCATATAGCCAAGACAATCCTAAGCAAAAAGAACAAAGCTGGAGGCATCACGCTACCTGATTTCAAACTGTACTACAAAGCTACAGTAACCAAAACAGCATGCTACTGGTACCAAAACAGATATATAGACCAATGGAACAGAACAAAGACCTCAGAGATAACACCACACATCTACAACCATCTGATCTTTGACAAATCTGACACACACAAACAACTGGGAAAGGATTCCCTATTTAATGAATGGTGCTGGCAAAACTGGCTAGCCATATGCAGAAACAGAAACTTCCTTACACCTTACCCTTCCTTACACCTCATACAAAAATTAACTCAAGATGGATTAAAGACTTAAACAGAAAACCAAAAATTATAAAAACCCTAGAAGAAAACCTAGGCAATACCATTCAGGTCATAGGCATGGGCAAAGACTTTATGACTAAAACACCAAAAGCAATTGCAACAAAAGCCAAAATTGACAAATGGGATCTAATCAAACTAAAGAACTTCTGTACAGCAAAAGAAACCATCATCAGAGTGAACAGGCAACCTACAGAATGGGAAAAAAATTTTGCAAGCTACCCATCTCATAAAGGGCTAATATCCAGAATCTAAAAGGGACTTAAACAAATTTACAAGAAGAAAACAACCCCATCAAAAAGTGGGCAAAGGATATGAACAGACTCTTCTCAAAAGAAGACATTTACGTGGCCAACAAACGTGAAAAACAGCTCATCATCACTGGTCATTAGAGAAATGCAAATCAAAACCACAATGAGATACCGTCTCACACCAGTTAGAATGGTGATTATTAAAAAGTCAGGAAACAACAGATGCTGGCAAGGCTGTGGAGAAATAGGAATGCTTTTACACTGTTAGTGGGAGTGTAAATTAGTTCAGCCATTGTGGAAGACAGTGTGGCGATTCCTCAAGGATATAGAACCAGAAATACCATTTGACCCAGCAATCCCATTACTGGGTATATACCAAAGGATTATAAATCATTCTACTACAAAGACACATGCACATGTATGTTTATTGCAGCATATTTACAATAGCAAAGACTTGGAACCAACCCAAATGCCCATCAATGATAGACTGGATAAAAAAAATGTGGCACATATACACATATACATGTGTATATGTATGTGGCACATGTACCTGGAATACTATGTGGCACATATACATGGAATACTATGCAGCCATAAAAAAGGATGAGTTCATGTCCTTTGCAGGGACATGGATGAAGCTGGAAACCATCATTTTCAGCAAACTAACACAGGAACAGAAAACCATGTTCCCACTCATAAGTGGGAGCTGAACAATAAGAACACATGGACACAGGGAGGGGAACATCACACACCAGGGCCCATCGAGGGGTGGGGGACTAGGGGAGGGAGAGCATTAGGACAAATACCTAATGCATGCGGGGCTTAAAACCTAGATGACCAGATGATAGGTGCAGCAACCACCATGGCACATGTCTACCTATGTAACAAACCTGCACATTCTGCACTTGTATCCCAGAACTTAAAGTAAAATTTAAAAAATATATAATAATAAAAATTCTTATTGGGGAAAAAAGAATTAAAAACAAACTCTTTAGAAGCTAGTTACCTTTGGGTGGTGAGACATGGGGGTGAAAGGGAGGTTTGGAGAATAAAGCAGGAAACGTTTTTCTTTTTCCATTTAATGCCATTCTATACTTTTGAATTTTTTAACCAAGTACATGTATTACTGTTAAAATAGACATTCCTTATACAATTTCATCATTTTGGTTTTGTTTAATTTTAGGTTTAAGGCACATGAGGAAAGTATAATGTATCTATTTTTAAAGTTTTATGGTCTGAACATTTATGTTTTCCAGATAAAGCTAAGCCACTTCATAGCCTGTCTCTGCATGGTACTATTTTCCAAAGAAACACTAACCCATATCCAAAAATAACAGAAAGGCAATTTAAATTTTTACTTCAGTGCCATGAAAGCATCAAAGGGGGATTCCATTTATAATACATAACAAAACCTCTTAAAATCTTCTTGCCCAACCTCTCAATATCTCACACCATATGGTAGCTGCTTCTAAAACTCTCTCCCCCCATCTTCAAACCTTTACAGAATGCATCCCACACTGTCTCTAGTTTCCTCTACTCCCCACTTCTCTCCCTTCTCTTTCTGGGCCTATTGTCTTCTAAGTCTCGGTCCTTTCAAATATAAATCAAGCTGTCCCTGATGTTCATTTTATCCCTTATCACAAGGATGCTTCTTCTTAGTCTGGGAAAACTAGCATTATTGTTTGTTTGTTTTTGTTGGAGACAGAGTCTCACTCTGTCACCCAGGCTGGAGTGCAGTGGTGCAGTCTTGCTTCACTGCAACCTCTGCCTCCCCGGTTCAAGCAATTCTCGTGCCTCAGCCTCCTGAGTAGCTGGGACTACAGGTGTGTGCCACCACTCCCGGATAATTTTTTGTATTTTAATAGAGATGGGGTTTCACCATGTTGCCCAGGCTGGTCTCGAACTCCTAAGCTCAGGCAATCTGCCTGCCTCAGCCTCCAAAGTGCTAGGATTACAGGTATCAGCCACCATGCTAGGCCAGCATCATTGTATTATTACTTCTAAAGAAAAACCAAATTCTTATTTCTAAAAAATCTACTACAGTCAAAGATTTGAGACATAGCCTGCTAGAATATAGTTGTAAAACTACGAGTTTCTCTCCTCTAAGCATCTTAGAAATAGGGACTGGGTTTTATTCATCTTTGCATTCACTGGGCCTACAAAGTGCTTTACACACCAAGTGCACACAAAACTATTAAAGCTGTAATTTGGAATATAGCTTTTATGAGAGAAGTCATAGGGAGAAGAGGAAGGAAGCTAATTTTTACCGAGTATCTGCTATGGAGCAGTCACTGTGCCTTTCTAGTGGTGAAGTATCTCTCTCTCTTTTTTCTAGATTAGTAATTGCCACAGGGGAGCAAGAAAGGCAGATGTGAAGTACACAAAGTTTGAAGAGACCCTCCATGTGATGCTGGTATTCCCACATCATAAAACATCCTCATACCTCCCACATGTAAACTAAGTCACTTTTACAAATGCGGATGTGTCCAAAGTACCATCCTGACCTTTAAGTGCTGGGGATGAGGTAGAAAGATTAGGAACTACTGATGGAAACTCTGAGAGTGTGTGTGTGTGTGTGTGTGTGTGTGTGTGTGTGTGTGTGTGATGCATGTGTATTTAAAACACATACACATTCAAAAATGCCCACTAGATGGCAAACCCACATCTCAAATGTTAACCATTACTGGAGTGACCCTTCTGGAAGGCTAGGGCACTTTAATAATTCAAGCCAATTCGTAAAAGGCCAAGATTTTGTATACAGTTTAAGGGGCATGCAAATTAGCTTTGTGATGATGGTCTTACAAATCATTTCTAGGAATAGAGGCTAAACTTATAACTCCACCATTTCCAGAACCTAATCTGATTTATTTTCCACGCAAAATACAGTATGAATGCAGGTAAATTAAATTTCCTTACTATACCATCTGATTTCATATCTAGGTTTCATAACTTTGTGGGAGTAAAGCCAGTGATGGGGATAGGGTGTGAGCCTAAGTAGTCCCATTCTGGAAGTTCGGCATTTTATCCAGGATGCATTTCAACCTTCCGCTAACGTGAGAGGGAAGGCACCAAGGAAGAATGCGTAGCTTTCCGCCCTCCTCCCCAGCCTCCTACATTGCTGCCAGATGTAGTTGAGCCTGCACTGCTCAAAATTCTCCAGTGGCTCCCCACTAAAGGATCAACTCTATCAATGGTATCACACACACAGTCCCACCTTATGGACAAGCCGGTATATCACCAATCTCTCTCACACCCAACCGCATTGATTTGCTTTCCAGTCCCTGAGCAAGTCCTGATCTCACACGCCTCTGTGACTCTAGAAATGCTATTCTTGCTGTCCTGAAAACCCTCTCCCCTATTATCTGCAGGAGCAACTACTCACTCTTCAAGTCTCCACAAGGGTCACTTTCTCTAAGAGGCCCTCTGACTCTGCCAGCCAATCAGGTACTCCAACTTCAATATACCCATCATACCATTTGTTGCACAGTGCATCTCTCTCTTGCCACAAAAACGAGGGCTTCATGAGGGCCTGGATGGTGTCTTTCCAACTTTGTGTCCTCAGCACCGAATCCAAGGCCTAGCATACAGACAATGCTTAGTAAATTATTGACTGGCTGGCCAAATAAATGTATAAATGTTGTATGTAAACAGACTTTGCACATTTCCTTAAAAATTTCAGTGCTCAGCTCCCAGAATGTAGCAGGGAGATAGCTCCTTCACTGAGTCCCTTGCAGAGGCATAGGTGGGGATGGAGGATCAGGGAGCCAGAGCCAGAGAAGCCAGCTCAGGGAGGCTACAGGGCTGATAGAGTGGCTCCACAGAGCTTCCTGTCTCTGGTGCTACAAGAACAGTCTTTGAAAACATGAAAGCATGTGGGAAGGAGCCCCGCAACCTCCCACCTCCCAGCAACCTCTATAGTCAGGTGAATCCTTGGCTGTTTCCGAAACTATCCTCCTTTACCTCCACTGGAGCTCCTTGCTGAAACCAGCATTTGTATAAAATTGCTTAATCTCAGTGCCAGCTAGAGATACAGGTATTTACTGGGGGCTCCACCAAGAAAGACTTCTGAGGTTTGACTGCTACCAATTCGATCATTAAAGTAATAGATTACATTGCAGGACTGGGGGCTAGTTCTGTTCCTTAATTATGTTGGCTGTATTCATCTGCTAGGGCTGCCAGTGTCACAAACCAGGTGGTTTAAACAATAGAAATTTATCATCTCACATTTCTGGAGGCTAGAAGTCTGAGATCAAAGTGCCAGCAGGGTTGGTTCCTTTTGAGGGCTATGAGAGAGAATCTGTTCCATGTCTCTTCCCTAGCTTCTGGTGGCTTGCTGGCAACGTCTGACACTCCTTGGCTTGAGGCGTCGCTCCAATCTCTGCCTTCATCTTCACATCTTCACATGTCATTCTCCCTGTGTAAGTAGACAGGGAGGATGTCCACATTTCCCATTTTATAATGACACCGGCCATACTGGATTCGTGACTCACCCTACTCCAGTTTGACTGCATATTAACTAATTAGTAGTACCCATCCTATTTCCAAATAAGGTCATATTCTGAGGTACTAGGGGTTAGGACTTTAACATTTGAAATTGGTGGCACACAGTTCAACTCAAAACATTAGCCATGTTTTCTAAAGCGAAAATCAGAACACATCTTTTGGCACATGGTTTGACTATAGGGCAGAATGTTTGAAATCAGGACTATCTGAGCAATGTGGGTGTATGGGGGAATCCTTTTCAAGAGTAAATCTAGGCAAGTTAATATTATAGAAAATTTTTTAAAACATCCAGGTGGATACCCAATTGAAAAAGTTCTGCTAAATACCTGGCCGGGTACAGTGGCTCATGCTGGTAATCCCAAGACTTTGGGAGGCCAGGACGGGCAGATCACTTGAGGTCAGGAGTTGAGGCCAGTCTGGCCAACATGGTGAAACCCCGTCTCTACTACAAATATAAAAATTAGCCAGGTATGGTGGCACAGGCCTGTGGCCCCAGCTACTTGGGAGGCTGAGGCACGAAAATTGCTTGAACCTGTGAGGTGGACGCTGCAGTGAGTCGAGATCGTGCCACTGCACTCCAGACTGGGTGACAGAGACAGACCCTGTCTCAAAAAAAATTTTTAAATAAGGAAAAGTTCTGCTAAATACCTAGAATTAGAACAGAAACCTGTGGCTGCTTTAAATAATCAGGTTCCACAAAATCAAATTAATGTGAGTTATGCAGATATAGAAATAGATATAGATATATACATACCTACATGCATACATATGCATCTTACTTTGAGAAAGCACATAAGTAAATGAGATCTGTGTGTATTTGACTAGCTTCTTTTAAGATCAAAATGGAGATTAAAATACTTGTGTATTGAAGGTTGAAAAAAGAAGAATATTCTCTGAAATAAATGTTAAGATTCAAGTGTGATTTTGATTACAAAGTGGAACCCCTTCTCCCCACTTCTACCCACCCCCCCACCACAAGCTTGGAAACATATATCCAAAAGGTAGAATGAAAAACAACAGGCCTATATTATCCAACTTACAAATGTTCACAACTTTAGGGGAGCGAATATATATCGAGGGTAATTTGTATGTTTGACCTGTTATAACTCTTGTCTCCAAACTAACTTCTGCATACTGTATTCCCGAGATGGGAATGAAAACAGGTCCTGGGATACCAGAGATGTAAGAAAAGTGTGAGCCACAATCAAAACCATTTCCCAAATAGCCCACAAAAAGCAATGTGCCCTCCGTGTTAGAAAACTGTTTTATGGCCGGATGCGGTGGCTCGGGCATGTAATCCCAGCACTTTGGGAAGCCAAGGCGGGTGGATCACCTGAGGTCAGGAGTTCGAGACCAGCCTGGCCAACATGGTGAAACCCTGCCTGTATTAAAAATACAAAAATTAGCCGGGGGCAGTGGCACGCACCTGTAGTCCCAGCTACTCGGGAGGCTGAAGCAGGAGAATCGCTTGAACCTGGGAGGCGGAGGTTGCAGTGAGCCGAGATCTCACCACTGCACTCCAGCCTGTGTGACAGAGCAAGACTCCGTCAAAAAAAAGAAAGAGAAAAAGAAAGAAAGAAAGAAGGAAGGAAGGAAGGAGAAAGAGAAAGAAAGAGAAAGAAAGAAAGAAAGAAAGAAAGAAAGAAAGAAAGAAAGAAAGAGAAAGAAAGAAAGAAAGAAAGAGAAAGAAAGAAAGAAAGAGAAAGAAAGAAAAACTGTTTTACAAGAAACAGTCTTGCCCTTTCTGAAAAATTTTCCAGGTTCTAAGCACTTATGTGTAAAGGAAATCATCTCAAACTATGTTGGAACTGGGAATGGTAAAAATAAATTAATGACAATAAAATAAACTTAAAGTCTTATAAATATATTTAACATGGGACAAGGGATCAGGATAAGGAAATGTGAAAAAGACATGAATAAACTGGATAATGATGGAGGAAATGGAAGAATCGCTCAGTGAGAAGACAATAAAAATCACTCTCATTTATGTATCAAGCTTCTACCTCGGTATAAACAAAGTGCTAGGCATTTTCATTATCTTATTTAATCCTCACAACAGTCTAACAAGGTAGATATTATCACTCCAATTTAACAGATGGGAAAACTGTGGCTCAGAGGAGTTAAGTCATGTGTCCAACCACTGGGCAAATCAGTGGCAGAGTCAGGCATGGAGCCCAGGTTGGCCTGAGTCCACAGTCTGTGTGCCCAGAGCTGGGGAGGAGCCTCTGGGGACACGAATGTTTACAAGAACCTTTACAGCACCTCCATCTCATGGACAGGACTGAGTAGGAAAACCAGGCCTGTAGGGAGGGCTGAAATGGAAGGGGAAGAGCGTACAGAGGCAGATTACTAGGCATCAAGGCCTAACAACAACTGTGTATTGGGGAAAACAATTTTGTTCAAGAGGGCTATTTATAGGGATGTTTTTCCTCAGTACTCCCTTCCCCCATCTCCTCCCTTTTGTGTTAAGAGGCGCCTGGCAGATTGGTAAAGGGTTACAGGCAGTGGACAGGAAACCATGGAACACAATGAACGGGGCGGGACAGATCCCCACCCACCTAAGAAAATCGCTGGCTCCAGTATTCAGAGACCCTGGGGGGAGACAGACTGAGCTCAGGGTTCTGCTCCTTCCCTGGTTCAGCTAGAAAGAGGCAACGTTCCCAAAGGGGTGCGAAACAGAGCAAGAGGGGGAGCAGGGCAGAATGAGGCAACAAAATATAACAAGATTATTAAAAATAAGTCAAATGGACAGTTCATTCTCTTTCCTGAGGACTGCTGTATTCTGTGAGAGATGAAGGTTTTTCTACCCAAAGACTCTGTCCAGTGTGGGAACTCCAAAGATACAGCACAAGAGGCAAGAGAAATCATCTCAAACCCAGCTGCTGAGAGGGACCCCAGAATCCAATGTGAGGTCCTTGGGACACACCCTGCCAGGCTTCTTCCCTCTGGGCCACTGGACACAAATCTTAACCCAAATGGATCCAGATTCAGACTTAAAGCCTAATGCAAGACGCTGTGCAGATTCAGGCATTGGTATAATAATAATTCCACTCACAGCACTTGGCTCTTTCAGGCCTTGTGAAGTCTCTCGTCCACATGTGACTCTAGGAAGGAAGTGTCCCGCTGCTGTTTGGCAGTGTCTAGTGCCCATGGTGGAGTGGGACAAGGGGGTCTTGTACTGCCTGGTTTGTTCATTTCTGAAACATTGAAGATTGATTTAATGCTACAACTGTGCATATGGGTCAAATGTCATTATGGTTTTTTAAACACTATAGAACACAAAAGATTTCCAAACCTCTATTTTTGAATACTATTCAATACAAAGAAATTAGCGCATAAGTAAAATATTGGTGAGGAAAAACTTATTTCTCAAATAATTTCAAATAATTTATCCTGATGTCTCATCTAATCTCTAGTCCTAACTTCTCAGCTTCTCCTCAGTCTTGCATTTTATACTATCAAAGGACATTTCCTCCTGAAATTTCTGATATGGCCCTTGATGTGTAGAGAAGTATGTATTATCATTCTCCAAAAAAAAAAAAACAGTTTTTACTCTTACCAGTCCCCAGTCTTATAAACCCGGAGAGGTTTTGGACTCTACTGTCTCCTACATCTAGTCTTTTAAATAAATGTCTGAGATTTTGAGTTAGCAGTTAGGGTCCCTGATAAATGCACGGTTACTATAAAAAATAATACTTCATTTATCATCGAGTCTTATTCTTTCTTGCTATTCACTTTACATCACCCTTTCTACCCCAAAATTGGTAGTTGATGGTAAAGTAACTGAATTATGTTCTCAGCTGGGGAAGTGAGGATATAAAGCAGTCTCCCAGTGCTTTTTTTGCCCTAACTAATGCAGCTTTGCAACTCTGGGAACTATAATATTCAATGTAGGGAGAGGAGAGAGAAAGAGATAAAGAAGTTATGTTTAATAATGACTAGATCTGTTCAACTTTTAGGCTGGGAGTGAAGTCATTTAAAGCCCTTCTCTTTCTCCATTCTTATCATGGCAGCTGCTTGATCTTGGAAGTCCTTTTAGAAGGAAAACTGGCTTTAATAATTGCAGAGATGGTGGAGCAATGGGAAGTCAGGTGGTCAGGATAGGAAACTGATTCTGATTCTCATTTCTTCTTTCCCATCAAGTTAACTTCTCCTCCACTCAGTACTGTTTGACTAAGGATTGATAATGTAGACCTCCCTGCTCCAGTCCACTAAGTATGCTTAATTTGGAAACTTAGAAGCAACAATTTGCAGTGTAATCTGGAAACTGATGCACAGGGAAATGCAATAATGGACTTGGGATACACAACTTTTTAGAAGATCTTTTGCTCTGGTCAAGTGCATCTTCTACTAGCTTCAGAATCCCATGACATTGGTGCCTGGACTAAGGGGGTGCATAAGTCCTCTCTAATAGGAGAGCATCATCTAACAATTGATCTCAATACTAGATACCACATAAGCACTGATATTATTAGACTCTGTGTCCCCACCCAGTCTCATGTCAAATTATAATCCTCATGTGTCAAGGGCGGGACCTGTTGGGAGGTGATTAAATTATGGGGATGAATTTCCTCCGTGCTGCTCTCATGATAGTGAGTTCCCATGAGATCTGATGGTTAAACATATGGCACTTCCCTGCCCACTCTCTCTCTCCTGCTTTGCCATGAGAAGATGTGCTTTGCTTCCCCTTCACCTTCTGCCATGATTGTAAGTTTCCTGAGGCCTCACAGTTATGCTTCCTGTTAAGCCTGCAGAATTGTGAGTCAATTAAACCTCTTTTCCTCATGAATTACCCAGTCTCAGGTAGTTCTTTATAACAGTGTGAAAATGGACTAACACAGAAAATTGGTACCAGGAGAGTGGTGCTCTGCTAAAAAGATACCTGAAAATGTGGAAGCGACTTTGGAACTGGGTAACAGGCAGAGGTTAGAACAGTTCTGAGGGCTCAAAGAAGAAAGGAAGATGTGGGAAAGTTTGGAACTTCCTAGAGACTTGTTGAATGGTTTTGACCAAAATGCTGATCGTGACATGGACAATGAAGTCCAGACTGAGATGGTCTCAGATGGAGATGAGGAATTTATTGGGAGTAAAGGTCACTTTTGCTATGATTTAGCAAAGAGACTGGTGGCATTTTCCCCCTGCCCTAGAGATCTGTGGAAGTTTGAACTTGAGAGAGATGATATAGGGTATCTGGCAGAAGAAATTTCTAAACAACAAAAAATTCAAGATTTGGTCTGGCTGCTCCTAACAGGATACAGTCATATGCATTCACAAAGAGATGGTCTGAAATTGAAACTTATGTTTAAAAGGGAAGCAGAGCATAAAAGTTTGGAAAATCTGCAGCCTGACCATGTGGTCAAAAATAAAAACCCGTTTTCTGGGGAGAAATTCAAGTCAGTTGCAGAAATTTGCATAAATGAAGAGGAGCCAAATGTTAATAGCCAAGACAATGGGGAATGTCTCCAGGACATGTCAGAGATCTTCACAGAAGCCCCACCCATCACAAGCCAGGAGGCCTAGGAGGGAAAATGGTTTCATGGGCCAGGCCCAGGGCTCCGCTGCTCTGTGCAGCCTTGGGACTTGGCACCTCAGTCCCAGCTGCTCCAGCCCCAGCTGTGGCTAAAAGGGGCCAAGGTACAGCTCAGCCCATTGCTTCAGAGTATGCAAGCCCCGAGCCTTGGTGACTTCCATGTGGTATTGGGCCTGCAGGTACACAGAAGGCAAGAATTGATGTTTGGAAACCTCTGCCTAGATTTCAGAGAATGTATGAAAATGTCTGGATGTACAGGTAGAAGTCTGCTGCAGGGGTGGAGCCCTCATGGAGAACCTCTACTAGGACAGTCTGGAGGGAAAATGTGGGGTGGGAACCCCCACACAGAGCCCCCACTGGGGCACTGCCTCATGGAGCAGTGAAAAGGGGGCCACTGTCCTCCAGACCCCAGAATGGTAGATCCGTGAAGACCTTGCACTGTTCACCTGGAAAAGCCACAGATACTCAATGCCAGCCTATAAAAGCAGCTATGGGGACTGTACCCTGCAGAGCCACAGGGGTGGAGCTGCCCAAGGCCTTGGGAGACCACCCCTTGTGTCAGTGTGGCCTGGATGTGAGACACAGAGTCAAAATAGACTATCTGGGGGCTTTAAGATTTAATGACTGCCCTGCTAGGTTTCAGACTTTCATGGACCTTGTAGCCCCTTTGTTTTGGCCAATTTCTCCCTTTTGGAATGGGAGCATTTACCCAATGCTTACACCCCCATTGTGTCTTGGAAGTAATTAACTTGCTTTTGATTTTACAAGCTCATAGGCAGAAGAGACTTGCCTTGTCTTAGATGAGACTTTGGACTTGGACTTTTGAGTTAATGCTGGAATGAGTTAAGACTTTGAGGGACTGTTGGGAAGGCATGATTAATTTTGCAATGTGAGAAGGACATGAGATTCGGAAGGGGCCAGGGGCAGAATGATATGGTTTGGCTTTATGCCCCCACCCAAATCTCATGTCAAATTGTAATCACCATGTGTCAGGGGAGGGACCTGGTGGGAGGTGATTGGATCATGGGGGCAGATTTCCCCCATGCTGTTGTCATGATAGTAAGTGAATTCTCATGAGATCTGATGATTTAAAAGTGTGGCACTTCCCTCCCTCATTCTCTGTCTCCTGCTCCACCATGGGAAGATATGACTTGCAACCCCTTAACCTTCTGCCATGATTGTAAGTTTCCTGAGGCCTCCCAGTTATGCTTCCTGTTAAGCCTGCAGAGCTGTGAGTCAATTACCCTCTTTTCTTCATAAATTACTCCATCTCAGGTAGTTCTTTATAGTAGTGTGAAAAGGACTAATACAAGCACCTTTAAAATAGAGGTTACTGGGTGTGTGGCCATTTCTATGTCTTCTTTTGAGAAATGTCTGTTCAGATCATTTGCTAATTTTTTAATTGGAATGTTTGTTTGTTTTTGCTGTTGAGATATTTGAGTTCCTTGTATATTCTGGATATTAATTCCCTGTCAGATGAGTAATTTGTAAATAGTTTCTCCCATTCTATAGATTGTCTTTTCACTCTGTTGAATGTTTCATTTGCAGTACAGAAGCTTTTTAGTTTGCTGTGATTTCATTTATTTTTTTTTCTTTTGTTGGCTAGGATTTTGAGATCTTATTCACAAAATATTTTCCCAGACAAATGTCCTGAAGCACATCCCCTATGTTTTCTTCTAGTAGTTTTATTGTTTCAGGTCTTACATTTAGGTCTTTGATACAGTTTGAGTTGATTTTTATAGAGAGTACATGGTGAGGGTCTATTTTCATTCTTTTGCATGTAGATATCCAGTTTCCCCAGCACCATTTATTAAAGAGACTTTTCTTTACCCAGTGAGTATTCTTGACGCCTTTGTCAAAAATTAGTTGGCTATAAATATATGGATTAGTTTCTGGGATCTTGACTTTGTTCCATTGGTCTGAATGTCTGTTTTTATTTCAGTATCATGCTGTTTTACTGTTAAAAAAACTGTACTACTACAGTTTTGTAGTATATTTTGAGATATAATAGTGTGATACCCCCAGTTTTGTTTCTTTTGCTTAGGATTGCCTTAGCTATTTGGGATCTTTGTGGTTCCATGGAAATGTCAGGATTTTTTTTCTATTTTTATAAGGAATGTAATTGGTATTTTGATAGGATTGCATTGAATATATAGATTTCTTTGAGCAATCTTAACAATGTTAATTTATCTAATCAGTGAGCATAAGATGTTTTTCCATTTGTACCATCTTCAATTTCCTTCATCAGTGTTTTGTAGTTTTCTTTGTAGAGATCTTTTACCTCCTTGGTTAAATTTATTTTCAGATTTTTTATTGTAGCTATTGAAAATGCGATTGCCTTCTTGATTTCTTTTTCAGCTACTTTGTTGTTTGTGTATGGAAACACCACTGATTTTTGTATGTTAATTTTGTATACTGTAACTTTACTGAACTTACAAGTTCTAAAAGTTTTTTGATAGAGTCTTTAGGTCTTTCTATATGTAAAATCATTATCTGCAAATGGGGACAGTCTGACTTATTTCTTTCCAATTTGGATGTCCTCTATTTCTTTCTCTTGCCTAATTGCTCTAGCTAGGACTTCCAGTACTATTTTGAATAAGAGTGGTGAAAATGGGTATCCTTGTTTTGTTCTAGTTCTCAGGGGAAACGTTTTCTGCTTTTCCTTGTTGAGTAAGATGTTAGCTGTAGGTTTGTCATATATGGCCTTTATTATGTTGAGATACTTTTCTTCTATACTTACTTTACTAGGAGTTTTTAATCATGGAGGACTGTTGAATTTTATCAAATGTTTTTCTGCATCTATTGAGATGATCATATAGTTTTTGTCCTTCATTTAACTGATGTGATATATGACATTTATTGATTTGTACATGTTGAACCATTCTTGCATCCTTGGGATAAATCCCACTTGATCATGGTGTAGTATCTTTTGGATGTATTGTTGGATTCGGGTTGCTACTATTTTTTGAGGATTTTTGTGACTATGTTCATCAGAGATATTGACCTGCAGTTTTCTTTTTTTTAATTGTGTCCTTGTCTGGTTTTGGTATCAGGGTCATGCTATACCCATAGAATGAGTTAGGAAGAATTCCTTCTGCTTCAATTTTTTTTTGAATTGCTTGAGGATAACTGGCATTAGTACTTCTTTAAAGGTTCAGTAGAATTCAGTGGTGAAGGGATCCCATTCTAGACTTTTCCTTGTTGGGAGATTTTTTTTTAATTACTAATTCAATCTCATTACATGTTACTAGCCTGCTCAGATTTTCTATTTCTTCTTGATTCAATCTTGGTAGGCTGTATGTGTCCAGGCACTTATCCATTTTCTCTAGGTTTTCTAATTTTTCAGCATATAGCTATTCATAGAATCCCTAATGAGCCTTTATATTTCTGTGGTATCCATTGTGACATCTTTTTCATGTCTGATTTTCTTTATTTGGGTCTTCTCTCTTTTTTTAATAGTCTGGCTAATGGTTTGTCAATTTTGTTTATCTCTTTTTTTTAAAAAAACAGCTTTTTGTTTCATTGATTTTGTTTGTTTGTTTTTTAGTCTCAGTGTTTAAATATTTTGCTCTGATCTTCATTATTTCTACCCTTCTACTAACTTTGGATTCGGTTTGTTCTTGTTTTTCTAGTTCCTTGGGGTGCATTGTTAGGTTGTTTATTTGAACTCTTTCTATTTTTTTGATGCTGGTGTTTAGTACTCTAAATTTCCCTCTTAACACTGCTTTTGCTACATTCCATAGGTTTTGGTATGTTATATTTCAATTTTCATTTGTTTCAAATAATTTTTAAATTTCATTCTTAATTTCCTCTTTCATCTATTGGTTCTTCAGGAGCAAGTAGCCTAATTTTCATGAATTTCTATAGTTTTTAATATCCATATTGTTATAGTGTCTAGTGTTATTCCACTGTAGTCCAGTAAGATACTTGATATGATTTTAATTTTTTTAACATTTTCTGAGATTTGTTTTGTGTCTTAATACATGGTCAAACCTGGAGAATGTTCAATGTGCTGCTAAAAAGAATGTGTATTCTGCAGCTGTTTGGTGAAATGTTTTGTAAATGCCTGTTTGGTCTACCTGGTCTATGGTGCAGTTTAAATCTGATGTTTTTTTTTTTTTTATGTCTAGATGATCTGTGCAATGCTGTGAGTGGGGTGTTGAAGTCCCAAAGTATTATTGTATTGGGGTCTATCTTGCCCTTTAGATATAATAATATTTGTTCTATATATCTAGGTGCTGCAGTGTTGAGTGCATATATATTTATAATTGTTATATTATCTTGCTGAATGGATTCTTTTATTATTGTATAATGACCTTCTTTGTCTCTTTTTACAGCTTTTAACTTGAAGTCTATTTTGTCTGATACAAATATAGCTACTTCTGCTTGCTTTTGATTTCCATTTGCGTGGACTATCTTCTTCCATACCTTCTCTTTCAGGCTATGTATGTCTTTGTATAGATTTCTTGTAGGCAGCATATAGTTGGGTCTGGGTTTCTAATGCATTCAGCCAATCTATATCTTTTAAATGGGGACTTTAATCTATTTACATTTAAGGTTATTATTGACAGGTGAGGACTTACTCCTGTCATTTTATTGTCTTTTGATTGTTTTGTATATCCTTTGTTCCTTGCTTCCTCTCTTATTGTTTACTCTTGTGGTTGGGTGGTTTTCTGTAGTAATAAGATTTGATTCCTTTTTCCTTACCCTTTAGTGTATTGGCTCTAACAGAGGTTTTTTTTACATAAGTTTTGCCTGCTTTCATGATTGTGGTTATCATCTTCTCACTTCCAGATGTAAGACTCCCTTGGATTTCTTGTAAGACCAGTTTAGAGGTGATGAATTCCCTAAATTTTGCTTGTTTGTGAAAATTTTATATTTCCTTCATTTGTAAAGGATAGCTTTGCTGGGTACAATATGCTTGAGTGGCAGTTTTGTCCTTCAGTATCTGGAATTGAACACCACAGTGTCTTCTGATCTATAAAGTTTTTGCTGATAAATCCACTAATATTTATAATAATCTAACAGAGATTCCCTTATGTGTGACTTGATACCTTTCTCTTGCTCCTTTTAAAATTCTTTGTCTTTGAATCTTGAAAATTTGACTATAATGTACCTCAAAGAGGATTTGTTTAAATTGAATCTCTTTGGGGTTCTTTGAGCTTCCTGGATCTGAAAGTCCATCATCTGTCTCCCAAGACTTGGTAAGTTTTCCGCTTTGGTTTCATTAGATATGTTTTACTCATCTTCTTCTTTTTGTTCTCCTGGAATGCCCATAATACAAACATTTGTTCACTTAATAGTGTTCCATAAATCCTATAGGCTTCCTTCACTCTTTTTCATTCTTTTTTCTTTTCTTCCTTCTTTCTTTTTCTTCCTTTTTCTTCTTTCTTTCTTTCCTTCTTTCTTTCTTTTTCTTCTTTCTTTCTCCTTTTCTTTCCTTCTTTCTCCTTTTCTTTCTTTCCTGCATGTATTATTTCAAAAGACATAACTTCAACTTCTAGCCTATTGCTGAAGCTCTCAATTGCATTTTTTATTTCCTTCATTATTGTATAATGATCTTCTTTGTCTCTTTTTATAGCTTTTAACTTGAAGTCCTTTTTGTCTGGTTGCTTGCTTTTGGTTTCTGTTTGCATGGAATATCTTCTTGGTTGATGTTCTTGCATGGAATTCTCCAGCTCTAGAATTTCTGTTTGGTTCTTGTTTATGATATCTATCTCTGCTGAAATTCTCATTCAGATTATGAATTGTTTTCCTGATTTTGCTGAATTGTCCATTTGTATTCTCTTGTATTTTACTGAGTTTCCTTAAGATTATTATTTTGAATTATTTCTCTGGCATTTTGCATATGTCCTTATGATTGGGATCTGTTACTAAACAATTACTATTTTCCTTTAGGAGTAATATGTTTTCTTATTTTCATGGTTGATATGTCCCTACATTGATTTCTACACATCTGGTGGAAAAGTCACCTCTTCTATTTTTTTGGAGAAGGCTTCATAGGGAAAGACTTATTTGTATGAATGGGTCTTGGGTGTCAGTTTGGTGGGGTATGTTGACCTTGACTGTAGGTGGACACAGTCGTATAGTCTCGGTGTAGTTTCTTCAGCTGTAATCCATACTAGTGGCATTTGCAAGTTTCTCAGTGGCCTAGGCTGAGAGAGTTTGTGGTGACTGTGCTATGGTTTTGCCAGGAGTGGGCTTGCTGGGCTGTTTCTCAGGTTGAGGGTACATGTATACAAGTGATGAGTTTGTTGATTTGTGGTCTTGCTCACTAAGGTTGGGGCCACAGGGCTGTTACTCTGGCTGGGAGCATAGACACATGGTTGCTCAGCCAGTTTGAGTGCATGCCTGCCAGGAGTGTTCTTCAGTGTTGGGATGCAGGTATACAGCTGCTTGGCTGAGCTGGAAATATGTCTGCCACGGGTAGCCAGAAGGGGTGATTCTCAGGCCCAGAACATGGATGTAAGGCTGCTCAGCTGGTCTGAGGGTGTGCTTGCCAGGATGGTCCATGGGGCTCTTTTTCAGTCCTGGTACACAGGTGCAGGGCTGCTTGGCCAGCCTGTCTGTAGAGGGCAATCCATGGGGCTGTTTTTCAGGCTTGGTTGGCCTTGGGTGTGTTGCCAAGGAGTGGCCCATAGGAAACTTCTCAGATTTGGGACACAGGCACAAGGCTGCTCAGCTAGCTCAGGGGCGTGCACACTAGAGGCAGCCGATGCAGTTGTTTCTCAGGTCCAGTATGCAAATGTATGGCTACTTGTCTAGTCTGGGGTGTGTCTGCCAGTGGCAGCCCATGGGGCTATTTCTCAGGTCTGAGACATGGACTTTTAGTGACTTGAGTGTTCTGGGGGCATGCTTACCAGGAGTGACCTTCAGGACTATTTCTCAGGCCCTTTTAGGGAGTGCAGGGCCATTGGGCAGGCTGGGGCATGGTAGGGTAGAGGCTCTGGGGACACGGCGGGGCTGTTTCTCAGGTCCTGAGCATGGATGTGTAGCCACTTCACTGGCCTGGGAACATATCAGATGCCTGGAGGCTCAGGGGCCTCTCCCACTCAGGGGAGGATATGTAGTGGTTTGGCTGGCTCACTGGTGGTTTCACCCTGGGCAGGACTGGCAGACAGTTCCTCCTTCTAGAATTGCAGTGACAGGGGTTGGTTTCCCTGCTATGTAGGACCAGAGTCACAGCTGATCCTTGGCCCAATCTCCATACAGCTGGGGTTGTGGCATTCAGCCACCCATATGGGCTTGGTGCAATGAAGATGGAGCCCCAGTGCTAGGGAAGTGCAGTGGCTACTGGCCATCAGAGCAGGGCACACTCCAGAGGTAGCTCTGGTCTCAAGATGGTACCATGCTGCAGCAGCTTGGCTCACAGAGGGTGGGTGTGAATGAGGAGTGCACACCTTGTGCTCTTAATCAGGGCCACGTAGTTGTGTGAATTTCCATCAGCTCTCCCAACTGGGCTCAGGGCTTGTGAGGACTGTGGAATTCTCCTGTTGTAAGGACTGTAGGCTGGGCCTTGTCACTCATTCCTATAATCCTAGCAATGTGGGAAGCTGAGGCAAGCAGATCACCTGAGTCCAAGGGTTTGAGACTAACCTTTGGCAAGATGAGAAAACCCCATCTCTACAAAACATTAGCCAGGCATGGTGGTGCACGCCTATAGTCCTGGCTATGCAGGAGGCTGAGGCGAGAAGATTGCTTGAGCCGGTGAGGCAGAGGTTGCAATGAGCTGAGATCACACCACTGCACTCCAGCCTAGGTGACAGAGTGATACTCTGTCTCCAAAAAAAAAAAAAAAAAAAAAGACTGCAGATGTTTGCAATGGTAATAGGGGCTGATAGAGATCATCTGCTTCCCTTTTCCTTGCAATAGGAAATCCCTCCTGTCTATGGGTTGATCAGATTTGGGCAAAAGAGATGGGGATGCAAAGGCTCTGTGTCTTCATGCTGCCTTCCTGGACTTCCAATCACCACAGGTCCATCGCCACTCCCCTACTGCACTCCAGCACTCTGCTTTTGACACTTCAGTAAAATCTTAGCTGTTTATTTGTTGCCTTGGTCCTTTATTTTCAGGGGGATGAATGCCAGGCATATCTCTAAGTCAGTCATCTTGCTTTTCTACATCTCTTTATTTACAGGAGAGAAGGTTGTTACCATCCTTGGTGATGAAGGAAACAGATAGCTCATGTTGACAGGCATCAGTCCTCAATAAGTGCAGGTAAGAGGGATCATAGGCAGCAACAGAATTCTGAGGTATCTCTGTGTGAGCAAAGAGCTTTTCCAGTAAATTGCACCATGACAGTCTGCTAAAGGCATAATTTATATGATCACCAAATGGCTTCTCAATTAGTCTTTCTGTTAACATTCCTACATTATCTCCATACCAGCTTGTTTCTTAGGTAATGCTCAGCCAAACAGAAATCAGATTTTGGAACCAAATCAGATTTTCTTCTATAGCCCCAGAAAAGACTCTGCTTAGAATAAGCAAGGAGAAAGAAAAAAAAATGGGAAGAGAAAGAGATATGTAGAGGAAGAAAAGAGAAAGAAAAATTGGAAAAAAAAAAAATCTAAAACAAGCACTAGATTCAAGTTTGGCATCTATCGCAGGACATACTCAACATTAAGAGGGGGCAGAAAACAAATGGGGAGGGGGACAGCTTTCCAACTCCCCAAATCAGGTTGTCACCATGTGACTTCATTATCTCGGTTGAAATATTGTGAACTCATCCCACCATTTGGTGTGAATAACTGAGTTATCATCAAGATAACCTTGAAATGCATATCACGTGTACATTTCAGATAAGGTTTGTTTAATCAGCACAGGAATAATAAACACTTTGCTAGGTGCTCAGTATTACCTCCATCTTGAACTCTTACAAACTTGAACCCAACTTAACATGAAGCAGGGATCAAAACGTCCATCAGGCCATTCCAGGTTGAAAATCCTATGATGCCAGAGGCATTCGGGGAAATTCTAAGTAAAGCATAGAAGAATCTCAGGGCTATGTTAAGGTCACTAACTGGCCTCACTGCTTCACCTAGACAGCCCTGTTTTTCAACAAACTACAACTGCCGGGTTTGATGGTGATTATGGGGATTTTGTACATAGCTAAAGTTATACTATGAAGTATTTTTGAAGTATTTTGAGAATTACTTGTAAATTATCGTTTGCATGCTTAACTGATAGCCTTCATTATGAGAAAGACCATATTTAATAAAAATTGTATGTAATTTAAAAATTAATTCAGACTTGAATAAAGTCTGTTGATTGATTAATATTATTGTATCAATATAAACTTTCTAATTTTGATAACTATACTCTCATTGTATAAGATATTAATATTTGGGGAAGTTGGGTGAAAGGTATATGGGAATTCCTTGACTATTTTTTTGTAAATTTTTTTTTTTTTGAGACGGAGTCTCGCTCTGTCACCCAAGCTGGAGTGCAGTGGCACCATCTCGGCTCACTGCAAGCTCCGCCTCCCGGGTTCACACCATTCTCCTGCCTCAGCCTCCCGAGTAGCTGGGACTGCAGGCGCCCGACACCACCATGCCCGGCTAATTTTTTTGTATTTTTAGTAGAGACGGGGTTTCACCGCGTTAGCCATGATGGTCTCGATCTCCTGACCTCGTGATTGCCCGCCTCGGCCTCCGAAAGTGCTGGGATTACAGGCGTGAACCACTGCGCCCGGCCTGTAAATTATTTATAAGCTGGAATTACTTGAAAGTGAAACATTAAAAGGAAGTTTTGAAATATTTAAAAAGGTAATTAACAGGGCTTGGCAATTTCTCCATTATTTGCACTCAGAAAAGGGGCTCTTTCAGCCTCTCTCTTTTGCTGACAAGATGATGAAATCCACGTAAGTCAGATGAAAGAATGAATGCAAAAGTCCTTGCTGAAGTAAACTGCTAAGCAAATGCTAATAGTGATCATTATAGTCCCATATGGAGCTGCTTCTCTATAAATAAAGGGAGGAACAAGCCATTGTACCAAATACCTTATCAGATACTCTCCAAGCAGTTTACAAAATGCTTAGAAATTGCTGCCCTAAAAGTAGGACTGGGGAGCTATTGAAAGGTTTTCAGCAAGGCAGGCAGGCATATAACAACAGCAATCCTTCAAGATGACTCCTCAAGCTTTTAATACATAGGATGGAGGAAGTGGAGGAGATTGGACTCAACAAATCCCACTAGGAGTTACTTTAATAATTGAGGAGTGGATGGTCCTCACTGAGTGGGCCTGGAAAGGAATAAACCAAGCTGAGAGGCATGGTGAAGAGCTCATCGTCTGGGCGGGACTACCTTGCAGGTGGGAGAGGAAGGAGACAAATGAGTCTGTGGTTACTTGAAGACATTTCACCAAGATGACTGGGGCAAATGCTTCTCAGTGTCACTGAGAGATGGAAAATGAAAAACAGGAAAGACAATTCATAGAGGTTGGGCTGCAAACTCAAGTGGCAGCAGAGGCCAGGCAGGTGCAAAAGGGGGAAGACAGGCCGTGGGGTCTGCAAAACTGCAAGAGTCGTCTCTCTAAAGAGGGTGCCTCCAAGGGGCCTGCCACAACTCAGCATCAGCCGTCCTTGCCATATGGGAATGCACTTGTGGTGTAACTAGATCTTCCATTTTTTCAAGAGAAGCCAGAAATTCAGATTTTATGTGAAATCTCTTAACTTTTTAATGCTAGCTACTAATTTTAAAACGTGTTAAAGCATGGTGTCTGCCAGCCAAGTACATCTATGGGCCAGATCTGGCAGGGTGGCTATCAAGTTGTGACCTCTGACATAGAGAAAATGTCAAGGGTCAAAGTTCATAGACTGTTAAGGTTACATAGAGAGACAGTGACTGTAAAGGGATTCAGTACCTAAAATGCTACGGATGCAGCTTTGCCAGCAATCTGAGCTGTATGACATATGCCCCTATCCTTCAAGCCTGTATATGGATTTGAATTTATACAGGAAGTTTCATCTAATCCTCAAATGGTTAAATCACAAGAATTTGAGTGCTTTCTGTGTGCTGAGTACACAGAAGTTAAAGAATTTAAAATCTAACTGGAGAAGAAAAAAACATGCCCTCTTGAAACAACTTGAAACAAATTATGAAAGAACCTGGGAGACTGCTTTCTTCACATTTCATGTGTCAGAGGCATCTTAAATCCTGGTTTGTCCCCCCCAAATCACTTCCATTTAGAAAACTTTGCAGTAGTGTGTGTGTGTGTCTTGAATATGTAACCAGAAATCTGATTTCCTGGGCAGTGGTTACAAAGCTGCAGCCTCTCTTTGCCCAGGGGTATCTTTACCCCAGAGTGGGAGGGGAGTGAGCTGAGGTGGGGGTGCACGAACGCTGCAGAGGAGGTTGGGATGGGAGTGGCCGGCGTGAAGCCACTGCCTGTCAGGTTTCTCCGCTGGAGTCCCCTGTTTGTCTCTGTCATTACTCTTTAAGTATTTGCGTAGCAGACAGGCGGGCACCGAAATAGAAAGTGTCAAAGATACGATGACAATGAGGATAAAACCAGGGCAGAGGGTTCTGAAAGTCCCAACCAGCACGGTCCCCGCAGAATGCCAGCGCACCTCCTCCCGCCACTTCAAAGAGCCGGCTCGGCGGGGCAGGAAGCGGCGGCTGCGGCTGCGGGTCCTGCGAGAAGAGCGCGATTTCCTCCGGGGCTGCCCAGTTATCTCTGGAGTCGCAGAACTGCTCTCGGGAGAACGCGTTCTCTACCCCAACCCCGTGCTCCTCAACCCACCCACCTACTTCCTCTAGCTCCACACACTCACAAGCACCGAGCTGCCAAAAATTTCCACCCACCGCCCCCCTCCCTAGCTAACTTCCTTCCAGCATTTCCTGAGCTGGATGATCCTAGGATTTGTAAGACAGGAAAAAAAGGAAGGCGTGAGGGCGGGCAGCAGCGACAGGATGCTTGTTTTTCGCTCTACCAAAGTCGTCTGAAGGCGAGACAGCGGGCCCAGGGCGCAGGACCCACCGCAGCCCCCTGGGCAGTCTCCTCGCCCCGCGTCCGCGTCGTCTCCGGGGCACTTAGTAAGGGGTGGGGAGAGCTTGCCCTCCCTCTTAAGCTGAGGAGAAACACCCGAAGACACCGCAGGAGCCTGTGAAAGTCCCTAGGACTCCAAGTGAGGAAGTGACACTCCCAGGCGAGCCGGCCCGCGGCTGCCAGTCTGCACGGCCTCGGCACGGCGGCCCCGGAGCGGCGCGGGGTGGATCTCAGGCTCTGCCGGCCCGCGGCCCGCGGGGTCCATGCGCAGGGCCCCCAGCCCAAGTTCTTCCATCTTCCGATGCGGCCCCCCAGAGCCGCGGGGCAGCCGGTGATCTAGCCCGGGAGCCCATCTTACAGCGGTGCCAAGCAGAGGGGCGGCAGAGACGGAGGGGCAGCCTCTTTGGGACTAACTCATGAAGAACAAGGGTGCTAAGCAGAAGCTGAAACGAAAGGGAGCCGCCAGCGCGTTTGGCTGTGACCTGACGGAGTATCTGGAAAGCTCGGGACAGGATGGTAATGTGCCTTGGCCTTTCTCCCCCGCCCCCACCTTCTTTTTGTTTGAGGGAGAGACGGACTCTCTCGAGTTGTGATAGAGTCGGTTCACAAGTTAATGTATTCCAGGCCTGTGCGCTCATTGCACTTTTTTTTCTTTTTTTTTTTTAAAGAACATAAACGATTCTTAAGGTGCACAGCGCTGCTGTCCCGACGCGCAGAGGCTGCTGTGTCAGTCCTTCCGTTTGCCTCACACAAGCTGTTAATGGGTGGTACTGCCGCAAGTTTACCGGGCCACCTCAGGGGATGGGGGTGGAAGCTGCAGAGGTCCCAATCCTAAACTTGGCACGTTGGAAGGGAGGGAGGAGGGGTGGACATGTGGGATGGTGATCAGTGGTCTTGCCTGGGTACAAAATCATGACCGCCTTAGCTGTCCCTCCTGGGCTCTCCAATTTCGTCTGCTCACATCTTTTTTTATTAATGTGTTAGAAGGCAGTTGCGGGTGGGGGGTGGGGGAGGATCCTGGCTGGGGGAGTGGTTGCACAAACATTTCTGAATTTCTGAGCTGATGCCAAATATATAGTACCTCCACCCCCTTTCCACAACCCCCTCCCCGCCCTGCAAGACCTTTTCCCTCCTCTTGGCTTTCAGATTAACATTTGGTGTGTCAGACAAGAAGAGTGTTGTAAAAAGGTCAGAGGGCCTCCATTTTTAAATAGTTTAGGGTAAGTAGAGAAAAGGAAAACTTCTCTGTTTTCAAGGTCAGATGGGGGTAGGGGGGAGTTGGGGATGGGGGAATCCAGCGGAGACAATTTAAACATTTGTTGGGGAAGGGGGAAAGAAAACACCATCTAGATTACAATAACAGCGTTTGAGCTTAGAAGTGTTTAATCATAGGAAAGTTGGAAAATTGAGCATTAAATGACTCCTTTTGTAAGGTTGACTGGTTTTGCACTTACCCTTGACAAAAAGGCCTTGTCTTCAGAAGCTTCAGCGAGAGGAAAATAGCCTACTATATAGGCCATGTGTTTATACATAGATAGATACAACAAAGGGGAAAACTAAGGGCTGTGTAACCGTGCGGAATAATTCTGCCTCCAGGAAAATAATCTCAAAACCTATTTGATTAGTCCATATCGAATATGCATTTCAAAAACAGTGCAATGCTTTTGTTTCACTTCTGTGTTTTGGGAGACTCAGCACCACCTAGTAATTTGCAGTGGTGTGATATTCCTGTGGTATTCTAGAGTTCAGTCTGCTGTGTCATTAGGACAAATAGCTTAGGATTTTAGAGCTTGGAGAACCACAGGTTTCAAAACTGACTCTTTTGAAATTGATGCATAACTTAACACTTCATTGAATCCTCACCAACCATCTGGAGAGGTAGATTTGAGATAAAAATCACTTGGTTTGAGTTTTTTTGAGTGTGAGAAAACTCCAAGTATGCCTCTTAACCACTATCGTCAGAAGTTTACAATGAAAGGTTCCTCTTCACCTATTTTTGCAGGGGCCTTCAAGTTAACCTCCAGGTACACTAGGAATGCTCCTGGGATGCCACCTTTCACCATGCGGGTGTTATTCTGGCCCCTCCCTCAAATCTGTGAGAGTTGCATAGGGGTGCTTGCCAGCCCTGTTCGTTCTTACAAACTAATAGATTATAGGATGAGCCAGAACCCCAGGGTTCTATGAAGATATGTCAAAGGCAGCTTTAGGCAGCTGTTCTTTCACCTGCTTTATATTTTGGGCTTCTGCATATGTTTCATTTAGACAAAAAAAAACAGAGACTACTGCTTAAAAGAATGGCAAACCAGTACCCCGGGTTCCCCACCCTGGGGAGGGGGAAAAGAAGCCCAGAGGGGTAAATTGGCCTGCCTGAGGTTGTACAGCTAATCATGAAGGATCGGAGGGCCCTCCCTGGCCTGTTAGGTTCCTCTGCCCTCCCTGGCTTCTGTGTCTAAGCCAACATTCTCTTCTAATGATATTTTCCCCCTAAATTGAAAGCAGACAGCCCTGCTACAGGATCAGCAAACTTTGAAGACTGAACATACCTGATGAGAGTTCAGCTTTGAAAGGAAACGCAACTGACCCACTTAATGATCCACACACTGTTATTGTGCTACACGGAAATTAGACATGCATAATATACTGCTTATGGAAATAAGAGTAATTAGAATTTATTTTTTCCCTCAGCTAAAACTAGTTGGATGGTTTTTTTCTGTGTATTTGTGATAGTGTAGCATCAATGAACAAAGTCAGTGCTAATGGTTTTCTCTAAAGTAATGTTGCTTCTTTGTGGACTCTCCCAAACATGTATTGATTCATAGACAAGGCCTGGACTCTGCTTCTGGGAGGAAAAGCTGAGCTGGGAACTGGCCCTCTGCCCACCACCTTGGAAGATCAGCCCAGAATGCTGAGGGTGACAAGTCAGTGTGGTAACTGGGAGCCAGGGGGCTGGAGAAGGGCTCCCTGGACTGACATCATGGTTACTGAACTTTGAAGGTCAAAGGTGGTGCAGTAGACCTGCATTGAGAGGAAAGATAGGTTCAGGTTTGGGAGTACAAGGGGAGAAGACCAAAGATTTAGGGAGGCAAAGAGAGCTCCTGTCTTTGGACAGGGAAGGAAAGCCTTGAGTTGGAGTGGAGGACAAAGCGGGGTGATGATGAGCTATGCTCAGGGCATCTGAACATGGGGACGCCACATGCTTGAGTGGGAACTTTGGAGAGACAAAGGCTGAAGACAGAATGAATGTCATATGCTTCTGTAATTTGCTGAGGCTCAGCCCTGCTACTTTCAGCTGGACAAACCTGACAAGGCTGGGTGTGTGGTTTACAAATAGGTGTTCAGCTTAGGGCAGACATTGCTCAGGGCCAGTTGTCAACCTTAATCTTTGGGAAGCTGATGAGAAACAGAAACCCTTTCCTTAGAAACACACACACACACACACACACACACACACACACACCGTGTATGCAATTTCTGCAGGTATCTACATAGATGCCAATTTCAGACCCTGCTGTGATCACCCCTCACTGGCTACACAGGGGGGCCTGATATCCAGGACCAATTTTCCCCCTTCTTTGACCACTTTTCTCTAACTTGGTAAGAAGGGAGCAATGAACACTCTTAGCCAGGTAAGAACACTCAAGAATGGCATGAAGTGGCTCCTGGCAGACTTGCCAAGAGCCTCTTGCACTTCCCCTCCAACACAGTGGCTGCTGCCCCCAACCCCCAGCTCTCCCCTGGGAACCAGCTAACTTTCTCTTCCTGTCTGGAATAAAGGGAGATCATCCCTTCCTTACTGCTGCTGCTGAAAATAGTATAGTTTTCTTTTTCTTTTCTTGACCACTGAATAAGAAGGCCCTTGCTTGCAGCTGTATAACGAAAACCACATCATGTTGCTGTCTGTGGTTGGGAGGTTGTGGGTGAAGCTCTGCGAGGTCATAATGTGCCCATGGTTGTTTCCTACCTCTCCTTCATATGCCAAGTGTTCTGGGTCTTCTATTAGAGCTTGGAGATGGTTGGGGCCAGGAGCCAAGAGACAAGTAAGAGAGAGTTATAGGGAAAATTATCTTCTTCCTCTGGGTTGGCTTTACTTTAATGGCTGAGGATTTTCTTGCTCCTCTGAGCAATCTTTGTTTATTTTACCCACTCCCTGGTAAAAAGTGATACCGAGCTTCCAAGCTGACAAAGAAAAGAAGGGGCGACGATTGTGCCAAAAAGGGCTGCAGCCACGTGCAGCCTGTTCGCTGCACCATCTGCGCCCAATGCCTGCCCAAGGACAAGGCTATTAAGAAGTTCCTCATCCAAAACACAGTAGAGGCCACCGCTGTCAGGGACATTTCTGAAGCAAGCGTCTTCACCGCCTATATACTTCCGAAGTTGTATGTAAAGCTACATTATTGTGTGAGTTGTGCCATTCACAGCAAGGTAGTCAGGAATTGATCTCGTGAAGCCTGCAAGGACCAAACACTCCCACCCTGATTTACATGTGCAGGTGTTGCCCTACGGCCTCCACCAAAGCCCTTGTAAGGAGTTGAGTCCTTAAGGGCTGAAGAAAAACTGTTCTCTCTAGAAAAATAAAATGGAAATTATACTTAAAAAAAAATTAAAAGGTGATATTGCTTGCTCTGGCCCCATGGCTCTCAGTGATGGCAACACATTAGAATTACCTGACAGCTTTAAGAAAAAAATGCTGTTGCTCAGACCCCTCTAAGAACAATGAAATCAGAATCTTTTTTAGAACATGTGGATACTTAGGCAGGTTGTAATCTCTGCTCAGATTACAGACCATTTTCCCCTGGATAAGCGGCCTTAGCCATTCAGAACGCACCTTCTGAATGTTTGGTAAGAACCGTCAGCCTTTTTATTCCTAAAATTTTTTTCCTAGTTCTTACCGCACTTGAAAAATACACATTAACATATATATATGACATATCTTTCATATATAATGTATATATTTGATTTGAGGCATGACAGAGGGAAGGTTCATAACAAATAAGTGCCCATTACAAATATGACTTTAAGCTTGATGAGAGTAAGCCCTGGTATTTCAAAGAACAAGGATAAGGCAACGGGAACTTTTAGATGTGACTCTTCTACATTTCTGAGGCTAAATGATTCTCTTTCTTTATCTATTTAACAAATATTTATTAAGGCATTGTGGTAGATACTGTGGAAAAAAAAGATGGGCTGCAAGCTCAAGAAAGTTACAGTCTAAGGGATATGAACAAACTTTCAGATCAATTAAGCTTTGAAGTTAGCTGTCATAGCTGAAGGAAAAGCTGAAGAAGAAAATTCGCAAGTTTTGATCTCCAATTAAATAGACAAGATACTCAAACATCAACAGCAGCAAAGTCTTAGCAAAGAAGGTAAATATTTTCTGTTCAAGAAAAGATTTAACCTTGAATGGAGAATGAAGGCAGGGGTTTTTTCTTTGGCTTAGCTGCTTCCTTTCCAGCAGCTTGCCTGGCACATCGTGGTCACACCTTCCCTGCCTCACTCTTCATCCTTTGGGTCTCAGCTTTGGAAGATTCTGGAAACCTCCGATCCTCCTGAGGCAGGTGCCCCTGCTGGAGGATCCTATTAGGAGTTTTGGAAACTTACTGCCTGGAATAGAATCCCAACTTTGCTTGTTCCCAGCTGAGTGACCCTGGAGCCAGTTATTTACCCTCCCTGGGTCTCAGTGTCCTCACTCATGAAATGATAATAAGATTGATACGAAAATAAATGAGTTAATATGGGTAAAGCACTTAACAGAGGGCAAGCACATGGTAAACCATAAGTGTAGCTATTATCATGGCACCCTGAGTTTAACCTAGCATCACCACCTACCATCCAGGACTGAGTGGATGAGGCTCCAATTAAATGAGTAAATGATATGATAAGATGGAGCTAATCCATCACCAAAAGGGACAAGAAGCAAGTTGCTTGCCCTACTGAATGAAGAAGCCAATTTATGCAGGGATTTCTCAGAGTCACTGCAGGGTGGATCATCAGTATACACTCAGGAACTAAAGGTCACCCTAAAATTAAAGGGCCCTCAAAAGGCCTAAGACACAGCCACAGCTGGGCATGGTGGCTCACGCCTATAATTCCAGCACTTTGGGAGGCCAAAGTGGGTAGATCACTTGAGGTCAGACGTTCGAGACCAGCCTGACCAACATGGTGAAACCCCGTCTCTACTAAAAATACAAAAAAAAATTAGCTGAGTGGCGGGGTCTGTTATCCCAGCTACTTGGGAGGCTGAGGCAGGAGAATCGCTTGAACCTGGGAGGCGGAGGTTGCAGTGAGCTGAGATCATACCACTGCACTCCAGCCTGGGCGACAGAGCCAGACTGACTCCATCTCAAAAAAAAAAAAAAAGAAAGAAAGAAAGAAAGAAAGAAAGAAAGACACAGCCTCAGCTGAGTCCAGCAGAGCTGAAGCAGAAGTCAGGTCCTGGATGTGGAGCTTGTGGAGCAAGAACAGCAACTTCGTGGGCTTAAGTTTAGAGGGGCATCTCCGCATTTGGGCTCCCAGAGTGAAACAGGAAGAACTGAAAAAGGAGAATTAGGCTTTAAACGTGGAGCAAACTGACTGGCTAACTTGAGGCCGAGCTGTAACTTACTCTGTGTAGTCTGGAGATGACAACCCACACAGAGAATAGAAACAGCCACTTCCACATGCCTCCCTTCTGCCCACTCTTTAGACCTCTGCCAAGAGCCCCTGGGCCACAGGGACAGCCTCACCCTTTCTCCTCCCCTTTCTACCCGCACTGGCCGCCATCCAGATGCCTTCCAGCTTCAGGAGGCCCAGGCTTTGGGGCTGCTAAGGAAGCCCACTCCCTTGTTGCCTCAGCCCTACCCTGAAGCTAAGAACAGTCTGCGGGGTGAGGGAGAGCTGAAGGCCTGCTCTTGTGCTGGGACAGAGGGAAACATGTTGAAACTAGGAACACATTTTCCCATAGCTGATGCTGTAAGCGGTGGACACACTCTCCAGTGCCATTAGAGCTGTAGTTTTTGATGCATTTGCTTCATCCTCCTCCCCTTAGCCTGTTAGGCATCTGTGGGCTAGCCTGGGAACCTTTTCTGTAGGGTGGAAGCAGGTGTGAGGGGAAACACATTCCGAATTCCAAAAGTTGATTGATCACTGCTTCAAGTTCTCAAACACCTGATGGGGACTGTTTTTTTTTACCAGGAATCACCTCGCTGCAGAGAGGTTTCCTGGGCTTTTGTGGCTGTGGGTGAGGCTCTGCAGCAGTGGGTGGAGAAAGGGGATGGGGCTCTAAGTTCCAGGACTCTGGGCATAAGAACTGTCACTGCCCTGCCACCTCCCTTGCCATTAGCTAAGTCTAGCTAAAGATTCTGGAACAAAGTAGTGATAGACTCTTCTAGTTGGGGCTACCCATTGCTCATTTCCTCCAGAACAGACCACACTTGCTCTGAGCCGCCTTCCCACCCTGGCGTCTGCATCTCAGGACTCCACTTCCTTCTAGTGGTTCCTTCAGACCAGCCTTGAGGCCCAGGAACAGGGAGTTAGCTTTCTTCCCATTCAGTGCTTGCTGTGTATTTAAGCCAATGTGACATTTTCATACTTATCCCCAAGCTTCAAGTTATTTTTCTTTTTGACTATGGGTCCATGTCCTACCCAATTTCCTGAGCTGTTTCCCCCTATGCACCAACAGAAATGACACTCTTGAGTTGAACCGATCTTGCTATTTCTCCCCCAAGGGGCTGGCCTCAAGTACTGATTCAGTGAGGGTCACAGCCTGCTGGAACTTCAGGAGTCTAGATAGCACTCTCTGTCTCTCTAGACTTTGCCGCAGTATACAATTTCAACTAAGGCTTCACATTTAAAACCCCTGGGAACAAACAGGCTGACTGTAATTCAGAGGAGAATAAGTATTGGTACTAGATTTTTTTTTGTAAGAGCAGAGTTTGATAGAGAAAGATGAAAACATCAGGCTGCTGAATGGCTGAAGGGAAGAGGAGGAAGAGGAGGTCTCTTGAAGAGAAAGGACTTAGACATGAAGTCTGAGTCCCACATCAGGCCTTGTTGTTATTTTCATTGGTAGTAAGTGCTACTTATCTGTGTTGATTGCTTACTCTGTGCCAGTCACTTTATACATGCAAAGTAATATTTCAGTATCTTTAAGAATTGGGCATTTTAATCCCCATTTTACAAAAGAGAAAACTGAGTGATTTAACCAAGTGATGCCAAGATTATAGAGATGGGAAAGGCAGAATTGAAATCAAGATCTGTATGACTCCTAAGGCCATGGTCTCAGGCATGAACCACATATCTTAGGATAGCATATTTCATAATTTGGCATTAACAGTTTTGCCACAACCTATGAAAAGTGATTTTGCTCCCTTTGCTTTGTTTTTCCCACAGCCTAAACCATGAAGAGTCATAATAACGATGGACATTTGCATAGCACTTTACCCTCTGCAAGGTGCATTTCACACACACGGATCTAAACCTACCAGCTTTGAAGCCCAGCCAGACCCTATCTTTTCCTCCCAGGTCCCTTGCCCACTGCAGCCACATCTTCTTCACCTCTTGGAATACCCACTGCCTTAGGGTCAGGTGTACCCAATTTGTTATGCATTCTACCTGTTGTTTTGTTCTCTAACACTTTATGTATGCAAATCGATGGTGAGTTCCCCCGAAGGCAGATCTGGTAGCTCACTGTGGCTCTCTCAGGGTGAGCCCCATGTGAGACATGCAGCAGTTGATTCATTGACCCTACTTCCTTCTTCAGAAAACCAGTGTTTGTGCCCTTCTAGGAAGCTCAGGATAAGGCACATTGCTGATGTGCTGGATTATCAGGAATCCAATTGCTTAATGGTCCCCACAGGGGTTCATAGCTACTCCCAAATAGAAACTGACCCAGGCTTTGCACAGAACTCCCCAGAAACACTGCCTTTTCCTAGTTCCTCACCAATCACTCCTTGGTGTGAACCACATTCTTGGCAAGGCCCCAGAACCAACTGAGTTTCTGGGATCGAGTCTCAGGCACTCTTTGTTCTCGTTTAAGCTTGGTTGATGCATACCAGGCCCTGGTACCACGCCCATGGCCTGATGCTGGCCCAGAATGCCTTGTAGGCCCCCTTCCCACCACTACTGGAGGGAGAGGGGTGAATGTCACCCCTCCCCTCAAAAGCAACATATACCAGCTCTCGCTGTCATAGACACTAGAAAACAGCTTGACATATAAGCTAGGATTCCGGCAAACCGTACATAAATCTATAGGCTATGTGAAGGCAATTGAGCTAATTTGTGTGATTATGCATATTTCTTTCCCCAGCTCTTTTCATGTTTTTTGTTGTTGTTGTTGTTGTTGTTGTTGAGATGGGGTCTCGCAGTGTCGCCCGGGCTGGAATACAATGGTGCGATCTCGGCTCACTGCAACCTCCACCTCCTGGGTTCAAGCGATTCTCCTGCCTTAGTCTCCCAAGTAACTGGGATTACAGGCACCCACCACCATGCCTGGCTAATTTTTCATATTTTTAATAGAGACACGGTTTCACTATGTTAGCCAGGCTGGTCTCAAACTCCTGACCTCGTGATCCGCCTGCCTCAGCCTCCCAAAGTGCTGGGATTACAGGTGTAAGCCACCGCACCCGGCCTCTTTTCATGTTTTAATCAGATCCTATCTGGAATGGGACTTTCAATTCAATGCAATAAGTATGTAATGGGATTCTAACGTGCCAGACACTGTTGGGTTTACAGAGATGCTCTCAAGTTGCTCCTGACCTAAAGGATTCAAAGAGGGAAAACAACTAAAAGAAGTACAAAGAAGAATGGAATGAGGGCTGTAGAGGATGAGCAAGCAGGGGATGTGCACATGTGAGGCAGCCAAGTGAGAAAGAACCATCAGACAGAGTGGGTTGTTTTCACCAGGGGAAAAATCAGTAAAATTATAAAACAAACATCATCTGACCGAGTTATGACAGCTATGGGAGGATGGGAGGATGGGGTGGTTGGTCTCTAGAGGCAGAAAACCACAGGAATTTGCCTGACACTTGGAATTGGTCACACCCTTCTGCACCCTGGGGAAGAAGGGGCTTAAAATCTGGGAAAGGCAGCTGAGGGTACTTAGAGTGGTGAGGCTGAGACTGGCTGCAGTGACAGAAGCCTGCCTTCAGCTGCAGGGGGAGTGAACCTAACCTCAGGAGAGGGCAAACCAGCTGATAATAACAAGAGTGACCTTTGATTTGGCTTATCTTGGCTTTGTCTATCCCCTGCCCAAGCACAGAAGAATGGAGAATTCTGTTAAAATTAGCTGGGCTTGGTGGTGGGCGCCTGTAATCCCAGCTACTTGGGAGGCTGAGGCGAAAGAATTGCTTGAACCCGGGAGGCACAGGTTTCACTGACCCAAGATGGCGCTACTGCAATCCAGCCTGAGTGACAGAGTGAGACTCTGTCTCAAAATAAAATAAAATAAAATAAAATAAAATAAAATAAAATAAAATAAAACTTTTAAAAAATGGTGCTAACTGACCCTCTGTTTCTTGATTAAATCTATCTGTATGGCATAAATGTCCAACTGCAGAGTCTTCCACTATATGGAAAGTTCTGTTTTGTCCCCATCTTATGAAGAAGGACCAACTCAGAGAGGTTAAGTAACTTGCCTCCTGTCACCCAGCCAGGAAGCGGCAGAAGCAAGACTCCAGCTGTGTCTGTGCAACATTAAATTCTCCTTCCATGGCTTTGTCTGCTCTTGACCCAACGAGACACAGCTATGCTAGCAGTAAAACAGGTCTGATATGCAGAGCTCCATTTTGCCATGCATTGCCAAGGTGATAAGTTCAGTAGGATTTAGTTAGACTTAATAAAACTTCTGGCAATTGAGTTCCCATCCCCAGTTTTTCAAAGTAAAACACTTAGGTTCCAAATGGCAGGATTCTAAACAGAGAGCATGCCCTGTTACCATAAGTAGCCCCTTCCACCACTTCTTTCCCATCTGTTTCCTGCATGCTGGGTATTATTGGGAAACAATGATGTCAACTCTTCCATATAAATCTACACCTCCCTGCCAGCCCCTCCCCTACAATGCATATTTTTGTTCCTCTTTCTGGCTTTTGTCTTGCTGTTCTGCTAAGGACTCATACTTTTGGCGACAATTGTTGGCTTTCTTTTTAACAAGTTTTAGCTATTTAAGCTTTATTGTGGCCTTCAAAGTGCACATGCTTTTTGGGGCCTATATTTGGAAGATCCTTTGTTTGGCTAATAGCTAGAATATGAGCTTGGTGCTAATGGAGAAGAGCCATGTTGCTTTCTGGAAAAGCAAAGCCAAATGCAGGTCTCTGAATCAAGCTCAGAGCTGAGGACAGAAACGCTGCTTGGGTTGGGGGCCCTCTGAGGCTGCATTAAAGCTGTAGCTGCCCTGGACACAGAGCCTATAGCTAAAGGCCAGGAGAATATCCCCTTCAGGTAATCTGTAAACGTCCTGTTTTCCCCCCTCCTAAGCCTGACTTCCAAATGGGGCATGGTTTCCTCAGTTTTCCTTTCTTTAGTAACTCTAAAGACAATTTGGTTTCAGATGGAAAGGAGGGCTAGTTCTCTGGGTACAGTATGAGTTTTAAATTCAGAGTCCGAGAATTCTGGACCTCTCTTGTTAATCCTTGGGCAGCATTTCTCAAACTTTACTGGGCATAAGAAAGACTAAAAATGTAATTCTTGCTTTTAAATTTTAATTTTAAAATTAAATATTAGTCAATTTTAGTATACTACTAGAGATACTCTTCAAATCCAGTTTTGGACTCCTTGAGACAAAATGGACATCTAGTAAAAGTTTTCAAATGGGGCCGGGTGTGGTGGCTCAGGCCTGTAATCATAGCACTTTGGGAGGTTAGGTGGGTGGATCACTTGAGGTCAGGAATTCAAGACCAGCCTGGCCAACATGGTGAAACCCCATCTCTACTAAAAAAATTACAAAAATTAGCTGGGCATGGTGGCGCGTGCCTGTAATCCCAGCTACATGGGAGGCTGAGGCACGAGAATTGCTTGAACCTGGGAGGTGGAAGTTGCAGTAAGCCGAGATCGCACCACTGCACTCTAGCCTGGGGGACGGTGTGAGACTTTGTCTCAAAAAAAAAGTTTTCAAACGGGTATTTGCATAGGTTGTGTAATGTCTGGGTCGATGGAGAACATATGATTCTACCGAATGGGTTCCATAGTTTATAGGGCAGCAAGCTGTAAAGTGCTGCTGCAAGTCAGGATTCTGAGGTCCAGTTCCTCAGGGATTTTACTTTTGTTGGTCTGGGGTGGGAAATCCACATTTTAAAGATGAGCTCCAGGTGATCTAATATCCTTGGCCTACTGATCTCACTTTGAGAAACACTGACTTAGCACACAGAAAGAAGCAGCTATGTGAAACGACACGATTTTTATTTTCTTCATTATACTTTTATATTGCCCAACATTTCAACACTGAAGATACATTTTTATCTTTTAAATCAGAAAGAAACATTTCTAAAATTATTTTAGGAATAGTGTGTCTTGAGTCATTGGCTTTTTCATAAATGCCCTTTGTTTCAATCTTTATTTTTAGAAAAAAAAAACTAAGTCTGTTAGTTTTTTTTTTCATGCCTTAATAGATCCAGTATAGTGAAACCAATTAACCTATCCGCAGTGTGTAGCAGGGTGGTTGAGCATATGGTTTGTTTGCTGATAGACTACCATGATTCAAATTCCAACTCTACCACATGCTAGGTTTGTGACCATGGACAAGCTACCAAACCTCTCTATGCCTCAGTTTCTTCATCTGTAAAGTGGAGATTATGATGATAATGGTACCTACCACATAGAGCCATTATGAGCATTAAAGCAACTAGTGCACTGTTTGGAATTTAGTAAACCTTCCATACCTATTAACTATGGTTATCATTTCCTTGAGGATTGGAAATCTTACCGTGTTTCAGCCTTATTACTAAAAGTATGGTTCCTCGGTTATGCTATAGATGTGGAAGTTGAGAAAGCTGAGAACAAATATTCCAAGGCCCCCATCTATCCCTAGGGGTTTCTTTCTCTAAGAAATTCTCTTGTATGTACACAATTATTTATTTCCCTTGGGTGGATGTATAAAAATGCTAGTTTTAAGATTCTAATCTGTTGATAAATATATCTGGGGTGGGAATGTGGCAAACTTTCTAAGTTTTATATTTCTTTAGCAATTAGAAAAAGAAAATAATCTAAAAATAATTCTTCCTCCCTTATAAAGTTTATGATAAAAAGGCTATAATCACAGTGACAGCCATCTAGCCTGCTAGTTTCCATCTGTATTTCAGGAGAGTTATAAATCTGGCAATCAAGTCTGTTTCCATCATTGATGGAACAATGTAAGTCCTGGATTTTTGCTGGGCCATAAGACATCTCACATATGCCTATTTATTTGCCCCAAAACTGCATTTTGGAAGTTGACGGAATGAGGTAAATCTGGCTTGAGAGTGAATCCAAGTATGAATTAACAGCAAAAAAAAAAAAAAAAAAAAGCTCAATCTTAGGCTGTAGGAACAGCAGCAGAGTATATAGATCAAGGGATCCATCCACACTCTTCAGGACTGGAGTCACGCACGCAGCGTTGTCTTTATTCTGGAGCTGCATTTTAACATGGAAGCTTGTACACAGAATTATATTTAGCAAGGTGATCAGAAGAGTGAAGGATTGTAAAATGCTACAGATGACAAATGAAGTTGCTGAGAATGTTTATTACAGACAAGTAAATGCTGCTTCCTTTGCAGACATGACCATGCTGGCCTCTCTGGGTTGTGGTGTTTGTTGTCCCTTGTCTTAGTTTCCTATTGCTCCCATAACAAATTACCACAAACTTAATGACTTAAAACAATACAAATCTATTATCCTACAGTTTTGTAAGTTAGAAGTCCAACACAGCTGTCACTAAAGTCAAGGTGCAAGATGTATTTCTGGAGGCTCTGGGGAAGAATCCATTTCCTTGCCTTTTCCAGCTTCCAGAAACCACCTACATTCCTTGGCTTATGGCACCTTCCTCCATCTGTCTTCAAAGCCAACCATATTGCATGTCTTCCACCATTTGTCCAAAGTCATGTCTTTCTCTACCCACAGCTGGGAAAGCTTCTCTGCTTTCAATGACTCATGTGATCAGGTTAAGCCTGCTTGTATAATCCAGGACACTATCCCTATCTCAAGGTCCTTAACCTAATCACATCTGTAAAGCCTCTTTGTATAGAAGGTAACATATTCACAGGTCCCAGGGATTATGGCATGGACATCTTTGAAGGGCATTATACTGCTTACCGCCCTCCAGAAAGGTGTCGCACTGGGCAAATTGCCCATACCTGATGACCTCTGAAGTCTTTCCCAATTCCTAAATGTGGTCATTATATGATTTTTTTTGTTGTTGTTAAATTTTAGACAGGGTCTCACTTTATCACCCAGGCTGGAGTGCAGTGGTACAATCTTGGCTCACTGCAGCCTTGACTTCCTGGACTCAAGTGATCCTCCCGCCTCATCCCCCCTAAGAAGCTGGGACTACAGGCATGCACCCCCACGCCTGGCTAATTTCTGTATTGTTTGTAGAGACAAGGTTTCACGATGTTGCCCAGGCTGGTCTCAAACTCCTGGACTCAAGTATTCCACTCACCTTTGCCTCCCAAAATGCTGGGTTTACAGGTGTGAGCCACCGTGCCTGGCCAATTAATCCAATTTGGTACACTGTTAGAAATACTCCCTAAATTCCATTTCTGATTGCTTGAAACAAAATGGACAAACGGAAAGCCCTGTATGTGAGGGTTTGTGGAGAACATGTCATTCTACTAATGAGTCTCTACTTTGTAGACTGCAAGTGTAAAGTGCTGCTGGCCTGTCAGTAATATGTGTTCAGCCTTGCTGACTGCTGAGGAAGCCACAGAAGTGCTGGAATCATGGCTCCCATCGATTGAGAACTTGCCTCTTGCCAGGCCCTGTGCAAATGTTAACTCATGTGTCTCTGAAAACAGCCCTAGGAGGTCAGAGAAGAAAATAGAGGTTGGGTGCAGTGGCTCACACCTGTAATTCCAGCACTTTGGGAGGTTGAGGCAGGAGAGTTGTTTGAACTCAGAAGTTCAAGACCGGCCTGGACAATATGGCAAGACTCTGTCTCTACAAAAAAAAAAATACAAATATTAGCCAGGCATGGTGGCGTGGGGCTGTGGTCCCAGTTACTCAGGAGGCTGAGGTGGGAGGATTGCTTGAGCCCAGGAGGTCAAAGCCGCAGTGAGCTGTGATCATGCCACTGCATTCCAGCCTGAGACAGAGTGAGACTCTGTCTCAAAAAAAACTATCCCCCCCACCACAACCACCAGCACCATGGAAAAGTTGTCTTCTGCGAAACCAGTCCCTGGTGCCAAAAAAGTTGGGGACCACTGGCTTAGACAACCACCATTTAGCGAGAGCACTTTGAGTTAGGTAATGCCTGTTGTAAATGCTCACATGCCTGGGAAGATTAAAGGCACTATCAACTGTTTTTTTTTTTTTTTAATCTCAGGTCTCAAAAAAGAAAACAAAATAAAATAGAATCTCAGAGAAGTGAAGTGATATGCCCAAAACCACATAGCTGGTACTTGGCAAAGCCAGGGTTCAATCTAAGTCCTGTCTCAGTCCGTCACACTACACGGTCCCTTTCTAAATTATCCTCCCGTCAAGCTGACTGGCATTCACAGGAGAAGCAGCTAGAGAACAATAGATCACATTGGGTAATTGAATGCCTTGGCCACACAGGGAGCCCAGGCTCAGTCTTCAGGGGTCAAAAGAGAAAACCAGTTAGGGACTTGGCCTGGAAAAGCTTCCAGGAGAGCAGCCAGAGATGACACAACAACATTCTGTGGTCACCCAGTGGTGTGCAAGAAAGGAGATCCAGACTCCAGAACAGATTCTTAACCAAGTGATTCACCCTTCAGGGAGTTCTTGCCTTGGTAATATGGTGCAGACTGGGGGTCCCCAAACCTCAGGCTGCAAACAGGTATGATCCATGGTCCCTTAGGAACCAGGCTGCACAGCAGGAGGTGAGGGCAGGCAAGAGAGCATTACTGCCTGAGCTCTGCTTCCTGTCAGATCAGCAGCATTTCTAATAGGAGCGCCAATCCTATTGTGAACTGCGCACGAGGGATTTAGGTTGCAGGTTCCTTATAAGAATCTACCTAATGCCTGATGATCTGAGATGGAACAGTTTTATCCCAAAACCATTCCCCACCACCATGGAAAAGTTGTCTTCCACGAAACTGGTCCCTGGTGCCAAGAAGGTTGGGGACTGCTGGCTTAGACAACCACCATTTAGCGAGAGCACTTTGAGTTAGGTAATGCCTGTTGTAAATGCTCACACGCCTGGGAAGATTAAAGGCACTACCAACTGCTTTTTTTTAAATCTCACTGGTAATTCACCTAATCAACTTCCTTTTTCCCAACCCTAAATTGGAATTAACTGAAGAAACAGGCTTTTAAAGGGGAAAAGACAGCTTTGAAGGATAGACATGCAGATGAAACAGGTAGGCTGGTGTGGTGCTAACCTCCAGCAAGGCAGAAAGTGGTCAATGAAGAGCACAGAAGTGACAGCCTATGTTCCCCTCTGTCTGCCTCCAGCTCCCCATCACGCCTGTCCGTTTTAATGCCAGTAGATTCCCCAGTTGGCCAATCGTCTCCGTTCCCAGTGTTTCTGCCCTAGAGTAGACCTCTGTTACCTCTCACTTCCAACCGCTGTCATAATTTCCTCCCTTGAGTAAGAAGAAAACGAGCTCCTTGAAGACTGGCACCCATCCTCTGTTCCTCTGTGTATTAGGTGTCTGCAGGGCTGGTTTGTTTCTGCAGGCTCTAAGGGAGAATCTTGCCATTTCCAGCTTCTAGAGGCCTTCCTCATTCCTTGACTCATGTCACCTTTGCTCCTCAGCCTCCATCCTCACATTGTCTTCCTCTGTCTGATCTGCGTCTCTCTTATGAAGTGATTACATTAGGACCACTCAGACAATCCAAAATAATCTCCCCATCTCAAGATCTTTAATTTGATAACATCTGCAAAATCCCTTCTGCCATATAAGGTAATATTCACAGATTCTAGGAATAAGGATGTGGACCTCTTTGGGGGGACGTTACTCAACAAACCACAGTTTGTTTTCCCACAGGACACGGTTGGCTAACAGATAGCATTCACTTAAGAGAATAGAGTGGCGATTATGGGAGTGGAGGAAGAGATGGACATCAAATGCCACCATCTGCTAAGCACTTATCAGGCATTGGATCAGCTGGGACACTGGGAGGAACAGGTATTATCTGTCCTGGGGAGGGAATGTGGGAGACAGGGTCACAATCCCATATGATGGACGTATCTTCAACTGATTCTCACACAAACCACAATAGGAAGTAGATGACATCAGTTCTGACTCAGAGGAGTGGGATCTTAAAAGATGAGTGGAATCTGAGTAGTCTCTGTCTGAAGGGAAGATATTCCAGACAGAGGTAACAACAAAAATCAAGGTAGAGTGGTAAAAACAGTACAGCAGGATCAACATTCTCAAAAGAGAACAAAGGTGACAGTATCTATCTGCCTGAACTCTCTGTTTACAGGAACCAATGGCTACTTGAGTGACCATTTTAAATCTTCCAGGGAAAAGAGAGTGGTGAAGACAAATGTGTCCATTTAAATTCCAGACTGATAAAGGAAGTGGAAAGCTCACAAGAGCCACGTTTAAAACCACCTTGTCCTTTTTGTTGGTTTTGTTGTAGCTGTTGAGAAAAAATTGGACCCCCATCAGGGAATAAACTTTTTTCAGGTGGAGAGAAAATGTACCTGGGGCAATTCTAAACCAGAGTTTCAAACTTTGTTCCATTTATTTATAATTTTGGGAAATTTCATTTCACTCAGTCCTGTGGATGATAACTAGAAGGATGTTTAACGTTTCAAATCCAAGTTTTATTTGAGGTGAAAAACTTTGTAATGTTCCTTCTCACCCGCCTCCTGGTCACGCTTCTACTCCATCCCATCTCTTTTTCTTCCAGCCTTCTCTTCATCTTTGTCATTTCCCCAGTTTGAGAAACAATGCAGGATGTGATTTAATAAGGAATAAACACCTGACACAAGTACAAGCCGTCTTCTTCTCTTGTAAAATTACAAAAATAATAAAATAAAATAACAAAAGCAATTGTTAAAAACAACAACAACAACAATGTGATTTATAAAGTATAAAGTCCCTTCCCACATCCTTGTAGCCCCATTTGTCAGTTATCAGTCTAGACAGATTCATCTAATTCGGTATAATGGAGCTTTCCGCAAAGATGGAAACTTGCTCTATCTGTGCTGCCCAGTGTGGCAGCCACTAGCCACATGTGTCTGTTGAGCACTTGAATGTGGCTGGTGCTACCCAGGAACTAAAATTTTAATTTTAATTAATTTAAATGTGGCTAGTGGCAGTTACACTGGATAGCACAGAGACCTTTCTCTGTGTGTTTACTAAAAATTCGCATGGAGATTGATATTCTTTGTTCTTTTCCCTCAAAAATAAAGTTATATCATACACATGTTCTGAAATATGCTATTTTCAAGTGAGAGTAGACCTTGGCCAACTACCCATTTTGTAACTATAATTTGATTTCTTTCTTTTTAATCACTGGATGAGATTCTACTGAATGGATGGTTTTTAAAGTGTTAATTATTTTTCAAATCAGATATCACATTATTGTTGTTTAAAATGTAAAAGACTCTAAAGAGTATAGTAAAAAAATTTCCTTCCCATCCCTGTCCCCAGCTTCTCTGTTCCTCTTCCCAGAATCAACTAGTGTTATTTTCTTGGAAATCCTTCCAAAGATATTTTGTGTATATACAAGCAAATATACATATGTTTTATTTTTTAAACCATAATTTATTTCACCATTTCTTTGTGTATGAAGCTTTCTCTTTTTACAAGTTCCTGTAAGATTTCACTTATTATCTAAATATTGATCACTTATCTATTGAATATATGAGCCACGTATCATTTTCATTGATAATTTCTATTATCTATAACTTGTTAAATATCAATAATGGCTTCCCTTTGCTGAACGAACGAGGGTAGAATTTGCTAGCCCACATACTTCTAATTATAGTTTAAACTTGTTTTCCAGTATTCGTGAGGGATTTTGTCTGGTCAATTGATACTCTGTCAGCTGGACAGCTGGAGTTTAGGCCCTGGAGTAAAGCTGAGGCTGAGAGCAGGGAAGACTTAGAAGCTGTCTGGCCCACAAACTGGTATATCCATGCATCTTGGTCACAGTGGTTATCCAGGCCAACCTGGCACAGATCACAAAGACCCAAGAAGAGTGGCAAAAGCAGGTGAAATGGAGGTGGCAGCCTAAACTGAAAACATATCCTGAAGTTGAGTATCTATATTTTTGCAGATGCTGTAGCCAGAGTATATCTTAAGGTAGGATCAGAAAACATTTATATCCATAGATTCTTATAGTGGGCAAAAGGAGAATGTCTTAATAAGAGCTTGTCACCAGTGGCACTCACTAAATCCGTCAATGGCTTTCCAGTGCCTGCAAGACAAACACCAACTCCATCAACACCAACAAGGTTTGCCGCCTTCACATGCAGATACCTGCTTCCTCTGCAGCCTCAATGGACACATCTCCCGACCAGAGCATTATCCCTGGCCACACTCTACTTCTCGCAGTTCCTCAAAAGTGCCATGCCGCTCTTGCCTCCAAGTTTTCGTACACGTTCCTTCCTCTGTGTGGAACACTCCCCTCAACTCTCTTTTTAGCCTCACTTTGGGCCTTGCCAACTCCAACCCATCTTTTGCACCTCAGCTCGGATGTCTCATCCTCCAGGGTGCCTTTCCTGGTCCTCCAGAGAAAAAGTTAGGTGCCCTTGGTGTGTGTTCTCATCTTATCCTGTACTTCCCCAACGCTGCTCTTATCATCCTCATCCCCACCTAATCCCTGCCTCATCCTAGACTCTGAATGATCCTGGGTCATCTCTGTGAGACTCAGGAACTGTGTCTTCTGGTGTTCATTATTTTATTGCCAGTGCCTAGCATAATGTTCGTAAATATGTGTTGACCGAGTGGCTGGGTCCAGAGAAGGGCAATGCTGTCTTGGGATTGCGTGGTAGTGAGGTGGAGGTGGAGGAGTGTGTTCTGTATAAGTGTTTTGCACATATGTGTGCATCTGTCATGTGTCTGTGTCCATGCAATGGGGAGACTGTGGAGGTGGCGAAGGGATCCACTGATGGAGGTCAGGATTGTCTTCATTCTGCAGATAATTGTCATCTGGTCTTAAGCAAATCATCATACTTTCTGTTTCTCAATTTCTTCATCTAAAAGAGGGGTGAGAATTAGGTGAGATAATATAAGCAAAAGGACTTTTAAAGTAGAATTTGAATACTATGATTGTACAGCAGTTTAGGCACTTGTGTTCAGGAAGAACTAATGGCCCCAGAGCCTGTATTTACTGATAGGCAGTGAATGCAATGAGTCCTTATAGACATCCCCCACTGCCATAGTGGAAGGAAATTGGCAGAGCTGTTTTCCTGACATAACCCTCCTCCACACCCTTGTGCCTCCCCCAAGCCCTGACAGCTTCAGCCATCTGCTACCAGCAGAAGTCCTTCAGGGCCTTCTAGTACATTGTCCAGGTGCATAGCTGGAGGAAAATACTCAAAAACATAAGCAAGAGCTTTCTCTGGATGGATGCTTTTCTCTTCTGTGTATACTGCTGTTACCGTGTTGTCTGAATTGCTTTTTGTAACAATGAACATGTATAATAATGTTTATAGTTTGAAAAACCAACAAGAATATTTTCATTTTATAAAACATGCATATTCCCTAAATTATTCCAACTTTCTTTTACTTTGATTTCATTATCAAACAAATTTTATTATCTGCAACTTGCTCTTCTCAGTGAGGCCCCCATCTATAAGAAGCCCAAACCCAATTCTGAACTTCTATACAAAATAATTCAATTGCCATTTGACATTACAAAGTCATCCGCTCTGAACTTAGCAGCAGAGCACGATGATCACCTTCTAGTGAACTTGCCAAATTCAGGTTATGATTCTGCAAAGGAAAAGACAAGACCCTGGCCTGTGATGACTCTGCAAAGGCCCAGCTTCCCCGCTGCCACCTCTTAAGGCCTCGCTAAGACATCAGGCTGACCCACAGTCCCTGTGGACACTGCTTGGGACTAGGGGTAAGGCAGCCTTACAAACCTTTGGTGGTGCATACTCACATCTCTGATGTGGAGAGATAAAGAGCTTTGGTTTGGTGCAAAAGGGGAGCTAGCTGCTGCTGTGGATGCTGACCAGCAGCTGACAATAGTAAGAGGCTTGCACAATACAGAGAATGTGAAACAAATTTTATTTGGTTTGTAAAAGTGAGGTCCAAGTTAATAGAAGGACAGAGAACTTGCCAAAATGTTGGGGTGGGGAAGGGAGAAAGTAATCCTTAGACAGCACATTACAGAGTACTCTTACAAATCGTCTCATTGTTCTTCAAAATCCTATGAAGTCGTGAGGCAGGTAATTATCACACATGCTGTATAATGAGGACACTGATGTTCCCTAAGGACACAAAGCTGGTAACACCAAATCTGTGGCCTTTACTACTACCTCCCTAGGATGCAAGCTCTATGTACACAGCAGGCGTGTTTAAAACTCTGGATGGGAATCAGAACTGTGTATTAGTCATGTGACCTTGCAGCATTCTCTTCATCTTTCTGAGCCTCAGCTTCCTCATCTGTAAAATGGGATCATAATACCTGTCTAACTTGTCTCATGGAGTGGGGATCTAACAAGACAATGGATGCAAAAACAGTGTGCTTTGAAAATAGTGGGTTGTTAAAGGAATATAAAGTATGATCAATCTCCCAGTGCAGTACTGAGGGATACAGGTTGAGAATAACTTTCTCTAAACAGAACTGTTGTTTTAGGACTGGATAAACTTGATACAGCCCACAACAATCCTACAACCCCCACCATTTCCCTAGGAAGCCAAACCTATTTTCACACCCCTGTCCTGTGTAGGGTACACTCAGCTTTAAAGATAGGTAATCAGGTTTCCAGCAAACAGAGAAATCCCTGGCCAGCTGCCTCTTCTCTCTGAAACCCTGAGCTGGAGTGAGCTTGAGTTGGGGGCTGTTGGTGAAATAGTTGCTGTGGGGCCCATACTTTAATCTTAAGAAATTGTGTTTGCCTGCTTATTTTAAAGGATGGTTAAGTACAAAAACCTCAAGTCTGTGCTATGCTTTTCCCATCACAGGGGCCACTAGTGGGGCCTCAGAGGGAAGGCTCTAGGGTTCCCCACCCTGCTTCAGCCAAAGAACTCTGCTTCTTTAGTGCTATTTGTTTTATGCTTTGGAGTGAAATTTATCTGAACAAAGCACTTCATGCTTAAAAAAATAAGTTGAAAACCACTGCTGCTTGAATCTGCAAATCAGCAAAACTTCTTTTGTGCCGCAGGTCACCCACCCAGCCAACCATTTATCCCCTATGTCCCTCCTGTCTTTGCTCTCCCTGACCTCACTAATACCTGCTTTCTGCAATCAGGTTTACTCCAGAAGCTTTCCTCTGGGCAGTCCAGGTGTTTTGTTTTGCGTAAGACATTTTGTAAATAGCCTGCAGAACACATACGCAAAGCCATGTGTATTTTTGTTTGATAAAAAATGCTCAGCACTAATATGTAATGTGATGTTTTATGTTTTGTATGGTATGTCACATTTCTATTTTCTTTTTTCTTTTTTTTTTTTTGAGACGGAGTCTCGCTCTGTCGCCCAGGCTGGAGTGCAGTGGCGCGATCTCAGCTCACTGCAAGCTCCGCCTCCTGGGTTCACGCTATTCTCCTGGCTCAGCCTCCCGAGTAGCTGGCACTACAGGCGCCCACCACCATGTCCGGCTAATTTTTTGTATTTTTAGTAGAGACGGGGTTTCACCGTGTTAGCCAGGATGGTCTCGATCTCCTGACCTCATGATTGCCCACCTTGGCCCCCTAAAGTGCTGGGATTACAGGCGTGAGTCACTGCGCCTGGCCACATTTCTATTTTCAGTAGAAGCAGTAAAGAAATAAGGCAGAATTGAAGGGCTGATATTAATGCCACTTAATACCAGCATTTCTATGAATAGTTCTCAGCCCTCCTGCCACTATGGGTATAAATATTTTTTATGTGAACACTAACAACACAGAATAATTCCTACCACTACAGATGCATCCCAATTACTGTAGGAGGAAAGGGAAGAAAGAAGAAATGAGAGGGAAAAAGAAAGGAAGGAGGATAGGAAGAATGGAATTAGAAGCTGGTACAGAAAAGTACAAGGTAATTTAGAATTTCTGAAGTAGTTGACTAAGTGGAAGTACTACTGTGACATGGGGTAAGATTATTCTCTAAGCCTCAGTTTGCTTATCTGGAAACTGAGGAATATGGAGATAAAAATATTTGCTTTGATAGGCCTAAAAGAGATATTGTGAGGACCAGTTGAAGTAGTGAATAGGAAAGGGACTTTAGTTAAAAAGGGAATTGCTGTTCTTTCAGCTGAAGAGTCCTGTCAGTTTGTTCACGGTTTTTAAATAGATGGTCTGAAGGATTAGGATCTTTCCCTCTTTCTATTTAATTTTGGAGCACCACCCAGGGCAACATACTGAGACTTGGTCTGTACAAAAAAAAAAAAAAATTTTCATTAGCTGGGCATGGTGGCTCATGCCTGTGTCCCCAGCTACTCAAGAGGCTGAAGTGGGAGGACTGCTTGAACCCAGGAAGTCGAGGCTGCAGTGAGCTATGATTGCACCACTGTACCCCAGCCTGGGTGAAAGATCGAGACCCTGTCTCAATAATACCCAGCAGTTTCTACGAAGTTTTCAAATGCTAGGTCTAATGGTTTTTAACTGGGTGACTTTCAGAATCGATTTAAGTTATCTCCATTTGAACTCTTGAAGGTATAATAAGAATATTTCAAAGACGGCATTATTGACAGAGAGGTTGTGCTCTGATCTTTTTAAAAACATCATCTAATAATTTGAGTATTGCCTTAAATATAATTTTTCTACCCAGTAGATGCAGGTCAGCTTGATTTTTCTTAAACCTTACCTTAGTTAGCAAATTAAGGAGATACTTTACTTCCTGATTAATTTAATTCTGTTTCACAGAGCCTATAAGAAGGAACAGTTCTCTCTTTTCTTGGCTAGGGTAGAAATTCACAACTAATATACTTACTTACTTTACCTAGACTTTCTCTCTATGACAGCTAGAACTTTTTTACTCTTGAATAATTCTAATTTAATACTGTAGAATTAGTCTCTCGCTTATAATTATTTTGAGTTAAACATTTAAATCTCTAAAAATTCAAAATCTAAGCTCTGGTAGTACAGAATGCAGTAATAATTCAATAAACAAATATTCCTGGGAAAAAATTGAGAAGGTGAAAACAAGCTAAGCTACATTCCAGTATTAGATGGACCTCTATCTCTTGGTCCAACAACCTGCCCATTTTTTTTTACATACAGGTCAGATTGCTCCAAAAAAACAAAAAAAATGCCTTTTCAAAATAAGCAACGCTGCTGGTCTAGTCTATCTTGGGACTCATTGTTAAAAATTCTTCCCTTCTGCTGCCTTCTTTTGGGTAATACCAAACAAACATTAACAACTGTGGAACAGATGTTCTAACTAGTGAGGATTCCAAAGCTCGGCTCAAACGCATTTTCAACCAGAACAAGACACCAACCACAGAGATTAATCTTCTGGTATGGGTGCTATGAGATAAAAGCACCTTCTGGATTTCATCATATATTAAAAAAAAAAAAAACTCTAGAGTTTTTTTTGTTTCTTTCTTTTTAGGGATGGGTCAGAAAATTTTTCTATTTTGTGAGCCCAAGTGTCATACAAATATTTATGTTGGTGTTTTGATTTTAGACAAAGCAAAGATCATTGCTTTCTGTTCTGCTGTAATAACTTTTAAAAAGATAATTTCTCTGCCACCGTCTTTTATTTTTGTGGAAAATATTAAGAAACCACGGTACATTATAGCATAAGACATCTTAAGAAGATAACATTTCACTGCATTCCATAAATTGCAGGATATCAAGCAAGGCAGTTCCCACCTTCCATCTAGATGCCAACACAGTCATATCCAACCCAAACATTTGCGCTTATTTCATTTAATCAACAAGAATCTGTAGATAACCAAACATTTTCCTAGTACTGAAGCATCATATCCCCTGGCTCTAACAGACTTTAATTTTAAAAGTCTAAAAAGAACCATGAGCGGTTCCCCCTCTTTCCCTATAATCTATTCCAGTGATTGGAAAACAGGGTGGTGAGGTTGGTGAGATGGTCAAGTTGTTAGAGGAAGGCTGTGAATCCACGAATGTCCAGTGTCTGACCCTCAACCTAGTGACACCTCCCATTTCATTCCCAGTAAAACGTGTACAGCTTTCAATAGGTGAGGGAGGGACAATGATAAAAAGCCCACACAAGGTGAGATCAGCAAGGGATCTCCCCTGGCAGGGGAAGAATCAAGGGAGGGGAACTGGAATGACCCAAGATTTCCTTAAGCCCAGACCCACACCTCTCTGTGTATGGCTTGGTAAATTCTACATCTACCCCACAGAGAGTCCTAGATTTCAATCCCAGAGCAAAAGCTTTGCCTTTTATCATAACACAGGTCCTCACCAGTTTATGCTACATTCCTTGTTCAAGGTATGGTATGTAGTATTACTTGAAGGATATTGCTGCATTCTCCCTTCTACCAGATCCTCCCACAAGACTGAACAGTTCTCAAACTAGCGAAACTTGGTTTTATCAGTGTCTATTCTCTGCTGCTACATAAAGATCTCCAGGGATACAGGGCACTTAGACATGAGGCTTTCTTGATATTCTTCCTTCCCTCCCTATAGAAGAGGAATAGGCCCCAAATAAGGGGCTACATGATCATTAGGCATTTTCCAACCCAAAATAAGCATACTCATCCTATTGCTAAGGTAAGATAATAATACTGGTATCAACAACCTTGGGCCAAATGTGAAGATGTTAAATTCATTTTGCACACCTATTCTTCAGGATTAAAAAATATTATCCTGATAAATACAGTAAACCCATTGTAAACAAAACTTTTCATGATGCAGTAACCTTACCCATTACTCCCTTACCTCCTATCTTAAATAATGTTTGAGTGTATTCTTCCCTTTGCCATTAAAAGTTCCATTACTTCTGCCCACAAACCAGCAAGTCCTCACCAATCAAGAATCAGCTGCGATCTCATCATTTTCTTTTTGTGTATTCTAAAACTCAGATGTTTTCTCTCCTCTGGCCTACTGTGGCATGCCCTTCCCTTTCACTAATATCTTGGACATTGATATGGTTTGGCTGTATCCCCACCCAAATCTCATCTTGAATTCCCACGTGTTGTGGGAGGGACCTGGTGGGAGGTAATTGAATCATGGGGCCAGGCCTTTCTCGGGCTGTTCTTGTGATAGTGAGTAAGTCTCACGAGATCTGATGGTTTTGAAAAACGGGAGTCTCCTTGCAAAAGCTCTCTCTTCTCTTGAGTGCCTTTAATCTTCCACCATGACTTGTGGCCTCCCCAGCCATGTGGAACTGCAAGTTCATTAAACCTCTTTCTTTTGTAAATTGCCCAGTCTCCAGTATGTCTTTATCAGCAGTGTGAAAACGAACTAATACAGATGTATAAACATTGACCCATCCTCTTTAACTTCCATATACCCTTTTTAAATTGCAGAAAAATCATTCAATTAGTGGAAAAATTGCTCAAGTAAATTTTATCATCTTTCACCCAGGCCCGGTGATTTCCTATTCAGCAGCAATTTCACATATATATATATACTATATATATATATATAGTATATATATATGTATTATGTATATATAATTATATACTATATATGTAAAATTTTAAAATCAATGTTTTCATACTTTTTAATAATACATGCTTATCCTCATTGTAGATAAATTGGGAAATACATAAATGTTTTAGAAAGAAAAAAATACTTGTATGTAATTCTATCACCCAAAGATGTAACATTTTGGTGGATTTCCTTCAAGTGTTTTTTTTCTATGTACATTTTCATATTGTGATTACACTGTGTGTGTGTATATATATATTATATATATATATGATTTTGTGTCTTGCTTTCTTATAACCGAAGTCTTTATTCAAGTTATAAAACCCTACATATAACATTTTAAGGCTCCGTAGGTTTTGTTTTGTTTTGAGACGGAGACTCGCTCTGTTGCCCAGGCCAGAGTGCAGTGTCACGATCTCAGCTCATTGAAGCCTCTACCTCTCGGGCTCAAGTGATTTTCCTGCTTCAGCCTCCCAAGTAGCTGGAACTATAGGCCCACACCACCACGCCCAGCTAACTTGTTTTTGTATTTTTAGTGGAGACGGGGTTTCGCCATGTTGGCCAGGCTGGTCTTGAACTTCTGACCTCGGGTGATCTGCCCGCCTCAGCCTCCCAAAGTGCTGGGATTACAGGCGTGAGCCACCACGCCCGGCCCATAGTAGTTTATCATATAAATATGCCAGTTTATTCCCTGCCTCCATTACTGGACATTTATAGTTATGATTGTTTTAATTTTATGAACAAGCCCACAGTGAATATTGTGAGGCATATGGCTCTTTTGTTATGTAATATTTCTTTGGAATAAACTCCCAGAAGTAAAATTGCTGGATTAAAAGGTGTGTTATTAGTCAGAACTCTCTTGGTTGTGACTGAAGGAACTCTGACATAAGAAAAAAAGTGGGGGTTAATTACTGATTCATAGAAGCAAACTTTGGCAAAGACAAGAAGGGAGCTGGCTTTAGGGAGCTGGGACCAGAGGCTGGAATTTTAACCTCCTGACTTTCTCCTTGTCTCTTGAATTTATCTTAGACATAAATGAAAATAGAGGTAACTCAAAGCGTCTAACCCACAGTGACAATTGCTGCTCTGTTTTTAGAGCCGGGATTTTGTTCGTGGACTTGCCTTGCCTGGTGGTTGAACTTTGCAGCCCCTTCCTCCTCCGGGCAGCTTCTCTCAGTGGCAGCTGTGTTCCCCATGGTTTGTCCTGGATGTCTCCCTTGTGCCATCCTTGCAAGCCCGCGGCCAGCGCCTCCACCCACGCTCCGGCCTTGCTCCCACTCCCACCGCTCTGCCACCTCCCACCTCAGCCTCCCACCTTGGTGTGGAGGGACCAGCGTCGAAGACAAAGGAATCTCTGACGAGAACCGGCCAGTCCGGGAGGGACGGCGGGGAAGGGGGTGCTGCTCTGGCGGAGCCCTCACTTCACTCGCTTCCCCTCGAGCGCCCCTCTAGGCTGGGGCCCGGCCGCTCTGGGCCTGCTCCTCCTCCCGCTCCTGTTGCGGGGCACCAGGTCAGACCCTACAGGGGGCTCCGCCAGGGGGAGGGGGAGAGGGGCTCCCTTCAAACTCGGCCCGGCCGCGGGGGTCCCGGGTGCCCTCTGCTGGGCTCCTTCCACGTCCTTGTCCCTCCTGAACTCCCGTTCCAGCCCTGCCCCCGCCCCGCAGTAGGGAACGGACTCGTTTCTGCCCCGCCCCGGGGTCCGGGCGCCCGCCCGGCGCTTCAGCTTCAGCAACGTCAAGGCCACGTTCCCTCCGCTCCAGCTCGAAAGACGGTGGCGCTGACTCTGCTCTGCGCGCCGCAGCTTCCTCCCGCTGCTCCGCCCAGCGGTTTCTGATCCCCTTTCGGCGCTGGGGACTCACACGCTGCGGCGACAGGAAAGCCCGCGCCCCCGGCCGCTTCCCGGAACGCCCTCGGGGACGGCTGAGTCACTTGGCGCCCGCCCGCGCGGCCACCGAGCCCAGAAGCGGGGAAAGCCCAGAAGCGGGGAAACCCCAGGGACAGCCGCCGGCCCTGGGGGCAGCCAGCGCTCCAGGCCGCCCAGCACCTCGGGCCCGGATGGGCTTCTCGCGCCCCAGGGCTGCGGCCACACCCCGCCGGCCCAGACCCCGCGGGTAGAGAAAGGAGGTGCAACCCTGAGAGCCAAGACGTTGGGCTTGGCTTTGCTTTGCGTTTCTTTCCTTTTTTCTTTTGTTTCTTTTCTTCTTCTTTTTTTTTTAACCACATCCAGGAAGAGGAGAAACCTGTCTCATGACAGGAAACGAAGAGGGAGGATGCATCCGAACTGAGGGACATTGTTTCAGTTGCCTCACCTGACATACTGTCTCACCTGAGAGAGGGAGGCCGAAGAGGCAGCCAATGGTGGCTGGAGCAAGCCCTGTCCTCGTTACCTGGGCTGTGGCTGAGCCCTGGGGCTCACCGGCTGTATGGCCCTGGGCAAGTCCTCGGAGCCTTAGGTTCTCTGCAAAATGGAGATGATGTTTAATAGAAAATGTTTCTATAACTTTTGTGGCTTACTTTTTGAAAAGCGAGGGAGGGACTTTTGTCCTTCCCTCCTCGCATCTCAGTCGCAGTGCTGGTTCACAATCAGGCTGTTAACGCGGTTTCCACATTTCCTGTCCTCCCCCTTCCCCTTTCCTGCTGGGAATAAGAAGGTGGGCCCCCAAGGAGACAGAGGGTACACTCGTAAATGAAAAAGAAAAGTCAGCACAAGGACCCTTTGCTGCGGAGATTTCTTTTTCCAGGTATCCTAAGTGGGGCTCTTGCCATCCCTGCCATCCCTGCTCTACACCGAAGGGGTGAAGTCCTGGGACTCTGTTATGCCCATCTGTATGTAATCCTAGGCAAGATTATTACAGTAGCGCTTTCCTCTTTTTAGAATATACCCTTGTCTAGCCCCTACCCCATCTTCAGGACAGTAAAGGTTCTCAACTCACTTCAAACCCTCCTAGCCGTCTAGAACAGTGGCTCACAACCGCAGACCCATAGGAAATGTAGGGCCATCTATGTAATAAATTTATCCGGATGTATTATAACAATTTTAAGGTTACACTTGTCCTTTCTTGAACAGGACAATTCTTTATTCTAAGACTATATGCTTCATAGTTTTAGTTATTTTGAATTGTCCATTCTGTTATGAAATACGATAGTTATTGTTGGTTGATGTCCTCTCTCAGAAAAATAAAAAATTAGCAGTCCTAGGTAGATCCCCCAAAATCTTTTAAACTTGATCTGTGAAATCCAAAAAGCTTGGGTACCATTGCTGTATTCCACATGTGGTTCACATCAAGGTTCCTTGTCCCTCCCAAGGAGATTTGTAGCTATTAAAAGAAACAAACAAACAAACATAAACAACAAAAACCCTTTCGAGAATCAGATCCTCAAAGAATGTTTAAGGATAGACGTGGAAAAACAAAGAGTGGGGAGAGGAGTCTTTCTCTACTCTCAACCCCTAGCCCTTAGTGTAGGTGAAGGCAGCACAGTTGTATCTATTCTAACTGGTATTTAGTATTGAGCATAACTTTTAATGGACGACTCCTTTTAGTAAAACAGAGAACCAATTTTGAATAAACCAAGGTCTCTTGGTCTCTCAGTTTGCAGATCAGCGGAATGGCTAAATGAAGGTGCTATACTTTACTTAAAAGGTGAAAATGTGTCATTTGGGTAAGCAATAAGCAGTACTCCTCATGTCAATAGTGGCATAGTGTGGACTTATATGATGCCGTCTTAAATTAGGCCTCATTGGTTAATGTTTATTGAACACTCTCAGTGTGTTTGGTGCTAATTAAAATATCTTCAAGTCACAGAATCACTGCCTTCTAGTAACTAGTGATGCAGCAAGCTGTAACTGTTGAATCATACCTACCTATATCAACACAGATACTACACATGCATATTCATCTTTTTTGGATGCTAAGATAAAATTTTGCTTAAAATTCTTACTTAGTTGTGTGGGAAGTAGGGGAAAGGAAGATTTTTAAATTTGAAATGGTTGTCCTAGGATAGGAAACCATCGCAGCTGTCATGCACATTAATATTTTAGAAACACATTCACATATCATCTCTGTTGATCTTCCCAAGACGCTGTGACTCTACAGGCTGATTTCAGAGATGTTGTTCCCCCTTTACAGGCAACATATTTTAGTGGCTTGCCCAAGGAGGCTTACCTAAGGCCACACTGCTGGGTCGGGAGTCTGCCCTGGGTCTGCCTCTTCCCACTCACACTGTTGCAGTCCTGTATTCTGGGAAGGCCTCTATGGGCCAGTCCCAGAGCCTTTGAACCAGGGGAGAAAGGGTGGAGGGGAAGCTAGCTTCTCCTAGTTCTGTATACCCAAGAATCCACCTGGTGGGGATGGCGGGGGTTGGGGGGGAAGGGGGGGACGGAAATGACTTAGCCTGAAGGCAGGCTGTTTGACAGCTAGGGCAAAACAGTGGCGAGAAGAAACTCAGGGAAAGGAGAGAGGAGCTACCAGTAATTTTCAAACTTCGCTTAATATTAGAATCACCTGGGAAGTTTTTAAAAATTTTTTTTGATGCCTAGCTGTCACCCATACTGATTAAATCAGAATCTCTGAAGGTGGAACTAGGCATTGGTATTTTTAAAAGCTTCCCAGGGCTGGGCACGGTGGCTCACGCCTGTAATCCCAGCATTTTGGGAGGCTGAGGCGGGTGGATCACCTAGGGTCAGGAGTTCAACACCACCCTGGCCAACATGGTGAAACCCGGTCTCTACTAAAAATGCAAAACATTAGCCGGGCGTGGTGGTGGGCGCCTGTAATCCCAGCTACTCAGGAGGCTGAGGCAGGAGAATCACTTGAACCCAGGAGGCGGAGGTTGCAGTGAGCTGAGATCATGTCATTGCACTCCAGCCTGGGCAACAAGAGCAAAACTCTGTCTCAAAAATAAAAGTAATAATAATAATAAAAAGATTCCCAGGGTTTTAGAGTGTGTAGGCACATTTGAAGACAAGTGGCCTACAGCGATGCTCAGATTTTTGTGTGCATTTTCAATCACCTGTGGATCTTGTTAAAATTAGGGTCTGGTACAGTCAGCTGAGAATGTGTCGTGCTACTGTACAGATCCAGAAAAAGGAAACACTGGGTGCTCGGTGGTCAGGAAGAGTTTTGTGAAGGAGAACAAGTCTGGGTGGGCTTTGGACATTGTGTAAGATCTAAAACTTAAGAAAGTATGAGAATAGCATTCCCCTCTGGGAAATGAGACAGAGGCCTAGAAGTGGAAACGTCCAAGATATGTTTCAGGGGACCCTGCTGGTCCAGTATAACTGATGGGGAGAAGTTTTTCAGAGATCTGATCTTCCAAATTTAGCACTTGGCAGTTAACTAGCTATTGTTTTGGGTGCATTTGTGTTCTTCCCTCTTCAAGACCTTGGTGTTCAGAAACCTGTGTTTTAGTGCGTTTTGCCACACATGATGCTAAGCATTCAGCAGGTATTCAGAACATGACTGGAATCTTGCGTTTGTATCTGCTATTCCCTTTATGTTCTGACAGATACTTACCCTGATCACTCACTGATTTCCTTTGTGGCTTAAAGCTCAATTTCTGTCAGGTGGGTTGGCTCGCACCTGTAATCCTAGCACTTTAGGAGGCCAAGGCAGGTGGATCACTTGAGCTCACAAATTCAAGACCAGCCTGGGCAACACGGTGAAACCCTGTCTCTACGGAAAATACACAAAAAATTAGCCAGGCATGGTGGCACGCGCCTGTAGTCTCAGTTACTCGGAGGCTGAGGTGGGAGGATGGCTTGGGTCCAGGAGACGGAGGTTGTAGTGAGGTGAGATGGCGCCACTGCACTCCAGCCTGGGCGATAGAGCCAGACCTTGTCTCAAAAACAGAAGCAAAACCAAAAACCACAGCAAAAAAAACTCATGGTCACTTTCTCAGTGGGACTCCCTTTATTTAAATAGAATTTAAAGGGGCTTGACCACTCCATTTAAATTGCAACGTCAGCCGGGCACAGTGGCTCACGCCTGTAATCCCAGCACTCTGGGAGGTTGAGGTGGGCGGATCACCTGAGGTCAGGGAGTTCGAGATCAGCCTGGCCGACATGGTGAAACCCCGTCTCTACTAAAAAATACAAAAATTAGCCGGGCATGGTGGCATGTGCCTGTAATCCCAGCTACTTGGGAGGCTGAGGCTGGAGAATCGCTTGAACCCAGGAGGCGGAGGTTGCAGTGAGCCGAGATCATGCCACTGTACTCCAGCCTGGGCAACACAGCGAGACAATGTCTCAAAAAAATAAATAAATAAAGTAAAATAAAATAAATTACAACATCCTCTTTCTCTTCCCCCACCTCTCCCACTCACTTCTTCCTGCTTTAGTCTTCCCTTTAGTGTTTGTCACCAGTTCATGTATATTTTATCTTGTGTATATTTACTTCTTTATCTTATTTACTCTCTGTCCCCTCCATTAAAAAGCAGGTCCACAGGAGCAGAGAATTTTGTTTGTGTTTGTTCACTGTGGTTTCCCCAGAGCCTAGAACAATATTGGATACTCCACAATTATTTGTTGAATGAATGAACAGTGCATATTGAATTGAATGCATATTACTTTTGGTGTTACCAGCACAAGTAAATTCAACATTCAGAGGCAGGAGAAACTGAAATAATCCATCTTGCTACTGTTTAATTTTAGAAGAGACACTTAAAGCACTATTTGGTCATTAGATAGAAAAATTTTGAATAACCTGTTCCAGAAAATAAATTGCCTTCCCAAGGATCATAGAGTTGTTTTTAGATGTCTCATATTAGAAATCCAGGAAAAATGTTTGATTTAAAAAATCAGATTTAAAAAAAATTAGTTTAAGAAAACCTCATAAAGCTACCAATGATTAGCTTGATATTGAACTATTTTAAAATATAATTATGGCTCAAGGGAAGGGAAAGAGTAAATGCCACCAAGTATAGCAGATTACTTGCAAATGAGACATTAAGAGGGGGGAAAACCGAATCTAAGAAGACAGTTCTGATGGTAGATTAACTGGTGGATTGTGGAATTTGGGGTTGGAAGGGACTGTGAAGGTTGGAGGGTCCTGATGCTTGACTCTCTTGTCTCTGCATGGACATCTCCAGTGATGGGAAACTCCTACCTCACAAAGCAGACGATTCCATCTGTGAACAGTTCCAAATACTGGAGGGCCCTTCTTTCTTTTGAGCAGTTAGCAACATCCTTATACTGATTTTAGAGCTACCTGTTAGCCGCTATACTGGGGAATTTCATTCTTCTTCTGGACAGTATTTCAAACTTTGAAGATACCTATTGTATCCCTTTTCCTCCCTGCCCACCCAAACCCCTATATATCACCAGAAACTCCACCTTTTTCTTTCTTTCTTTCTTTTTTTTTCTGAGACAGAGTCTCACTGTGTTGCCCAGGCTGGAGTGCAATGGCGCGATCTTGGCTCACTGCAACCTCCGCCTCCTGAGTTCAAGCGATTCTCCTGCCTCAGCCTCTGGAGTAGCTGGGACTACAGGCACGTGCCACCATGCACAGCTAACTTTTTGTATTTTTAATAAAGATGGGATTTCACCTTGTTGGCCAGGCCGGTCTCTCTGTACTTCTGTGTTTTCATTTATTAAAGGAGATAATACCCACTTTCCAGGATTGTTGAGGAGAGGAAATGAAACCATGTAAGTAAATATGTGGCATATGATAAATGCTTTAAATAACTCCTAGAAAAATAATAATCATTATTATGATTCTAAAAGGTAACTATTAGACAATTAAATCACCTATGTTGGAACCTCATGACATGATCATATAGCCATCTCGTGTACCTTGGAAGGGACCTAAAAGTCGTATGGCAAGCCAGTCTGTCTGAGAATATAAATGAGTCCAGTGTGCACAGTCCCCAAAGGCTATCCAGAACTAGAGAGTTTAGGGGTGCCTGCCACTTTGCTGCCTTCTAGATCATGGTGGCCAATGGCCACCAAGTTTATCTTTCTTCACGGTTTAGTCTCTTGAGCCACATATCAATATAGCCTGCATCAAGTTACCTAGAATTGCCCAACATGCCATTTCATGACCAGAACTACACGCACATGCCACAAAAACACCACAGGCTCCTGGAAGTCCTCTGTGAAATCTTTGGAGCCTTTGTGAGTGGGAGCAGCTAAAAATGAAACATTCAGGAGGTATTGAAAATACCTAGAAAATATAGAATGCTTGTTGCAATGGATCTATACCTGGCTGGGATCCTTTCTTTGTGAGCCTGCAGAAGTTCTGAAAAAAGAAGTTTCTCTTTCTAGTTTTCTCCCCTCCTCCTTTGCAAGGCCCCAAATCCAGCTATCCATAACCTCCTTCCACGGAGTCTCCAGTTATAAACAAAGGCCTCTCACAGGGCCTTCCCACCCCCAGCCAGCTGTATCCAAGGTTACAGTGGGGAACTTCGAAACAGGACTTGGCTCTCAAACAGAAGATGCCCTTCCTGCCCGCTCACAGAGCTCACGCTCATTCCACAGTGCCCAGTGAAAGGACAGACTGTTCTGTGACTGAACCATGAGCGTATTGAGAGGAGTCTGTCCGCACTGTCCCCACCAAAGTGTTATCCAAGCCTCATTGTGTGAGTCCTCACTGGTGCTGAGAAACCTGGTAAATGAAGACCCTGTCTGGGTAAACAAACAAAGACGCTGAAGAAGTCAAAGTGGAGAAGAGAATGAGTCTGTGTCTATGCGGGGTGAGTTTCCACTATCATCGGTGACTCCATTTGCCAGTTGCTTCATAAAACCAACTAGTGTGGTAGATATTTCCATTCAATCGTCTGATTGTTTGAACTGATCTAATCACCCCAATTAGTGTTGTGGAGAGAGCCTTCAGGAAAACAGCAAATGAAGCTCAAAGGCAGGAGCTGCAGTTGGGAGAATGTAGAGGGTGGGATTTGTGTATTTTCCCATGTGCCTCTTCATATCTTTAGTGAATCAATTCAGCTATCCTAGAGAACCCAGAGCTGCCCAAGCTGCAGAGGATGGCATGGCTGGATCTACCATTACAAAGCAGGGTGATGCCATCAGCTCAGTGTGCGGGCATCATAGGAAAAACCAGCCATCTTGTATTCCATACCAACAGCATGATAATCCCATGACCCGATGGTCTGTGTTGCAGTGGCCAGGAAATCAGGCAGGGTGTGCATTCCTTCGCTGGGATAAGAACCATGACTCCTGGCTCTCAGTGGCTTTGTTTGTTTTTAGGGTTGTTTTGTGGTTGTTTACAGTGTAGATGGTTTCTTTCCACCATCAATTAGTAAACTCTAGTTTTGGAACCATAAACCTGGATTTATTATTATGTTAGAGCTAATTTTCTGGTGAGCCTTAAGCAAGTCACCTCCCCTTGGAATCCCAGCTTCCTCATCTAAACAGTGAAGCAAATGGAGATTGTCTCCAAGTGACTGTCAGCTAGAGCCTTCTATGGTTCTGTGGGGAGGGCCCTTGTCCTCCTTTATCTCTTTATCATTTACCCACACCACTTAGGAGAAACTATAACTAAATGGGCTTTGAAATGCTTTTAAGTAGACTGTTACATACACATATTACGCATAGGAACAGACCTGTTTTGTATATGTGCGATATATTTATAAAGTGTGTGCCTTTGAAAGCATTAAAAATAATCTCGGCTGTCAAACTCTTGCTTCACCAGGTTGCTTTCAAGCTACTTTCCTCCTTATCAATGGCTCCTTCAGATCCACCACGCTGCACATTCTTCAGGAGGTGGCATGGCTAGTGGTGGGAGTGAGGTTGTTTATAATCTTTCAGATTAAAATGTCATTGGGTGCTTCTCTGAAACTGCTGACATGGTTCAAATGTCCACTTCTGATGGCCTGCCCTTGGTCAAATGAGTTCCAGGGGTGCTTGGCTAAGACCATAAGGTCCACAAATCTGCCCCAGGGTCCCCATGCTAAATAATAAAACATTGTTTCAGCCCCGAGTCACATTTCTGTAGCACTCCATGATAGAGATGAGATAACTAATGTAGTTTACATGGTTGTATTTGGGAAAAAAAGACGATCAAAATCGGCCCTTTAATTACTTTTCTTCTGTGTGTATGTAGAGTATATGTTCTGAACAATTTGAGAGAAAAGAATAAAAATGGAATAGGTTAAGTGAAGCCGTATTAATTACTTTTAGACTTTAAATTTAAAAATACTTTAAATTTTAGACAAAACAGTAAAAAATAAAACTCTGACTCCATGTTGGATTTTGAAAAGGAGTGAGGGAAGAAGGTGTATATATAGTACCTGCAAACGCTCATGAATATTCATGAGTCCTTGACTAGAATGAAAATCATCAAAAACATTCTGAATCTAATGACAAAAAGAAAACAGCTCCAAGAGCCCTAAATTCACTATTTCCTCTGGCTTTTAATGTATTCAGGCATAATCACCTCTTCAGCCATTTTGAGGGACTTGAGATTGATAAAATATGATTTAACAAGGACAAAACAATTTTAGCAGGATTATGAAAATCAGGGCTGTCTTAAAGTTTGACTCAGAAGAAACCTCATAGGGCAGCTAATCCCAGCCCAACCCAGTACAGGAATCCTGGACCCAGGAGTCATCCAGCTTCTGCTCAGCTTCTGCAGGGCCTGGCTGCCTGCACCGCCTCACTACACGGCCCATTCCCTTAGGTGAAGAGCTCCACGGGACTGAGAGTCCTTTCTACTACTGAGCTGAACAGCACCTCTGTCATTTCTGTCTTTGGGTCCTGTTTTGCTTTCTAAGTCAGAAAGAATATGTTTCCATCTACTTCTGCTTGAAGCCCTTTAATTATTTTAAAAGTTATTACTTCGCCTTTAGATTTCTCTTTTCCAGGTTAAATCTGCCAGCTCCTTCAACCATTCTCCAAATGAGCTAGTGTTTAGGTCCTCTGGATTCCCTTTATCTTCCTCTGGATTCCTTGTTTTTTGTTTTTTTTGAGACAGAGTTTTGCTCTTGTCACCCAGGCTGGAGTACAATGGCATGATCTCGGCTCACTGCAACCTCTGTCTCCCAGGTTCAAATTATTCTCCTCTCTCAGCCTCCCAAGTGGCTGGGATTACAGGCGCCCGACACCATGCCTGGCTAATTTTTGTATTTTTAGTAGAGATGAGGTTTCATCATGTTGGCCAGGCTGGTCTTGAACTCCTGACCTCAGGTGATCCACCCACCTCGGCCTCCCAAAATGCTGGGATTACATAGGCAAGAGCCACCGCACCGGCCGGATTCCCTGTATTTTAAGATGTGCTTCTACAAGCTGTAGCCAATCCTCCAGATGTAGTCTCTCTGGAGCAGAGTGCACAGGGATCTCTTTCTCTCTCTCTCTTTCTCTCTCTCTCTCTCTCTCTCTCTCTCTCTCACACACACACACACACACACACACACACACACACACACACGCATGCACGCACGACTTTCAGACCTGTATTGGTACTCATTACTCATGCAGCCTGGCTGAGTGAGCCTTTTTTTGGCAGCTTTGCCCTGCTGCTCACTCATGTTGACAAGTAGCAGGCAATTGTCATGGTCTTTGTCCCTGACTTCCTGACAGTGCTAAGCAGAGGTCAAGGTACTTTCACAGTGATAATGAGAACTTCCATTTACTAGTCCCTCCTCTGTGCCAAGCACTCTACTTGAAGTATAGCAGATGTTATTTAATTCAACCTATTAGGTAGATACTGCTATCTTCATTTTCCAGTTGAGAGCATCAAGGCTCAGCGAGGCTAAATAACTTGCCTAAAGTCATATAGAAGACTAAGGGCCAACTTGGATAAGAGCCCAGGCTCATCAGATCCCAGAGCCCATGCGTCATCTATCGCATTTTGCTGCCCTCATCAAAGGTGCTATTTGTTCCATATGTTGGAAATACTGGACCCAAACAGCCCAACCCAGCATTCTGGGTTGAACCAGGCATGTTTGTTGGAAAGAAATATTGCTCTTTCTTCAAAAAGGGACTCTGAATTTTCATTAATATTAATTTTCCACTATGAACCTATTATCTGTGTATGTATCCTAACTTTTTGAGAAGATATTTATGTTTTCTAACTGTTGTACATTTCTGGAAGGAGCCAAGGTTAGCAGCTCCCACTAGCATATTACTCACTGTGTAAAGGAGCATTTCTTTAGTATCTGAAGTTGTTCTGATTTTGCTGTAGTACTAGAATTTGTTCATTACGTTTACTCCAGCTATATTCTTTTTAAAAGTATTTCGTCTTTTCTGAGCTTTTTTCTTAATACATGTGATAAATGTTTATTTTAGAAAGTCCTACTTTATTATCATATTAGAGAGATGTCTAGCTTAGATTTGTGTAGCACTCTGCAGCCTTTGTAATCCGTGCCTCCCCACACTTTTCCTTCCCAACACTTATTACCTCCATTGACAGGTGAGCTCAGGGAGGTGAAGTGACTTACCTAAAAATTCAGAGTCAGGAAGAGGCAGAACAGAAGCAGGATAGAACCTAGTTCCGACTCTCACCGTTTTATTCCTTTCTTTTCACCATGCTGCCTCTTGGTTCTTCGGGCTTTCAATTATTACACCTCATTATGAGAAGTGTTTTATGACTGCTACTTTGTGAGAAGTTAAGTACTGAAGTAAAATTGAAATAAGCTGCCAATCCTGCTCATTAAATGTGGTGGGAGGTTTAAATGACATTGCCTGCTTTATGTTTGGTCTTTGTTATCACCAACAGTCTCAGAGTCACTTATCAACCCTGGCACATGTGCACAGCATCTTGGAGAAGGATATGACCCAGATGTGCCCTAGACAGTGCCTCAACTCCTTTAAAGACAAAGAAGAGTGGAATATAGGCTCCTGGAGGGGGACTGATGCCCAGGGACCCCCTTCCCCCAGGCACAGTGAGACCTCTTGCCCTTCCAGCACCTTGCTGACTTCCCTTAGTGGTGTCCCTGATACTTCATCTCCCGGCTCCCCCTCATCTCCTGTTTGGCTTGCCGTCTTGGCCCCCACTCCAGCCCCCACCCTGTCCTTTTGGCCTGGCTCCTTGGCAGGGCTCCTGTCGGACCAGACACTTGCGTGACTGCTGGTGCCTTTGGCTGGGCTCCCTTATCCCTGAAGCCTCTCTTCCTGGCTTCAGACCCTCACTGAGAACCCAGCTGCTGCTTCTGGAAACATCCAAATAGTAGCTCTCAGCTCCCTGGTGAGATGCTCTTGACAAAGGCCAAATTTCCCTGTGATTAGGGAGCTTCAGCCTTGGGGCTTTGTGGTCCCCTCGAAGTCATGCCTTCTGGGCCCATCTTCAGGTAGGGTGACCCATATAACTTATCATCCAAGTTGGGGCACCTTAAGAGTAGAAGGGAGTGCTGTTAATAATTTCATCTGCATGATAGGAATAAACAAGGACCATCCCTGGCCAGCAGGGATATGTTCCAGGTTGTAGTCAACCTGACTCTCCCATTGAACAACGAAGTCCACGTTTATTGGAGGCTGACTCTGCACCAAGCACTGCACTAAGCACTTTACAAGCGTGCATTATTCATTTAATTCTTACAATAATCCTATATGTGTAATGTTGCCCTTATTTTACAAAGGAAGAAACTGAGGCCCAGAGAAGTTAAGTAATTTGCTTGAGGTCACATCAATTAAGTGGTAGGCCCTAGTCTGACTCTAAAGCCTTTACTTTTCAATCCTCCTTTTGGGTCCTGACCAGTAAGATAAAGGAATCAATAGAAATGAAACCCTTCAGTAGGAAGACAATGGAGATAGTCTCCAAATTAAAAATGAGTTATGCTGTAGAAGAACACTTGTATGTTGATTGCTCAGAATTTGAAATTCATTTTCCCATGGGAAAAAAAAAAGATCTAAAATGGTGGTTAGGCTCTAAGCCCAGCCAACAAAAGTCTATGCAGACTATAATTTCACTGTGGCCTACTCCTCTATGTAATACTGAACTGGCATGGGAAGCAGAAGCCATAGATTTCTATCGTAGTTCTTTCACATACTGGCTATGTGACTTGAGACAAATTATTTAATCTCTCTGAGCCTCAGTCTTATCAAAATTGAGATAATGTCTAGCTTCTAAAAAGTGCAAGAATCACAGGAGATAATGTACATAAAGTCTTTTTAAAAATAGCACTTATCACATTGTAGGAACTGACCACCATTTATGACATTGCCAGGACGCAAGCCAAGTTTTGGAGAACCCTAACCCCGGTCCTCAAAGTGGAGACACTTTGAGGAGCCCCTAGGCCAGGGCAGGCCAGGGGATGTCTGTGGAAATGCGTTCTCCTTGGTGAAACCAGTGGCGCTGTGAGAAACATAGGAAGAGAATGGTATTGGGGAGGAGAACACAGGCTTCCACAGGGATTTGGGGCCCAGTTAGGCGAAGAGGAGTATGTGGCAGCCACACAGCAGTGGGGGTCTGCACTCTGAGGAGGAGGGGCATTGGTCTGTGGCTGCAAGGTAAGATAGCCTTGGGGGCAGTGTCTCCACAGCTGTCAGGAGTTGTTCTGGTTTTGGGGTTGGAAAGAGCAACAGACATTTGTACCTAGGGATTGTTCATGGTTCATGAAGACAGCCAATCTGCAAATGGGCATCAACAGCTGCCCGAGTGCACAGGAAATCTAGATTCTGGGTTGAGTTTAAAAACGGATTCTGGCCAGGAGCGGTAGCTCAAGCCTGTAATCCCAGCATTTTGGGAGGCCAAGGTGTGCGGATCACTTGAGGTCAGGAGGTCGAGACCAGCCTAGACATCATGGTGAAATCCCCTCTCTACTAAAAATACAAAAAAAATAGCCAGGCTTGGTGGCAGGTGCCTACAATCCCAGCTACTCTGGAGGATGAGGCAGGAGAATCGCTTGAACCTGGGAGGCGGAGGTAGCAGTGAGCCAAGTTCACGCCACTGCACTCCAGCTTGGGTGACAAGAGTGAAACTTGGTCTCAAAAAAACAAAACAGAAATACTGGTTCTGAGTTAAGAAGTCTACAGAAGATTCATTTAACTATAAAAGGTTTTATTTCATATGAAATGGCTCTTGACTTCCTAAAATGGGTATCACTTTATTTTTTAAATTCTTAAAATTTCTTGTAAGTCCCAAATTAGACTTTTCTCTACATATAAGCAATTTACATCAGCCAGTCGCTAGATGGGCCATAGTGTAGATCTACACTGACCACGTCAGCAGGGATGTACCATCATGCAGCAGCGGGAGAGGGACACCTTGCATACCCAAAATAAGGGGATGTGTCGTCAGCAGAAAAGTTAAAAATGACAATAAAACCAAGAGTGGGTTTTAATCACCAAGCACTGATAATTCTAATATTGACAGTGATAAAATATTCCTCCCCACAAAATATTTTGTTGGTCTAAGTTCTAAACAATTGCTGCATTTACTGCTGGTTTTATTTTTAATTTTATTGAGATATAATTAACATACCACACAGCCACCTATTTAAAGTATACAAGTCAATAGTTTTAGTATAATCATATGCTATACAACAATGACCACAATCAATCTTACAACATTTGCATCACCCTCAAAAGAAACCTTATACCCATTAATAGCCATTTCCCATTGCCCCACCTTCCCACCTACTCTCCCGGCCCTAAGAAACCATGAATCTAGTTTCTATCTTTACAGATTTGTCTATGCTGGACACTTCATATGAACGGAATCATCTGGCTTTTTGTTTCTGGCTTCTTACATTTACAATATTTTCAAGGGATATCCACATTAAAGCTTATGTTAGTACTTAAGTCCTTTTTATTACCTAATAATATTCTATTCTATGGATATACCACAGTTTATCCATTCATCAGTTGATGGACATTTGAATTGTTTCCACTTTTTGGCTGTTGTGAATAATGGTGCTGTGTCCAGAATTGGTGAGCTCTTGGTCTTGCTCACTTCAAGAATGAAGCCGCGGACCCTGGCAGTGAGTGTTACAGTTCTTAGAGACGGTTTATCTGGAGTTTGTTCCTTCTGATGTTCGGACATCTCCAGACTTGCTTCCTTCTGGTGGGTTCATGGTCTTACAGACGTCAGGAGTGAAGCTGCAGACCTTTGCGTTGAGTGTTACAGTTCATAAAGTTGGCGCGTCCAGAGTTGTTCTTTCCTCCCGGTGGCTTCATGCTCTCGCTGACTTCAGGAGTGAAGCTGCAGACCTTTGTGGTGAGTGTTACAGCTCATAAAGGCAGCACAGACCCAAAGAGTGACCAGCACCAACATTTACTGCAAAAAGCAAAAGAACAAAGCTTCCACAATACTGACGGGACCCAAATGATTTGCCACTGTGGGTGCCAGTGGCCTGCTTTTATTCCCTTATTTGGCCCCACCCACATCCTGCTGATTGGTCCATTTTACAGAGAGCTGATTGGTCCGTTTTACAGAGTGCAGATTGGTCCGTTTTACAGAGTGCTGATTGGTCCGTTTTTACTGAGTGATGATTGGTGCGTTTACAAACCTTTAGCTAGACACAGAGCACTGACTGGTGCATTTACAGTCCTTTAGCTAGACAGAAAATTTCTCCAAGTGCCCTACCGGATTAGCTAGACACAGAGCACTGATTGGTGTGTTTACAAACCTTTAGCTAGACACAGAGTGCTGATTGGTGCATTTACAATCCTTTAGCTAGACAGAAAAGTTCTCCAAGTCCCTCCCTGACCCAGAAGCCCAGCCGGCTTCACCTCTCAGTGCTATGAACATTTGGGTACAAGTTTGTATGCAGATATATGTTTTTATTCATTTAAGGTCTATATATGCCTAGGGCTGGAATTGCAGGATCATAGGGTAACACTGTGACACTGTATTGACATTTTGAGGGACGGTGAGTTTTAATAATATGTATGCGAATATATTTAGTATATTAGTACACTTTTATTATTTATCCTTTAATAAACATGGATTGGTACATTTTCATTCCTTGTCCTTTAATAAATATTGTATCAACATGGATGTTACTTGGAGAACTCCTACTCATAGTGACATCCATGACCAGGTAACACAAGGGTGTTACATGGATGTTACTCCTAGTTGAGTCCCAACCCATGTCCACGTAACACATGGACTCAACTAAGTGTTCATTTAACAATTAGCTCATACTCATTTAAGTAGTTTGACCTTGTTTCAGGTGCAGTGTGTGTTTCTAGCTCCTGTGGTACTACATATTCCTGCATTTAATTGGTAGATGTGAAATAAACAAAAATAGCACAGTAAATACAGAAAGAATCGAACTTAAGTCATTATATGACCACTTGAGGTTTTTATTTGTGTTTTAAACTTAAAACAGTGACATAGGGTGCAGACTTCAAGGTATAATATTTTTGTTTCATAAGTACAAATTTTAGTTCATACGTGACATATTTTACTGAATTTTAATATCTTTAAAGTAGAATTCTTTTTTCTCATTGAAGCTCAGAATTCAAAGCTAAAAAATAGAATTTTATTCAAGTTAAGCTTGGAAAGAGTTTTAGTTTTATTTTAAAACTAAAAAGCAAAATCAGAAAATACCAATGATTGCTGTTATTGCATTATACACTTATTACTGAACATAAATCCATTCTGTAGAGGAGAGTAGCATTAAAAATCACCTGTTCCAGATGTCAGATATGCTAGGCCTGCCACTGTGTATGAACTTGTACAAGATGACCAAGTTATTTAGGGAATATTTCTTGCATTGAGTAAGCTTAAATTGACAGAAGAAAATGGAAACAGATTGGCAGAGTGGAAGGAATTCCTGGCTAAGTTACATGTTTAGGTTAGCAGTTCAGAGTCATGAATTACTTGGGTATATCAAGACTGAATGAGAAGTGGAAATTTGGGGAGTTTGAATAAGAGGGTAAACCTGGGCCTAGGTCTGGAGTAGGAAGCAATTTGAGATTCCCAAACAAGACAGCAGCTTTGGTAGGGGAGAGCTGGAGTTTCACCATTTTGGCAGCAACACACAGCATGAGTGGGAACAACAGAAGACCACAATGAAAGGCGAATTATAAGGTTGGTCAATAGTTTCAGGCATTAGCTAATGACATTCTCCTTGAGGGTAGCAGTTATGGAGAAGGAACAAATCAAAGAGATCTTATAAACAACATAGCAAAGATGTCTATTTTTCCCTAAGCTGACTATAAGTTTAATGCAATTCTTATCAAAATCCCAGCAAGGTTTTTTTTGTAGATATAGATTAAAAGCTTATTCTAAAAAGGCCCTAAAATAGCTAGAACAGTCTTGAAAAAGAAAGATAAAGTGGGAAGAATCACTCTACCCAGTATTGAGGCCTAGTATATAGCTACAGTACAAAGGTGGTGTCCTATTAGCAGAAGAACACATAGATCAAAGTAACAGAATAGAGAATCCATTAACTCCCTCCGACCCGCCGCATCTCCGACCCCACACAAGTACAACCAACCAACTTTTGACAGAGTTGGAGAAGCAATGCAATGAACGAAAAAGAGCATTTCCAAAAAATAGTGCTGGAACAACTAGACATTCCTAGGCCAAAAAAAATGAACCTTAATGTACACTTTACACCTTATATAAAAGTTAGCTCAAAAGAGATCACAGACTTAAATATAAAATGCAAGACTATAAAACTGTTAGAAAAAAAAATTAAGGAAAATCCTTGGAATCTGGGCCCAAGCAAAGAGTTCTTAGACTTGACACCAAAAGCATGACCCACAAAGGGAAAAATTGATCAACTGGACCTCATCAATGTTAAAAATGCACTCTGCAAAAGACCTTGTTAAGAAGTGAAACAATCAGATATCGAGAGGAAGAAAATAGGTGCAAACTGCACATCCAACAAAGCACTAGTATATGGAATATATTTAAAAACTTTCAAACCTCAGCAGTAAAAAACAAATAATCTAATTAGAAAATGTGCAAGACATAAGCAGACATTTTATCAAAGAAGATAGACAAATGGTAAGCACACAAAAAGATGTTCATCATCATCAGCCACTAGGGAAATGCAAATTAAAACCACAATGAGACACATGTCATTTGGTCATTTCTAATTTGGCTGGGCCACACATTTATGGCACACATGAAGGGTCTAGTGTCTAGAAATTAATAATTTATCCAGTAAAAGAGCTTAGCTGATGCCAATGGCTGTCTCTTAAAGTGACTTGTTCCCTTCTCGTTTTGTCATCAAGTGTTCTAATGGTATTCCTAAATTTGAAGATCCACAAACGTCTCCAGAGGTAGCTCTCCCAAATGCCACATCTAAGTCCAGCAGGATTTAGTGACCAATTAGATATAGGAGTAGCTCAAGTGTCTTTGAAAATTAGCACCCTTTGACCTTATGTGGGGCAGAGCCTGGGCCACTTGCCAGCTGTGTGATGTGACAAGACACGTATTTCTTTGAGATTCAGTTTCCTCCTCTTAAAAGGAGAATGACAGTTCTTCCCTTACAAGGTCTTGTAAGAATTAGATCAAACACCATGGATATGAGGTACCCAGCCTAGTGCGCAGTGTGGCCGTGGGTGCCGTTTCCATACACAAGCCAAGGCTGCAGTCTCCAGGAAAGATTTAAGTGAGTCTCTTTCCGGAGTGATTTAATTTTGTTGACCATGTGGCTGAGAATATCTGAAAAAAATCCCAAATCTATTATTCTGCCTTGCTCTTCTCTTAAGTATGTTAATGTTTTTCCGAACACATATCTTGTTTTTTTCAAAACACAAGATCACTTTAACTATACCCGATTTCTTCCCGTGGTCATTCAGCTGGCCAGAGGAGCTGAGCAAATGCCTGCATGAGCTTTCCTTCAGTGTGTGCATGGGAAACATCATGGGATTTTTTTTCTCACCCAGCGGAGCCTGTACAGAGAAGGTACTCATAAATATTTGCTGAATGAAAAAAATGAATGAGTCTTGATGCTATAGAGGAGTTGGGAGTCAGGAGTCCCCATATATTCTCTTAGCCAGGAGGATATTTGGAGTCAAGGACAGCAGATAGTCAGGGAGGTAGGGCACATAGTTTAGTCTAGGTAGAGTTAGACAGATGGTCCTAAAGGGGTGGGGAGGAGAGGGTGCATCCAACTGAGGAAGCCTGGAAAAGCTTCAGTGAGGACATGACATTCATGGTTGTCTTAAGCTGGCGTTGCTGTTGCTGATGATAATAATAACAGCAAACTAGTATGTAACACTTTTTATGTCAGGCACTGTTCTAAGTGCTTTCCACAGGTTAACTCATTTAATCTGCTCAGCAACTCTGTGAGGGAATTACTATTATTCTCCTAATTTAACAGATGGGGAAGCTAAGGCACCAAGAGGTTAAGAAATTTGCTCAAGGTCACATAGCTTGTAAGAAGAAAATCTCCCCAAAATTAGCGTTATGAACCCTTGAAATATGGTTCTAGGGAAGCCAAGGGAGTTCCATCTGCTCTGATAACAGTATGACTCCTATCTTCTTAAATATATATCTATAAACATGAGTAGTTGGACTTCACAGGGCTACTATATATACTCTTGTTGCACACTTAGAATGGTCGTAGTAACTGGCAGTAAAAAATGCATCACTGATACTATGTAACAACCAAAAATCTGTGTGTAAGACATTCCTGCTACCTCTCAGGGGTCTGCCAGACATCCTCTCACTTTTTTTTTTTTTTAATATGGAACGCTTCGTGAAATTTCATGTCATCCTTGCGCAGGAGCCATGCTAATCTTCTCTGTATGGTTCCAATTTTAGTATATGCGCTGCCCAAGTGAGCACGCCTCTCACTTTCTGACATGAGACTTAGAAGTTCTGGGCACTCCTAAAATGTTGATCAAAATCATAGCAGACCACAGGTCACAGCTTGTACCTAACCTGGTCCCCACCACTTTTTTATTAAGATCATGGTTGTTTTACTTGTTCATATTCATGGCCATATTCCTCAAAGTAGAGTCCCTCTCTGTTTCACAACCTGCTGTCCTGTGACTGTGTGTGTGTTTGTGTAACAGAATGTGTGTTATGGTTGTGTGAGCTTTGAAAGAGCAGTTATAACCTAGGCCCCCCGATGATTTTTTGTTAATGAGCCCTGCATCCTCATCCAGCTCTAGCAATGCTTTGCTAAAAACAGACTGAGGTCATTCATGTGTAAATGGAAATACACCAAGAAAAAAATTAATACCAAATGTACATCAAGATCAAAAGAAAAAATAAATTTCTCAATGGAATACTCAGGGCTATGCAGAGACCATTGGTTACTCTTGCTTCACATATAACTGAAAGTCAGAGCATGTTTCAGTAAGGTTCTTAAAAAGGCTGGGACCAACCAGAGGCTGTGATTTGAGAATCCCACAAGGATGACTGCCCCCAAAACTGGCTGGATCCTGAATTACACAGGGAATATGTACCACCAAAAACTGTAATAAATGCCAAAAAAATAAGTAAGAGCCTCAAGGCCTGTGGAACTCAGGGCCTAGAACCAAAACATTTTCATTTAAAGACAAATACAGGCCGGGTGCAGTGGCTCATGCCTGTATTCCCAGCGCTTGGGGAGGCCAAGGTGGGCGGATCACCTGAGGTTGGGAGTTCGAGACCAGCCTGACCAACATGGAGAAACCCCATCTCTACTAAAAATACGAAATTAGCGGGGCTTGGTGGTTCATGCCTGTAATCCCCACTACTCGGGAGGCTGAGGCAGGAGAATCGCTTGAACCCAGGATGTGGAGGTTGCAGTGAGCCGAGATTATACCATTGCACTCCAGCATGGGCAACAAGAGTGAAACTCTGTCTCAAAAAAAAAAAATAAAAAAGGACAAATACACACAATGTTACAATGAAATTAGCATCCATGAACTATTTGATCACAAATTATAATTTGATGAATTTTTCAAAATCAAAAATATATAAACATGTCAGAACAAATCATTCTCCTGATTATCATTGACAGGTGAGTCTACAGAAATAAATGTAGACCTTAGAATGACACATTCATTTGTACATTCAATCATGCATTCATCCAGGGAGTATTTATTGAGCTCCTAGTAGGTGCCAGGGGGAACTCTGAAAAAAGAGCAGTATAGAAAGCTGGTTAAGAGTGGGGTTGGGAGTCAGAGAGACTGGGCTTAAATACCTGCCCCACCACTTTACAAACTGAATGATGTTCAGCAAGGGAGTAAACTTCCCTCAGCCCCTAATTTCTCAACTGTAAAATGAGGACTGTTAAACTTGCCTTGCAAGGTTGGATTGGATGAAGTAATATATGTGACATGCTTAGCCCAGTGCCTGGCCCACAGTAAATGTTTGAGGAAAAGGGAGGAGCCAGGGGAGGTGGTACTCTAACAATTCATACTTCCTAAACTCAGAGATATCCTGGCATCTTCCTCTTCGCTTTTCCAGAAGAGTGCTCCAAAGGTACATCCCCCTGCCCCAGCCCATCCACATATTCATACCATCAAAAATGTGGCTGGTAGTCAAGGAGCAGAGCCACCAGGAGGTTCATGCAGAGGCAATCTTAGAAGACAAAGACACCTATGGGAAGGGAAAACCTGATGAGGATTTCAAGGCTGGCTTCTTCCTTGCTCTCCCTTTTCTCCCTGAGGCCAGGTGAGAAAACAGCTCCCCCTTATCTCTGTAGGACGAGGAGCTCAGGGACACTCCTGTACATCTAGAAGCCTTTTAACCCAATGGGAAGTTTGGCTCCCTGACACACTGACATCTGCTGCTGCCCATCTTTTCTCAGTTCCTCCTCCTGGTGGAAGAAGCTAAATCACAAGAGGTGTCCCACGAGTAGGCCTAAGGTTGGCCCTGGAGGGCAAATAGGAGTCAGAGAAAGATTTGTGGTTGTGGCTGTGTGAGTGTGATACTGAGAGGGAGCACTGCTGCTGGCCGGGGGCGCAAAGAGTGGGAAAGGAACTCAGAGACAGAGTTGCCACATTCAGCAGATAAAAATATTAGACGCTGGACTAAAATTTGAATTTCAGATAAACAACAAATCATGTTTTAATCTATGTCCCATGCAATACTGGGGGCATACTGATACAAGAAATTATTCATTATTTATCCGAAATTCAAATTTAACTGGATGTTCTGTATTTTATCTGTCAACTCTAATCAGAAAGGGAAGGAGGAGAACATCCACCATTTTCCCCGTGTTTCCGTCTGAAACCAGATAGGACACAGTATCTCTGAAGAGTCCACCCATTCTGCAAGTACACCCTCATATGGCTGAAGCCTGTATCCCAGTCTCTTTGAGGAGACATTGAGTCAAAGTCCCCACTGTGCAGGGCATGGTGCTGGGTGCTAGGAATACAGAGGTGTACAACAGCCCCTCACTTAAGGACCCACTCACTAATGGAGGACCAAAGCCCAATGGGACAGTAATCACAATTAAAATAACAATAGCAATTGTTAATATTTATTGAGAGCTTATTGGGCCACTGTTCCAAGCACTTCATAGATTATTTTATCTATGTTTTGGTTTGTTTTATTTGTTTGTTTGTTTTGTTCTGTTGCCCAGGCTGGAGTACAGTGGCGTGATCATGGCTCACGGCAGCCTCAACCTCCCCCCATCTCAGGTGATCCTCCCACCTCAGCCTCCCAAGTAGCTGAGACCACAAGCATGTACAACCACCCTGGCTAATTTTTACCACCCTATGAGGTAGATTGTATTATTAGCTTCAGTTTTCAAATAAAGAAACTGAACCTGGTAGGTTAGGTAACCAACCATAGTTTTTTTACCCGAATTGAGATGTGTTTTGTTTATTTTTATTTCTAAGAGAAATTTCACTGCTGGTGGGATTTTTTTTTGCTGGTGGGATTTTTTTTTTCTTTTTTCTTTTTTTTTGAGGCAGAGTCTTTGCTCTGTCGCCCAGGCTGGAGTGCAGTGGCACAATCTCGGCTCACTACAAGCTCTGCCTCCCGGGTTCACGCCATTCTCTTGCTTCAGCCTCCTGAGTAACTGGGACTACAGGTGCCTGCCACCATGCCCGGCTAATTTTTTTGTATTTTTTAGTAGAGATGGGGATTCACCATGTTAGCCAGGATGGTCTCGATCTCCTGACCTCGTGATCCACCCACCTCGGCCTCCCAAAGTGCTAGGATTATAGGCGTGTGCCACCACGCCCGGCCCGGTGGGATTTAAAAAAAATTTTTTTAGAGATGTGTATTTAAGTGAAAGCGAGCACAATCCGTAACTACACAGAGCAGCAGGTGTCCTCTGGAGCTGCCCCAGCACACTGGGGTTATGGCATTCTACTTACAGGAGGCATGCCTGGTCTCAGTGGTAGAAAGTGGCAGTGGGAGGCTTTGAACCGAGGCAGAATGGCTCCAGAACTCATGCCCTTAATCAGGAACAGTAAGAGAGGAGACTGATCAACAGGCACTTCCTCCCATTGGATGCTAAGCTCCTGGGGATGGGGCCTCCTGTTTTGCTTCCCACTGTGTCCTTGGAACCTAGCACCCAGCACCCAGTACCCAAGCATAGCGTGGGTGCCAAAAAGCACTTGATGAGCAAAGGAAGCTGGGAAGCCTTTATGGAGAGGGTAGAATATGAGCAGAGCTTGAATAATGGAGCGGACCTGGACAGGGACCCCTTTCTCTTCCTGGCTCTGTCCCTCTTCCCAGGTGCTTGAGGCAGGATCAGTGAGAGAGGGCCATTCAATGAGCTCTGTACATGACTGCAAACCAAATCTCTGGGACATAAAAAGGTGACACCTATTCTAGAAACTAAGTCATGACGGGCTCTGTTAGCCCTGACTTGAACTCTTTTACATGGACACTCAGATGCTCACTGCCTGTCCTCTCCAGTGCAGATCCTATAGATTTAGAATCCGTCACATCTCCTGCATCCTGACCAGTTGACTGCCCTCTATTGGGTCCTGTAGCACCAGTGGTACTGTCTTCTGGATGAGCTGACCCCCAGGGAAGTCTCCTCAACTTCCATCTCCTTAACCAGCTCAGGACTGCTTTCCTCTGTGTTCCCACCAGGGGCCCTAGCCTGAGGCTACCCACTCCCAGCAGCTCTGACTGCACCCACAAAGCCTGCTACTTCCATCTCTTCAGTGAATTTAAGCCTGCAACAATCTACTGCAAGCCTACACCCTCTTTAAACAGGAATCATGAGATCTTTAGAACAATAAACAAACCCCTCCTTCTTGCTGAGGATCAGCTACTCGCTATTTAAGAAGAGAAAGCAAATTTATAGAAGGGGAGAGACAGCCTCTGGCAGCTGGCTGTCCCCTCTCTCCAGAAAGATATCATTAAACCCAGTGACTCCTGCCTGACAGCTGTAGAATGAACAAGGAAGGGTTCTCTCTGGCATTTTTGTTCCACCCATGATTTAACTGCATGTAATTGAACTAACTAGACTGTAAACTGAGGTTATGGGCAGTGTCTTATAAGTATAAGCTACTTCTTTGAATCCCAAAAGTCTAGCACAATGTTTGACTTGTGGGAATCCAATAAACATAATTAATTTGAGCTGACTGCTAAGGGTGTGTCTAAGCTTAAATATTCTAAATTACTTCTGACACCAAAGTGCTAGTTAGTCTGGGGCAGAAAGAAGCCCAGGTACTTAAGCCCTAATCCTGAAAATCAGAGAAAAAAGGAAATCTTAATCACTTTTCAAATCACTCTGGTCCCCTTGTCTCAGTCTCTTTCCAACTCTAGGGCTTTGCTGCTGTCAAGCTGGGTGACCTTGGATAGGTCCCTAAACTTCGTGGGTTCTTAATTTCCTGGTGCTGAATCAGGCAGGTTCAATACAATGATCTGACGGTCTCTTCCAACTCTGACATTCCAGAATTCTGGTTGACAAAAAAGTGGAGAGCAGGGATAGAGTATGGAGTGAATACTTGGGGGCCGGGATGGTGTTGCTGGGAAGGAGAAAATAAATATAGATCTGGGAAGAGACAAAAAGCACTACAGACTAGGGTACACTTTGTCATCCCTTCAAAGGCTCACTGTGCGCTCACTAAGATGGTGTCATCTGTCACATCCTACATGGTGTCCAGCTGATGCCCATGCACCTGGGCCCAGCCTTTTCTTCCACTCATTCCTCTATGTATGTGCTCTGCCTTCTTCCTGGCACTGCTTAAGGGACAAGGAAATTACCGGACTATAAACTGTGGCCAAGGGCAGTGTCTTGTAAGTTGAGTAAGACAGACATAGCTCTGCATACAGTTTACAGAATAGAGGAAAGGCAGATGTTTTAAAACAAAACAACTCAATTAAGTATTAATAGCGAACCCATTGATTTAAGACTGTATCAGGTATTCCCTACTCTTGGAAATCAGGGAAGGCTTCCCAGAGGAGGTGACCAGGAGATGGGTCACCCCATGCCTGGATCACTTCCCAGAGGGTCTTTCTGTCTCTACATGATCCTGACAGAGCTTTTAAAACACCAGTGTCTTCATGGAAGCTTTACGGTGGCCTCCTTGGGTACAAGCTCAAGTAGAGATTCAGTCTCCATTTGAACCCTCTTCCTGGCTGTTGCTCCCAGGACAGGCTGTTGTCCTTGGGTACCCAGAGTGCCCTGGATATATCTCTGACACCTTCTGTGTACCCAAGAAAAGGGATTAGAATATGAGCCTTACCTTGTGAAAGCTCACTATCCCTGGGCTACTCTTGAATCAGATCTGACCACTGACATTTTCAGTAGCAAACAACTGAAAATTCTAATTCTGAAGCTCTTAAAGGGTGAGGAGAGAAAAAGTTAGAAATTAAAAGCAAAAGAGATCTGTTTGATATTCAGATTCTCTAATTCTAGGAATAAGAGTGTCTGTATGATAAACTAGCATTCTCTTTGCTAGTTGTCTGTGTCTTTTATATCAGGGGTGCCCAAGCCCTAGGTTACAAACCAACACCTGTCCGTGACCTGTTAGGAACTGGGCTACACAGCAGGAGGTGACTGGCGGGCGAGCCAGCAAAGCTGAGCTCCACCTCCTGTCAGATCAGTGGCATTAGATTTTTGTAGGAGCCTGAACACAATCATGAACTGCACAGGCAATGGATCTAGGTTGCAGGCTCCTTGTGAGAATCTAATGCCTGATGATCTGTCACTGCATATATTACATGTAATAACATATACATATATTTACATTACATATTACAATGTAATAATAATAGAAATAAAGTACACAATAAAGGTAATGTGCTTCAATCATCGCAAAACCATCCCCCTGACCCTGGTCCATGGAAAAATTGTCTTCCACGAAACCGGTCCCCGGTGCCAAAAAGGTCTGGGACCACTGCTGTATATATTATTTATGACTGCCTCCTCCTATAAGGAGGTGCCCACATATTTGACAGTAATCCTTCGTATCATCTTCACATTGAGCCTTAATCCTAAAAAGAGTTGTCTCCTGGTACTCAAGGGGAATTGGTTCCAGGACCCCCATGGATACCAAAATCTATGGATTGTCAAGATCTTGATATAAAACGGTGTAGTATTTGCATGTAATCTATGCACATCCTCTCGTATACTTTAAATCATCTCTAGATTACTTATATCTAATACAACATAAATGCTATGTAAATAGTTGTTACACTGTATTGTTTAGGGAATAATGACAAGAGAAAAAGCCTGTACGTGTTCAGTACACACACAGCCATCCTTTTTTTTCTGAATATTTTCAATCCTCAGTTGGCTGAATCCAAGGATGCAGAACCCACAAATATGGGTGTCTGACTGTATATCTGGTGAAAATTACTTCTAAAGACAGTGCTGAGAGCAGAGGTATAACAACTGTGAGTGAGAAGAGGAGTAAGCAGGTTTGGATAATTGCAATATCTGGCCTCTGAAATGAATGCTGGTTCCCCATAGGAGGCATTTCAGAGAATACTAAGTAATTTTTGAGCTGCAAAACTTCAGGATAAAAGCTTGAATATCATCACCCCTTGCTGTTTTAACAAACCACAAATTGCTACTATTTTTTGCCTGATTTTATATAAGGAATAATATATTATCTATAAAGGTAAAAGTGTAGTCTCTCTGCAGAAAGCATATCTTTTTGTTGGGATCTGTCAGAGATATGGAGAGAAAATTGAGGAAGAGGCCAATGTGAGTCTCTAAAATACTTTACATCTTATCCCTCAAGTATGTTCCCTGGAGCAAAACAGAAGCTCATAGAAATTCAGATATCTTGATTTGCACCATAAAATAGTGTCCAGAAACCTAGACACTGCAGCAGAGCTTGGTGTCCCATTTTTGGTGAGTTATTCTATTTGAGGTTACAGTAAAAGCCCTAGGGAGGACTTCTCTGGGCTGGGTTCTGAAGAACGCAGGAGAGAAGCATCTCCTGGGGACAATTTACATCCTGGACGGAGAATGCAAAGGCAGAAGGGGTGTTCTGAAGAGAACTGTGAGGAGTTTACCTGATTAGAGAGGGTGATGTTGGGGGAGGGGTCACGAAGAACTTAGCATTCCTTGCTATAGACAAACAATTAGATCTGTGTTTTCAAAAGCTCATTGGAGCAGCTGGCAGGCAGCTGGATTGAAGAGATTCCTGGAGTCCTGATAACAATGGGCTGTCCCTCCTCCCTGACCTCTTCAATTGCCCCATGAGCCGCTCCCAAATTTAACAAACTATTTAAAGAAGATCTCCAAGTGTAGTCCTGAGAATTTGCAGGGGAATCTCCTGGAGTCTGCACTCTTCTTAAGCTCCTGGGAGGCCCTTTTGCTCAGAAATATATGAGAACCTCCAGGAGAATGCTTTCTGGGCAGGCTTCCCTGCTTCCATTTCCACTATTGAGAATGGTCATCTATTCAAGCCCTGAGTCTTGTGGTAAATTTTCTTTACATAGATGGATAATCTTAAAGCATGAACACCAAAGAGATTTCAGTGCTAATAGAAGGGGATGAGATTTGGTGATTTTTTTTCTTTTGCTCATCTTTATTTTTAACTTGCACTACTTGTAGAATAAGAAAACTGTTAACTAAAATAAATGTAATGAGCACTCTGCATTTGCAAACACTGAACAAGCTCATGGAAGAAATGAATTGCCTGAAAAGGGTTACAAACTGCAGGGAAGTGCCGTTGTTTTCAGCAGGAAAGAGAGGCCTGGTAACAACAGGAAGCGCTGGGAGGCCTCAGTACCAAGGCTTCCAAGCAAAGCGGTTCTGGAAACAATGGCTGCCTGTGGCTCGGGAATATTGGGCAGGAAATGAAAGGATGCTGGTGTGGGGGCTGGGGCACAGCGAGGAACTGATAAGCTTTACCTGGCTGTTCTTCACATAGTCGTAGCTGGCCCAAGATGACGTCATTTTTTATAAATGTTCCCCATCTCCCGTCAGTAAAATTGATTTTAGAAAAATACAAAAACGAGAAGCCCCCATAGTGCCGTAGGTCTGGAAACCATTAGGAAGCTCTACAGCCTGGGAAACCAGAGGGTACAATAAGCAAAAGGGATTTCTCACTCTTAGGGCATGGTGAGATCAGTGCAGAGAGGACCTTCAGATGAACTAGGCGTCTTTTAGAGCTAAGTCCCTGGAGGATTCCAGCCCCCGTAAAAATAAAAATAGCCTTGGGGTTAAGGGGAGTCTAGCCATAGCAAAGGAGATATGTATAAACCTCTTGAGATTGAAGTTTATATTTTATTTAACAGAAATTTCCGTTTATATGGGTGGAGTGAGCTGGGGAACCATTAACAGTACAAATGAGAAACAAAAACAAAACAAACAAACAAAAAATTACCCTAATGTTTTGTCCTGAAAGACCTAGCTGTAAACCAGAGCTGGTAGGAGTCAGGACCTGAACACTGGCAGATAGAAACCGAATCTGCCTTCTTAATTTCCAGCCCAGCCTCTCCTCCCAGTGTCATCCAAGAAGCTGACAGATCCTAGAAGGAGGTTAGACCTGGAAGAAACACAAGGATCCAGAAATCATTTGGATCCAGAACTTGTTTCTAGCACAGATGAAAGTCTGAGGCTGGCAGTGGCTGATTTGCTGGAGGACATACAACTGGTTCATGTTGCTGTAACTGTTGGGTACCCCAGCACCTACTGCCTGGAAGATACCTAGGGGAATTCAAAGAAGAGGAAAGTTACTCTCCTAAAAGGTCAAGAATCTCATACGTGTAGATTAGGGCAAGAATCCATGTTTCTTAATTTGTTATCTAAGTCGTTCTCTCTCATCAAGTTGCACTTAGTTGTGAAGTCAGTCTCTACCTTCTGCTGCTTTCTGGTCTTCCTCATTCTTGGTCTGTGACTTGGTTTCCCTAGTGTGGAGGTTATGCTTATAAAATGTACTGGAAAGTGCATGAATTTTGGATTCAAACAGACTTATAACTGCACCCCAGTTTGCCACTAGCTGTTTGAGCTTGGACAAGTTGTCTAACCATACAGAATGTTAGCTTCCCATCTGAAAATAGGAGTAGTAATGCCTACATCTCAGAGTTTTAAGAATTAAATGAAATAATGATGGTTAATTCATCCCCATAAGCACCCATGAGGTATGCAAGAAAAAAAAAGAGAGGTGGCCTGGACACACTCAGAGTAGAAAAAAATTTACATTGTCCTCATTCTTAAGATGATCAGTGTTAGTGAAGCATACAGTTCAAGAAACAAGTTTGCTTCTCTCTCATTAATCTGCTCAGTTCACGACCTTCTCCCCTGGGGCTCACTCTCAGGCACATGCGGCCGTTCTCTGTATCCATTAGCACTTAAGAGCCTCCACCAGTGGTATCCCAAGGAGCAGGTGGCAAGAAAGCTGCTCATCCAGTAAATAAAACTTTGATCAGGTGATTCCACTGATGTGTGCTTTATGCAGTTAAACTGAGGATTTAAATGATTTTAAATGAGTTGTTGTTGCCTAGGAATGTGCTGGGGATTGACTGAGATCTTTCTGTCCTCCATCAGCAGCCCCATGGAGTGAGTGATGTCTCCCCCTACAAATCTCCTAATAACAAAGCTTTCTCCACAGACAGTAGAAAGGATGAACCACATAAGCCTTTATCAATTACACAAAGCACAGCAGCTTCATCAATGGGACAAAACCCTTCTGTACAGTTTCTATGTACAAGATGAATAGGGCCAGCTCTAAGACCAAGGTCACATGGGGATGTCTTGCAGGTTTGTTTTCTATGTTCACAGCATTTGAATCTTTTTCTCTACTCAGCACCACCCTTCCTCAGCCACAACCACTCCCACCCCAAACACACACACCCAGAGGCACCCTGTGGGAGTCCCTCTTAAGCTCTCCCCACTGGCTCATTCGCTACTGATGACTTGTGGACCCAGACACTTTCATCACTCTCAACCAGTCTTTTATGTGTGAGTCAGATAGGCTCTTACCTTTCCTAAAGAAATTTCAGGCAACAGCTAGAGAAGAGTGAGTCCTCTCACTTCCCCTTTCGTTGACGAACCACGAGAGGTTGTCCCTTCTGACCCTAAAGGGACTCCTTATTTTTTTCTTTTTGTGGCAAGTCTTTTCTTCTAGATTACCTCCCCTCCCTCTTCCCACACACACACACACACAAAAGCCTATTTCTTTGAAGGGAAGAACTTCAGGGTTGGCCCTGATGAGGAAGCTGAAGGTCTAGTCCCAAAGCTGCCAGTATTGGACATTATTCTACAGGCAATGGGAAGCTATTGATTGTTTTGGTGTAGGGGAGCTTTATCATCAAGGTAGTGTTTTAGAAAGATTTATCTGGAAGTAGAGATCAAGATAGAATGCAATCTTCCCAGACAGTCAGTAAAAATGCCCCCAAGTTCCCTAATGTTTCTCTTCCACTGGACTGGTCTAGTCAGCATTCCTGGAATTCACCACATTATTTCTTGCCTTTCACCTTGTTTATACTATTCTCTGTTTCCTGCCCCAAAAGAAAGTGTATGACATTTACTAAGTACTTATTATATGCTAGGCACTTAGATGAGCGGTCTGCATGTATTGTAATGTATATTGCGTCACGTCAATTACATCATATGATAGCATCTCACATCATATCAAATCATTCCTCTGCACCAGTGTCAGAGTTCTTATTGCAGCACCTTGACTGGTTGTTTATCCACTTAGCTCACAACACTGTGAGCCCCTGAGCATGAGGGTCCTGTCTCAGCACTCCCCAACGTGGTCCCTCTCAAGACAGCTGGCTCTCTAAAAACGCACACAATTTCCTGTTCTTGTTCAACATCTAAAAGCTCTGCCTGACTTCCCCACCAGCTGTAATCTTTTTAAAAGAACTTTTGTTACAATTTTTGTGCCTGTCTAGGGCCCTTAGCATATTTTGTTTGATATGTTCATACTGGCCAAGTGACGTAATACCTCTGAGCTTCAGTTTCTTCATTTACAAAACAGAGATAAATACCTCCCTCATAAGGTGACTGTGAGGATTGCACTGGGTACAAATAATGGATAAGAAGTGTATAGCTAGGCTGGGCACGGTGGCTCACGCCTGTAAGCCCAGCACTTTGGGAGGCCAAGGCGGGTGGATCACGAGATCAGGAGTTCAAGACCAGCCTGGCCAAGATGGTGAAACCCTGTCTCTACTAAAAATACATGGTGGTATGGGCCTGTAATCCCAGCTGCTCCAGAGGCTGAGGCAGAGAATTGCTTAAACCTGGAAGGACGGAGGTTGCAGTGAGCCAAGATTGCACCACTGCACTCCAGCCTGGGTGACAGAGCAAGACTCCATCTCAAAAAAAAAAAAAAAAAAAAAAGTGTGTAGCTCAGGGACCACTGCATACTAGTTTCACAATAATTACCCATTCCCTTCTTGGCTTCTTGAAGGCAAAGATCTTATTACCTTTTGTTCCTCTAGATGGGCCCTCAGTGCATCTGCTTTGGTAGAAGGAGAATCGCTGTCATTGGGAAAGAGACAGCATTGACAGCAGAGACCTGAGGGCCCCGGCAGGGATAAGTCACAGAGTGGACCAGAGGAGGACCTGGACACCTCTGCAGGAAAGTGCTGGTTTGGCTTGGCATCTGAGAGCCTAAAAATGAGGAGGGCAGGGACCCCCACCCGGGGAACCGGGCTCCAGGCTGCCTTGCTCAGCAGGATAGCAGAGCTAGTCCTCAGCCATCCCAGGCCAGCAGGTTGGGCAAATATTTCTGCTTCACAAGGGGTAATAACCTCAACAGGGTCACTGGAAAGGACTTCAGCAAACATTTAGAACTTGGGTCACTGATTTCAGAAGCCCCTCCATCTTCCTAAATGAAACTTGTTTTGTAAAATCCCATTTCTTTCTTTTAAAAAAAATGCTTTTACTATATCCCCTTCACAGAAAATTTAGAAAAGCAAAATTAAAAATAGAGAAAAGCAAAAATCATTGATTTTCTACCACTTAGCAGTAACTACTATTAACATTTCAGTGTGTGTGTGTGGTTTGTGTGTGTGTGTGTGTGTGTGTGTGTGTGGTTTTTATGTGTGTGTGTGAGGCAGAGTTTCGCCCTTGTTGCCCAGGCTAAAGTGCAGTGGTGCCATCTCAGCTCACTGCAACCTCCGCCTGCCTCCTGGGTTCAAGTGATTCTCCTGCCTCAGCCTCCCGAGTAGCTGGTATTACAGGCACCCGCCACCATGCCGGGCTAATTTTTTTTTTTTTTTTTTTTGTATTTTTTAGCAGAGATGGAGTTTCACCATGTTGGTCAGGCTGGTCTTGAACTCCTGACCTCAGGTGATCCACCTGCCATTGTGTGTCATTTTTTATTATTTAATATACTGGGGAAGAGGTAGTTTTTAAAGAGACATTCTGTACTCTATATTTATATATAATTTTAATTTTTCAAACTTTTTTGCTATTTTTTTTTCAAAAGGAACTTAAAAATAGATATTAACCATGAGCTGTTGAACACTTAAAGATCAGACCTGTAGTGGTAGGATTTCAGGCATTTTGGCAGTCAACGGCAAGGAGCCAATCCACTCTCCTCAAATCACACCTCCAAAGTTGCCACTATAGGACCTGCCTTCCTGTTGGGGAGTGTTTGAACCATGGTAGGTGTAGCTTGGGGCTTTTTCTATTCTTCATCACTTGTGGTATCACAGAAAAAGCATGGGCTTTGGCAGCACACACACCTGGGTTTGGATCCCAACTCTGGCACTTCCTAGCTCCAGGCCATTGGGCAATTTATCTATTCTCTCTGAGAATCAACTTTCCTATTTTCAAAATGGAGATCATTTTGTCTGTTTCATGGGTTGTCTACAGTTATAGAATGGAGAATGCTATAAAACAAACAAACAAATAAAAACCCACCTAAAGCCATGCTTGACACTTAGTAACTATTTTCTTTGAGGAATCCAGATAGCAAAGGAGCCCAGAAAATCCATCTGGAGAAAAATGACCAAGCTCCTGTTCAGGAAAACATTTTGAGTGCTTCTGTTTTCTTTTTTTTTTTTTTAATTTCTTTTTTTTTATTATACTTTAAGTTTTAGGGTACATGTGCACAACGTGCAGGTTTGTTACATAGGTATACATGTGCCATGTTGGTGTGCTGCACTCATTAACTCGTCATTTGCATTAGGTATATCTCTAATGCTATCCCTCCCCTATCCCCCCATCTCACGACAGGCCCCGGTGTGTGATGTTCCCCACCCTGTGTCCAAGTGTTCTCATTGTTCAATTCCGACCTATGAATGAGAACATGTGGTGTTTGGTTTTCTGTCTTTGCGATAGTTTGCTCAGAATGATGGTTTCCAGCTTCATCCATGTCCCTACAAAGGACATGAACTCATCCTTTTTTATGGCTGCATAGTATTCCATGGTGTATATGTGCCACATTTTCTTAATCCAGTCTATCACTGATGGACATTTGGATTGGTTCCAAGTCTTTGCTATTGTGAATAGAGAGTACTTCTGTTTTCAAGGCTATTCTAGATGAATAAGACACGGGACTGTCCTCATTGTCCCCAAGGAGCTCACAACTTAGTAATGGAGATGAATCAGAAACAAGCAACACCTCACACTTGGTGCTAGACACAGAGTAGGCTTGCAGTAAATATCTGCAGGATTAAATTTATTCGACAATTTTCTTCAGAAAAGGTAATATATTCCTATAGTTCAAAATTCAAAAGTACAAAAGAATATACAGTGAGAAGTCTCTCTCTTACTCAAAGGGCTAGCCCCAGCTTCCAGTTTCTTTCCTGTAGACAACTAAAATTATTGCTTTCTTATGTATTCTTCCATAGATATTGAATGCATATATAAATAGATGTGCATATTTAATCTTTCATTCTCTCTTAACAACAACAACAAAAAAAACCATGGCTGGGCACGGTGGCTCACACCTATAATCCCAGCACTTTGGGAGGCCGAGGCAGGTAGATCACCTGAGGTCGGGAGTTCAAGACCAGCCTGGCCAACATAGTGAAACCCAGTCTCCACTAAAAATACAAAAATTAGCCAGGTGTGGTGGCACACACCTGTAATCCCAGCTACTCAGGAGGCTAAGGCAGGAGAATCACTTGAACCCAGGAGGCAGAGGTTGCAGTGAGCTGAGATTGTGCTACTGCACCCCAGCCTGGGTGACAGAGTAAGACTCTGTCTCAAAAAAAAAAAGAAAAAAAAAGAAAAAACAACCAGATGCTAGCATACCATTATTCTGGTCTGCCTAACAATATATCTGAGACCACTCTATGTCTGTACATAAAAGTTTTCTCATTCTTTTTAGTGACCACATAGTATTCCACTATGTGAATCTTCCATTATTTATGTTAGCAACCTGCTGTTGATGACAATCTTGTGCAATTATGAAAACTGTTGTAATGAATAGCCTTGCACATACCTTACATGTCACATGTACAAGAATATCTGTGGGATAAATTTCTAGAAGAAGAATGACTGGGTCAAAAGCTATGTGCACTTATAATTTTAACAGATATTGTCAAATTGCCCTCCAGAGGTTGTATCAATCTCCCCTGCCAGTTGCAGTGCATGAGAGTACTTGTTTTCCCATAGCCTTGCCAACACTGTGTGTTAACAAACTTAGGTACCTTTGCCAATCTGAGAAGTGAAAAATGATATATCAGTGCAGTTTTAATTTGCAGTGGAATTGAATTTAGATAATTCTAGAAAGTGCCACAAAGGGAGGAGGCACAGGAGAGATAAGAACACGGAGGAAGGAGAACCTAGTTCTGCCTGAGGAAGGCTTTATAGAGAAGTTGAGGCTTGAGCTGAATCCCAAAAGATAAGCAGGAGGAGTTTCTCAGTGGAGAAGAGGCAATGGGCTCAGACGAGGGAGTATCGGGTGCAAAGCCAGGAAGGTGTGAAGGTGCAGAGCATATTCAGGAAGTGGCAGGCTGTCCAGCGTGGCTGGAACACCGCATTCCTGTGTGGGGCTGAGAGGGAGGGAAAGCTCAGCAATCGGTGATGAGACTGGCAGGGGGGAGTGTGGCCAGATTGTGGAAAACCTCCTAGGCCTCCCTCTAAATCAAATCTCAGTTTTTAAAAGATAAAATATATTCCCTGTCTGTAGGAACTAAAGAGAAAACAGAACTAAAGCCCATTCTACCCAAAACAAATTCGAAAGTGAAATAATAATAAAACAATCGCTTTGAATCCTGTAGGGAAAATGAGAAGTACAGTATAAACACTTCTCACTCTTTTTTTCCTCTTTTTCTCCTGGAAGGAGGTTATACTTGAGTTAAATGTATATAGTTTCTAACTAACCGTTCCCAAAGGGTGGTTTCAAAAATGTTCTGAGCCAGATAATGGTCTAGTTTCTCAAAGGATAGTGCTGCTTTGGATTTATATGTTCTCATCTATAACAATAAGAAACAGTTGCATTACTTATAACATCACTCTTTATGCATGTGCATAATGATGAACCATTATTCCAATAACCAATGATGAAGGATGTGGACAATATAAATCAGAAATAAGAAGCTTTTCTCCTGATACAAAAAGCACAAGCAACAAAAGAAAAACATAGATAAATTGGACTTCACTGAAATGTAAAACTTCTGTGCTTCAAAGAACACCATCAAGAAAGTGAAAAGACCACCCACAGCATAGGAGAAAATATTTGCCAATCATAGGTCTAATAAGAGTCTAGTATTCAGAATATATAAAGAAATCATAACCCAGCAAAGACCACCCAACTAAAAATGGACAAATTATCCAAATAGACATTTCTTCAAAAGAGATATACAAACGGCCAGTAAGCACAAGAAAAGATGTTCTACATTGTTATCAGGGAAATGCAAACCAAACTGCAATGATACCACTTCACAACTACTAGGATGACAATAAAAAAGATAGACAACAAGTCTTGACAAGGATATGGAAAATTGGAACCCTCATCCATTGCTGGTGGGAATGTAAAATGGCACAACTATTGTGGAAAACAGTTTGGCAGTGCCTCAAAAGTTAAATGTAGAGTCACCATACGACCTAGCCATTTCACCCCTTGGATATATATCCAAGAGAATTGAAAACATATATCCATACAAAAACTTGTACGTAAAGGTTCATAGCAACAATATTCCTAATAGCAAAAAGTGGAAATAACTCAAATTTCTATCAACTGGTGAATGAATAAACAAAATGAAGGCTTTATTTGGAATTTTATTCAGCCATAAAAATGAATGAAATACTGACACATGCTACAACATGGACGGACCTTGAAAACACTATGCTAAATAAAAGAAGTCCGTCACAAAGGCCACATATTTTAAGATCTCATTTATAGGAAATGTCCAAAACGGGCAAACCCATAGAAAATAGAACGTTGATTAGTGGCTGTTGGAGCTGGGAGAAGGGGAAATGGGCAGTAACTACTAATGGATATGGGTTCCTTTCTTGAGAGATGAAAATGTTCTGGAATTAATGTGATGATTGCTTAACTTGTGAATACACTAAAAATCACTTAGTCGTACACTTTAAAGGGTGAATTATATGGTATTTTAATTATATTTCAGTTTTTTTGTTTTTAACTTTTTTTTTTTTTTGAGACAGAGTCTCACTCACTCTGTCACCCAGGCTAGAGTGCAATGGTTTGATCTCAGCTCACTGCAACCTCTGATTCCCAGGTTCAAGCGATTCTCCTGCCTCAGCCTCCTGAGTAGCTGGGATTATAGGCGTGCACCACCATGCCCGGCTAGTTTTTGTAGTTTTAGTAGAGACGAGGTTTCACTGTATTGGGTAGGCTGGTCTTGAACTCCTGACCTCAGGTGATCCACCTGCCTTGGCCTCCCAAAGTGCTGGGATTATAGGCAGCCTGAGCCACTGTGACTGGCCTATATCTCAGGTTTAAAAAGAAAAAATAAAATGCTTAAAAGGAAACTTTTCTCCAAGGAGGACAAGCCAAAGCCTCAACATATTTTTAAATTTTTTTTCTTAGAAAATTAGAAAGTGGTTCATTTGTTTTTTTTTTTAAAGAACAGAACACATTATACTTTGTTAAATAAATACCACAACTTTTCAACATTTATTTAATTCCACATGAAGCCAGGAAGAAAAGAGTAGAAAGAAGTTAAAACAGGGAGGAGGAAGGAGACTCAGAGGGAAAATTGGGGTGGGCAGTGACCTCCAGGCAGGGAGAGCCTCGCAGAGGCCAGGGAGGAGCATGGGACAGAGGAGTGGAACAGGGATGGGGAAAGGATGGGACAGGAACAAAGAACAGAGGCTGGCAGAGAGAGCTCTTGGATTCTGGGGGGGAAACGCCTAGGAAGTTCTGTACTCACAACCCAGAGAAATGAGGAAGTAATGTAAATCTTTACTGCGTCTCTTGGGAAAATGCTGAAGAGGGGGCCCATTCACAGCACAGCAAAATTGTTTAAAAATCCCCCCTCTCTCCCGTGTGCATCGCAACAGATGCTTACAGGATTTCTTCCTGTGCAGTGTCTTGTCTCCCTCATTATCTTACCCTCTTCCCTCAAGTATCATTATTCTTTGCCCACCGGCAGCTCTTGGTCCTTTTTATTACCTCAAACAAGATGATGAACATATCCATCACGCCCAAATGTTTCCTCCGGCTCCTTTGTCATTCCTCCCTCCTGCCTCTTCCCTGCTTTCTCTTCCTACAAGTTAGTTTGCATTTTCTACAGTTTTACATAAATGGAATCCTACCCTATGTAGTCTTTCATAGTCTGGCTTCTATCACCCAGCCGAGTGTCTTTGAGCTGCACTCACAGGCTTTATCACTCCTTGTTGTTGCCGAGTATATTATATTGTGTGTACACACCACTAGACTTTACTTTGAAGGTCAGGAATGCAGGATCCAGAGAGGGGACGAAATCTGACCAAGTCAAGACCTTAACAAAATCCAGAATGGAGATGGGGGAGTGCCTGTTTCCCTAAAACACAAATGCCATTTGCACTATGAAAGAATGTGGCCACCACAACCACGTAAATGACCAAATACAACTGTGCTTCTTTCAATCTCTGTCTCCAGGTCTGATCAGGTCCCAGGCACACAGGGAACTGAGGCAGCTTAGCAGTGTTATGACTTCTGGGGGTGACTTCGAGAAATGTTTGACTTCTGGCCTTTTCTGCATTAAACCCTTCAAGAGGTTAGGACATGAGGAAAACATGCCATGTTATTTATAAGTGTAAAATATCTGTTAGTAGGAAATAAATAAAACAAAGGACTGTATAATATTTTATGAACTGTAAAGCATAAATCAAAGGCAAGATTTTCTTTTCCCTCAGAAACCTCTTCAAGTTGTATTTTGTGCTCAGATTAAAATTTAACATTTAAGATAACTGATCTAGGAAAAACAAAACAAAACAAGGGAGTTAGAGGGCCATAAGTGAAATGATTCTAAGAAGCTATGATATTATGTCATCAGCAGCAACTATGTGTACCTCTGTAGGAGGAGACTCAGAGTTCTATGGGCCCAGGATGAATCCCACAGAATGAGCTCTGTGACTCTGACCTCCAGCGTCAGTCCTTCCCATGCCTAAATCGACAATAGAAGCTTTCTTTCTGTCTATAACTACTCAGCTATTTTGATCAAGCTTCTACCCTGTCCAGAATCCTAGGGTGTCCCCAATCTGATAGGACCCCTGGGACAATAGTTTAAAGAATTCTGAGACTTTGAGACTTAACAATAGCCACTGCAACACTACCCTCCAGGGCTATTTTCAGACCCTTGCTATTCTGAGTGTGAGCTGCAGATTAGCAGTACCTGCATGACCTGGAATTTGTTAGAAAGGCAAATTCTCAACACTCCTACCACCTGCCTCCCTACTGAATTGCAATATGCATATCAGTGAAATCCCCAGGTGATTTTATGCACATTAAGGTATGTGAGAAGCCCTGGTCTAGACTAGTGGTTCTTCAACATTCCTTTTTTTTTTTTTTTTTTTAAGACAGAGTCAGAGTCTAGCTTTGTCGCCCAGTCTGGAGTTCAGTGGTGCAATCTTGGCTCACTGCAACCTCTGCCTCCCAGGTTCAAGTGATTCTCCTGCCTCAGGCTCCCAAGTAGCTGGGAGTACAGGCACCCGCCACCACACCTGGCAAATTTTTGCATTTTTAGTAGAGATGGGATTTCACAGTGTTGGTCAGGCTGGTCTCAAACTCCTGACCTCAAGTGATCCACCCACCTTGGCCTCCCAAAGTGCTGGGATTACAGGCGTGAGCCACTGTGCCCAGCGGTCCTTCAACTTTCGAGTACATCAGAATCATCCGGAGGATGCCGGGCTGCAGGACTTGATCCAGGGACCACAGTCTGAGAACCGCTGCTCTAATGTCTAGAGCTGGATGATTACACAGAGATTGAGTCCTTTCCCATTACTGAGTAACAACGATGGAGAATTCCTACATCTTCCAACTCAGCCCAAGATGAGAAATCCAGGAAAGCTAACACTTCACAGTGATTGGGACCATGACCTCTTTCCTTGGGTTGTTTTAACATTGCCTCCCACTTAAACAAAGCCATGGACAATAGGTTCTAAGGCCTTTGTACCAAAGCCAGAATAAATTTATGGCAGAGGCTCTGTCTCAGAATGTGTTTTCCCACCTTTGAGACAAATGGAGCCTGAAGTGCTGCAGCTGAGAGCTATGGTACTGGGAGGTCCCTATCTGAGAACGGGCTGGAACAGGTTGGTTACCCTGTACTGCCCCTTTTGTGGAGTGTTCTTTATCAAGGTCCTTAGAGTCCAAGGCTTTTGTGCTTGAGTCCTCCTTGTGAGTGTTCCGAGTTCTTAAGTCCACTTGTGCCCTGCACAGCACAGCAGCCATGCACTGTGGTACAGACTTGAAATGCAGAACACCCTGAGGGCCAAGCACAGCTCCCAGACTGCTAACTCACAACCCAGACACTGTTAGATCCTACTGCCTTTGTGCTGCAAAGATATTCCTACATGCACAGAAAAGACATCCCATGGAAGCAAAATTACTCTCAAATCAAAAAATGTGCTAAAGAAAGACACAACAGCCATTCTAAGAAGTAGAGATGAGGCTGGGCGAGGTGGCTCACGCCTGTAATCCTAGCACTTTGGGAGGCTGAGGCAGGTGGATCACCGGAGATCAGGAGTTCAAGACTAGCCTGGCGAACATAGTGAAACCTTACCTCTATGAAAAATACAAAAATTAGCTGGGCATGGTGGCAGGCACCTGTAATCCCTTCTACTCGGGAGGCTGAGGCAGGAGAATCACTTGAAACTGGGAGGCCAAGGTTGCAGTGAGCCAAGATCACACCACTGCACTCCAACCCGAGTGACAAGAGCGAAACTCTGTCTAAAAAAAAAAAAAAAAGGCGGGGGGTGGAGTAGAGATGAGTTTTGACCTGTACGAGGTTGGTCATCTACCTCAAGTGCCCATTGGATGGGAAGAGGCAAGCTGTGTTTTCACCAAGAAAATCAGATTATACATTTATATTATAGATAAGTTACAAGTAGAAATAATATTGGTCATTGTGGAATGCTTCTTATATGCCAGGGTCTGTGCCAAATATTTGTAAGTATTATTTCAGTCCTAGCTACAAGATTAGTATCACTATTGTCCTTTTACACACACGGAAACTAAGAAACAGAACCCTTGTATATTTTGCCCAAGGTTACAAAAGCAGTTTGGTATCCGAATCTGCACTCTCAACCATAGACTGTGTGGTGGCAGGTTACCGAACAGTGAGGTGTGGTGGGGAAAGAGTCAACCGTCATTGTTCACAACAGGGATTTTGAGAGAGAGAGAGATAGAGAGGGAGACTTTAAGTATCATTGGAACTGTTTTCATTTATCTATCTATTTGCATGAGCATGGGAAACAAAATCTCACCAAGAACCCTATTTTATAAAACAGATCAAATCATAGCTCTTCTGGTTGAAGACAGGCAGAGGCTCTGGACCCCTGCCCACACCCACAGCACCCCCCATCACACCCTACTCCCACGCTGTGCTCACTCCTAGGAAGTGGTTCCACCTCTATGGTCTCTGGCCTCAATGTTTCCAATTCCAAGTCCATTCCCTGAGGGGCAAACCATGGATGTATGCTGGAGGGGAATGCTCTGGGAATGCACAGCCTTTGAGAGGCAGCAGAATAAGTATGGTGAACTTTATTGAGCACTTAAAATTACAGTTACTTGAAGGCCACAAGGGAAAGGAATGCTTAGAGCACGTCATAATAGGGAATTCAGGTAGAATGTTGAGTCTGAATGCCTTGCGTCTACCCACATAAAGATCCAGTCCAGCTTAGAATTGTGTGTAGGCATGAGTATATGTAATAAGCATTAATGAATTAGCATTGATGTAATCTACAGCATTAATGGATTGAGTATGTGTTGGAAGTGTGAGCACAATAATAGCCCAAGTGTTAATTCACGGAGGTCCCACATCACTGTGGCAGCCTCGAGAAGCCACTGAAGACCTCAGAGCCTTCAGTGGGTTGTTTGATGGGTTAGGTTGTTCTATCCCAAACCACCATTCACAACCCTCTCACAGAGGGGAACTCAAGTGCATCTGTCCAGGGACCAAAGTGGCAAGTGATCTGCTGCTCTCTCTGTACCATCCAGAAGGCCTGTATCTGCCCCTGTTGGTCACTGAGCTGGCTGGTTCTCTCAAAGTCAGCCGCCCGGAGAGAACAGCACAGCCAGACCCTTCTACCAGGGCACTGAACCTCTGGAGAGGCAGGAACTCAGGAGGCCCTGTCGGTCCCTTTTATGTTGTCCATTAAATCAATGACTGGTTTCAATCCATGGTTGGGGGTGGGGGGATGGAGGTGGGGGGGCCGTTCTTACCTTTAAAAAAAAAACACTTTATCACTTTAACCTTTAAATCACCTTCGACATTCTGGCAGATTTTCTTCCAGTCTTTTTTCCTTCGAATTTTTTTAAATCTAAACTGAATTTACAATGTATATTCAATTTGTTGAAGATTTTTTCTTCTAAAAAAATGGAATTGTAAGCATCTTCCAATGTATTAATTATTTTTTACAAGCAACAAGTAATCATGAGTGACTTAAGTAAATTTGCCTGTGCCTTGATGTCCTCATGTTTAGAATAAAGCAGTGGCTCTCTAATTTTTGCATGCATCAGAGTCACCCAGAGGGTTGTTAAAAGGCACAGATTGCTGGGCCCCACCCCAAAATTTCTGAGTTAATAGGTTGGGAGTGGGGCCTGAAGATTTGCATTTCCAACTTCCCAGGAGATGCTGATGCTGCTGGTCAGAAGACCATACTTGGAGAACAATGAAATGAAGAGACCGAGTTGTGGAATGTCCAAGCTCACCACTGGTCTCAAAATCTAAGTTTTTGAATATTTTTTTAAATTCTTTAAAAAAAACAATTCTTGGCCAGGTGTAGTGGCTCACACCTATAATCCCAGTTCTTTGGGAGGCCAAGGCGGGTGGATCACCTGAAGTCAAGTGTTGGAGACCAGCCTGGTCAACATGGCGAAACCCAGTTCTCTAATAAAAACACAAAAATTAGCTTGGCGTGGTGGCGGGTGCCTGTAATCCCAGCTACTCGGGAGTCTGAGGCAAGAGAATTGCTTGAACCCAGGAGGTGGAGGTTGAAGTGAGCCAAGATTGCGCCACTGCACTCCAGCCTGGGCAACAGAGCAAGTCTCAAAAGCAAAACAAAACAAAAAAACAATTCTTTAGCAAAGCCCTATGATTTTTTTTTAATATGAAAGGAACATCACCTACCACTTACAAGAAATTGTTTCCACTTGTAAGTCATATGAGTTCCATACTTACATCTCTTTGAAGGTACCTGGATTTTTAAAAGGATATCTTTAAAAGACAGGCAGACTTACATCTAATACTTAATTGTTTTTTTCTTTTCTTTTACATAGTTCCATACGTTTTGAAGAGCTGTGCAGAATTTATAGAGACTCACGGCATCGTGGATGGAATCTATCGGCTTTCAGGAGTCACCTCAAACATACAACGGCTAAGGTAAGCTAAAAGAATAGCCCTAAAAGAATTCTCCCATGATTCCTCCTGTGTCCATGCCTCTGTCCATCGGTGTCCAGAGTATTAAAAACCCAAAGGAACTGAGGGAAGTGTGGCAGCACCGAAGATCAGATGCAGTGGTTTTCAGATGCCTGACTGTTCTTAATCTAATCAGGAAACCCTCCAGCCTGATGTAATTCTTTCCAACAAAAGCTCCTAAGGCTTTCATTCTGTTTCTTTGTCTTGCACTAGATATATTCTTCTTTGGTGAATTTGATTTAACTCAAATGATTTAAATTACAAGTTAAGGAAAACGTGATTTATTATCATTTGCTGGCCTGCCCAAAGCTCAGTTAGACTAGGTTCCTGTTACTTAGTGTTCAGAGATCCATGTCAGTTTTTCTGCTGGCACACCCTCAAATTTGATGTTTTGTCTGGTTGAGAAATCAGAAGCCTATATGATTGTGCATGTCTCTAATTGATGCTAGGATTTTAAAAATTACTGATGGGTGAAAAAAATAAAAAATAATAAAAATAAAAAATAAATTACTGATGGGTGAACTATTTCCAATTCTATGTATTTATCCTAAATATTTGGAAGAAATTTCTATCACATTAAATAAAGAGGGCAAAACATTTTATACAAAACACAGGTACGTGTGTGTTTTATATATATACAGAGAGTATATAGAAAACAGAGTATATATGTATAATTTTACATAACTTAAACAATAGATTTACATATTTTGCATATTGTTCCTTAACACCAAAAGGAACATAATTTAATGTTATTTTAATTATAACATTTTATTATTACCTATATTTATTATATGTTCTTTAGTTATAAATGTAGGCTTTTAAAACAAAAAAAATTCTTATTACAAGGCTAATATGTAAAATTTAATAAGTTGTGCAGGTAATTCAGTTTTCATATTCTTTCTCCTGTTTGGTTTCTGCCCTTTTCCTCCAGATTTGGATTGTAATTAAATTATACCAAAAAAATAGAGCATCTTTTTTTTTTCCTAGAGAAGTCATAGCTGTTAAAAAAAATAATTGGTTTATTGCAGCCATAGATTTTAATGAATCTATGTGTTTACATAATTTCACTAATTTACTAGTACTCCATTTATTAGAGTTTCAATGGCAAATACTTCTTAGTGGTTGGAAATATACCACACAGTACCTACCACACAGTAGGTAGCATCCCGGAAGGACACTTCAGTAGTAATGAATTATTTTTTATTTCAGCACTGACCTTATCCTTGACAAGAGAAATCTTTGGCTAAATAAATGAATAAGCTCTAGATTGCTCTTGTTCTGCTCTCTTAAAAACATTCTCTTTTTAAAAGAGAACTATGCCAAGAGAACATAGCATGGCATAGTTCTCTTTTAAAACATAGCATGGGCCGGGCACAGTGGCTCACACCTGTAATCCCAGCACTCTGGGAGGCCGAGACGGGTGGATCACCTGAGGTCAGGAGTTCGAGACAAGCCTGGCCAACATGATGAAACTCCGTCTCTACTAAAAATACAAAAATTAGCCGGGTGTGGTGATGGGTGCCTGTAATCCCAACTACTCGGGAGGCTGAGGCAGAAGAATTGCCTGAACCTGGGAGGCAGAGGTTGCAGTGAGCCGAGATTGTGCCAGCCTGGGCAACAACAGTGAAACTCCATCTAAAAAAAAAAAAAAATAGCATGGCATAGATCTCTTTTCAAAGCCCCACTCAGTTTCTTTCAGGTTCTGAAAGTATCAGGGATTTCCCTACCCTTCATTAAGGGGGTAGGCCCAGAAAACAGGAGAATGGGCAGCGAGCTGTTTCAAAAATGCTGGTTCTGAGAGTACTGTTGACTTTGTCACCAGTTGGATGACTAAGTGAATACTCTCAAAAAGCTTAACTTCTCTTCTATATTAAAGCTCCAATTTATCATTTTTAAGCAGATTTTAATTTATAAGTATTAATACATACTATTTGAGGCAGTATATTCATGTAACCTTTTTAGGAAATGTTTTCTAAATGTTTTTCAGGCCTGGAATTGGATGATGTCCAAGACATCCCACTATAGATTGTTTAAGAAGATATTTATGAATTCATCTGTCCTGTAGGAGTCACCATCAGGCAGCCTAGAAGGTTCTGTTGAGCACCAAAAAGATAGTCGATTAGGCTGGGCATGGTGGCTCACGCCTGTAATCTCAGCACTTTGGGAGGCCGAGGTGGTCAGATCACGAGGTCAGGAGATCGAGACCATCCTGGCTAACGTGGTGAAACCCCATCTGCACTAAAAATACAAAAAATTAGCCGGGTATGGTGGCGGGCGCCTGTAGTCCCAGCTACTCAGAGGCTGAGGCAGGAGAATCACTTGAACCCGGGAGGCGGAGGTTGCAGTGAGCCAAGATTGTGCTGCTACACTCCAGCCTGGGTGACAGAGCGAGACTCCATCTCAAAAAAAAGAAAAAAAAAAAAAAAGATAGTCAATTAAAGTTCTCAAGCTTTGGGTTTGAGTCTTCAGATAAAACAAGTTTGTTGACACAGATATATGGAGATGAGCGACAACAACCTGACCTACCCTAGTTTCGGTCTCTCCTGTAAGAAAGGGAAATTCATTTTGAACAATATTTTGGAAAAACTGAAATCTCAATAGGACTTTTTGGCAAATTATGTTGATATTTCCCCAATGTTCATAACCAAGACTGCAGACCTGATGCCACGGGTAATCCATTTGTAAATGAGCATTATGTCCTTCTAATCACAGCAGATTTTGCAAGAAGATCCAGACCTGAAGTGGAAGTCTTCCTGTGACTTCCTAGGGCCTGGAGTAGAAGATCTTTTTGAATTAAGGTCAAAAATATAGTCAGAATCAGCAGTTTAGGGTCTTTTTACCCCTAAGCAGCCAAGCAGCTGCTGACATGGAACACACACTCCCTGGGATTGTTATGTCTCCGTCTGTGTTGTTTCAGGCAAGAGTTTGGCTCAGATCAATGTCCAGATCTGACAAGGGAAGTGTACCTCCAGGACATCCACTGTGTGGGCTCGCTTTGCAAGCTCTACTTTAGGGAGCTGCCCAACCCCCTCCTGACTTATGAGCTCTATGAGAAATTCACGGTGAGTGTTTGGATTTCCATTATGGTTACTGGGTGGGATGCATGGATGGGCCAAGAAGAGTTTCAGCACTAAAATAACAATAATAACACTCACCAGATGGTTGACATTATCTTAGCGTGGTGAGGGAAGTAGGATAATATGGTAAGGAAAATAGGGTGGTGGAATTGTTTGCTAAATTTTTCTTTCTTGAATTTTCAGAATCATGTTGTTTGTTTTAAGAGCTGGGTTGAATTATCTCCATGTTTATTCAACTGAATGTGCCTTATTGTATAGGGAGGAAACTGAGAACCCCAGAAGTAAAGTGTCTGGCCCAAGGTCACACAGCAGAGGCAGGACAGGAACCTGAGACTCCTCATGCTACACCCACTGCTAGCCTTTTTATCAGACCATTCCCTCTGTGTTTCTTTTGTAGGTTGGGTAAAGAGGTGGGTGGGTAGAGAGGGGAGAGGGAACAAACAAATGTCAAGAGGTGTCAGAAAGCTGGGAAGAGAAAAGAATATGAGAAAAACAGCCAAGAGGGAGAGCAGGATAGGCAGTGAGTTGGACTGGTGGAGAGGATGGATGGGCATTAGCAAAACACCTAAGTAGCAGCTGTATGGTCACCAAATAGGGCACACCCATAGGAAAGTAGAAAGAAGAATAAATGCTTAAAGGGTGACTGTAGAGATAGCGTGAAAAACATGGCTTGAACATTTGGCTGCATGGGAGAAGGTGTAGAGTAGGCAGAGGGCTGGGTTTAACCAAGGTTGGGGTTCAGTTGGCAAAGAGGGATGAGGGAGATGAGAGCGTGTGCTGGGGGCATTGAAACAATTTACCATGGAATGTAGTGTAGATACGAAAAGAAGTGAGGGCACAAGGTAGTTGAGTAACAGTGTAAAAGTAGATCATCCCAGTGAAGTCAGTGGACTGTATGGTAGTTAGAGAGGGATGTTTGAAAGTGAGACTATGGCGAGGTTACAGTTTTGGGTAAGGACCAGATCTAGTCACTAACAGTGGGAGGGAACCTTTCTCATGGCTCCTGTAATAAATTTGTTTTGAGTATATGAAAGGTTCTTCAATTTGAAATGATACAGGAATAAATGAATGCTATTTCTTAAAAATGGGCTTGGGCTGTAAAAATATGTTTAGGAGTTTTCAGTGGTACAGGGAAATACTCAAATGCTAATTGAAGAAAAACTAAATGCACAACTGTATATTAAGAAAGGAATAAAAGGAAAGATGTTCAAAAGACTAAAAGACTAACAACTGTTCATTTCAGTGATGGGATTTCAGACAGTTTTTCTTGTTTCTTTAACTTTCATAAGTTTGCCCACTAAAAATATATTAGCTTTTAGCAAGCAACAACAACAACAACAAAACCATCTTCTGGTTATATATACTTAAAGAATTTAAAAAAGGAAAAACAAAATCAAGAAATAGGGGGAGAAATGAAGATTTAAAAAAAAAAGAAAAGAAAGAAAAAAATAGTCCAAAGCACATTAAAAAATGGGCATAAATGTTGACCTCTAGAGAAGTCAACATGTACCAGCTGGCATAGAGTTGTCATTGGTTATGGGGCCCTTCTCCTTTAGATCTAAGGCAGAAGGTAAAGAAGCCTCCTATCTGCATGGGTAAGTTGTAAATAATGGTATCCCCTACCCATGGAACCACAGAAGTGTCTTTCCTAGGAACCAAGAAGAAAGGTGTGAGCTTCATGTGGGTCTGTCAGATTATAATCACTTTCACCATATGTAAGTATTTGGTTAAGAGTAATCCTATTTAATAAAAGACATTATGAAAAATGAAGGAAAGTAGAAAGGAACCATTGATCTGTCTCCTTAAAGACCAAAGACAACTACAGTTAACATGTTGTGGGTATTCTTTCCATAGTGTTTTTGTTGTGGTTTGTGTTTTGTTTTCCAAAATCAAAATAAAATTTTATTGCAAAAATTAAAGTAATACAGAAATGTATAAAGGAGAAAGTATAAATCTCAAATCACCTGAAATTCCACACTCCAGGCATATTTGCTGTTAACAGATCGAACAGATATTAACTATATCTGTAGTAATAGATGTTAACAGATCTCAACACACACACACTCACACACACTCACTTGTCAGTACTACATATTGCTGTTTGGGGGATGCTTTTAATTCAACAGTGTGATCATCTTTGTGTGTTAAGAAATACGGGAAGACACTGTGTTTACAGCATTCTCTCTATGTGCCATGATTTCTGAAACCAAGCTCCCACTGATGGATATTTAGCTTTTTCATTTCTCAAGACGTTCCTTTTATAAACATTATAATACACATTTTTTCACCTATATTTTTACACTATTTTTTGTTTGTTTATATCCTTAGAGAAAAATCATGGAAGTAGATTTGCTGAGTAGAAAGTTCTTGTTTAAAATTTTGTCACAAATTACCAGTCTGTCCTCCAGAAAGACAAGGAATGCTCTTTTCCCTGCAGACTTTCCAACCCTGGGTATTTCCAATTGGTTAAATTATTTGTTGACCTGAATCAACAAAAAATAATACCTTATTGTTGCTTTAATTTGTGTGTAAGACTTTATTGTTTTCAATATAGTTGTAATCCTCTTATCAGTACCATATTATCATCTTTGAATATGATAGAATGGAATATCATTATGTTAATGAACTGAATCAGTCTTATTTCTTTTAACTAATATCTCATTCTATTATAGTTGGGGGTAGATAGGAATTCTTTGTCTGGAAACTTTAGAAATACAATTTCTCCTTAGCCCTTGTCTACAGGCTCAGAATGAAACCTGTATTTATCTCTCCCCTCTCCTGTTCCCTGTTATTGCTAATCATTGTGTTTTCTCACAGCAACTGAAAAATACCAAGGCAGCTTGTCAACCTGTCTTCAGATTTGAAGGAAATCTGACATTGTATTTAAACAGTTTATTTGACACTAAAAAACAGGGATGTTTTGTTATGACAACTAACTCTATATACATAGGATCTAGTGAAGTTAACTATGTTGGAGAATGTATCATTTAATAGATTTCTTTGATCACAGATAATATAAGTAAACCTTCACGGGTATGGAAATAGCTCTGTTACATTGTCACACATTCTCCCTATAGTTTACTCAAACCTACTTGCACAGCTAAAGTAGAATAATACCTTTTATTAACTTTTATTTTAGGTTCAGGGTACATGTTCAGGTTTGTTATATAGGTAAACTTGTGTCACGGGGGTTTGTTGTACAGATTATTTTGTCACCCAGGTACTAAGCCTACTCCCAATCAAGTAGTCCCCAGTGTCTGTTGTTCCTCCCTTTGTGTCCATGTGTTCTCATCATTTAGCTCCCACTTATGAGTGAGAACCTGCACTATTTGGTTTTCTGTTCCTGCATTAGTTTGCTAAGGATAATGGCCCCCAGCTTCATCCATGTTCCTGCAAAGGACATGATCTTATTCTTTTTTAAGGCTGCATAGTATTCCGTGGTGTATATGTACCATATTTTCTTTATCCAATCTGCCATTGATGGGCATTTAGGTTGATTCTGTGTCTTTGCTATTGCGAATAGCACTGCAATGAACATACGTGTGCATGCGTCTTACGGTAGAACAATTTATGTTCCTTTGGATATATACCCAGTAGTGGGATTGCTGGGTCGAATAATAGTTCTGTTTTTAGCTCTTTGAGGAATCACCACACTGCTTTCCACAACGGTTGAATTGATTTACACTCCCAACAGTGTATGTATAAGTGTTCATTTCTCCCCAACCTCACCAGCATCTGTTATTTCTGACTTTTTTTTTTTTTTTTTTTTGAGACAGAGTCTCACTCTTGTCACCCAGGCTGGAGTGCAGTGGTGTGATCTCAGGTCACTTCAACCTCTGCCTCCCGGGTTCAAGCTATTCTCCTGCCTCAGTCTCCTGAGTAGCTGGGATTACAGGCGCTCGCCACCACGCCCACTAATTTTTGTATTTTTAGTAGAGACGGGGTTTCGCCATGTTGGCCAGCCTGGTCTTGAACTTCTGACCTCAGGTGATCCACCCACCTTGGCCTCCCAAAGTGCTGGGATTACAGGCGTGAACCACCGCACCCGGCCTATTTTTGACTTTTTAGTAATAGCCATAGAAGAATATCTTAATGGAATGATGAGAGAATAAGAAAAAATATTAATGGACTAATAATACTAATAATGATAATAGCTGTCAATAATTGAGTGCTTACTATATGATAAACTCATTATAAATATTATTTCATTTAATTCTCAAAATAACCCTATGAGGTAGGTTTTATTGTCTCTGTTATACAGATCATTAAAATGAGGCTCAGGGTGACTCTTGCCTGGGGTGGTACAGCTAGTAGGTGGAGGTAAAGATGTAGTTCTGTCTCATAACTCCCACACTACTTGAAAGTAGAGTTAACAACACTTAATTAAGGCTCAGGTATTAAATAACTTAATATGAAATAAAGTAATGAAGGAACAATGCCATAAACAGTGCTAGGAAAATTCGCTATCTATTGCAAAATGAGGAAATCAAGTTTCATCTTTACCATTTAGCAGATTTCAGGGTGGAGAAGGGTTTCCTAACCATAAAAGCAAAGGAAAAAAGTCACAAAAAACAAACTTAAAAATGGAACTACATATAAACTATTTTTCTTTATAAAAATATATTAACACAATTAAAAGGCAAATGACTAAATATAGGAACTATTTACAATAAAGATGACAGGGGATTAATGTTCTTTAATTATAAGGAAGCTATCAATAAAAAGAAGTAAAACATATAATACCTCAATAAACAAGTAAGCGAAGGACCTTGATAGATAATTCCTAAAAAAAGAAATTGAATTATTTAAAAAGTATCAATATATTAGAATAATATAGTTGCACATTAAATAAATAATTTTTAATGTTATCATTTCACACTGGCAAGCCCATGGTGAGACTGGCTTTTTTTTTTGTTGTTGTTGGCTTTTTTGGTTGTTTGTTTGTTTTTTGAGATGGAGTCTTGCTCTGTCGCCCAGGCTGGAGAGCAGTGGTGCGATCACGGCTCACTGCAGCCTCCCCCACCCGGGTTCAAGCAATTCTCCTGCCTCAGCCTCCTGAGTAGCTGGGATTACAGGCACCCGCCACCATGCCCAGCTAATTTTTGTATTTTTAGTAGAGACAGGGTTTCACCATGTTGACCAGGCTGGTCTCAAACTCCTGACCTCAGGTGATCCACCTGCCTCGGCCTCCCAAAGTGCTGGGATTACAGGCGTGAGCCACCGCACCCAGCTGAGACTGGCTTTTTTATAGTTTTCTGTTGGAAGTATAAATTGGTTGGACGTCCCCGAAAGTCATATGAAATTACTATCAAGAATACTCAAATGCTCATATTCTTTAATCCAGTAACTCTATTTCTAGGACTCCATTCTAGGGTGACAATCAGATGTGCACACAAATAATTGATGTACAAGTATGTCCATTGCAATATTATATACAATATCAACATTTTGGAGAGTACATGTCTAACAGTGAGAGATGATTTAAATAAATGATAAATCTATTGTTGTTAAAACTGTGTGGCCATGAAAAGTCACAGTTTTGAAAAATGTTTACTGACCATATGATATGGTTTGGAGGCTTGTCCCCTCTAAATCTCATGTTAAAGTGTAATCTCTAATGTTGGAGGTAGGGTCCTAGTGGGAGGTGACTGGATCATGGGGGTTGATCCCTCATGAGTGGCATGAATGGCTTAGCATCATCCACTTGGAGATGAATGAGTTCTCGCTTAGTTCATGTGAGATCTGCTTAGAGTTTGGGACCTCCCACTTTGCTCTCTCGTGCTCACTCTCTCACCACGTAGCATCACCTGTTCTCCCTTCGCCTTCCACCATGACTGTTAGCTTCCTGAGGCCCTCACCAGAAGCGGATACTGGAACCATGCTTGGACAGCCTGCAGAACCATGAACCAATTCAACCTCTTTTCTATATAAATTACCCAATCTTAGGTATTCAGTATGGTTTGGCTCTGTCCCCACCCAAACCTCATCTCGAATTGTAATCTCCACATGTTGAGGGAGGGACCTGGTGGGAGTGATTGGATCGTGGGGGCAGTTTTCCCTCATGCTGTTCTCATGATAGTGAATGAGTTCTCACAAGATCTGATGGTTCAAAAGTGTGTGGCGGTTCCCCCTTAGCTCTCTCTCTCTCACTCCTGCTCCGCTGTGGTAAGGCAAGCTTGCTTCCCCTTCACCTTCTGCCATGATTATGTTTCCCAAGGCCTCCTAGCCATGCTTTCTGTTAAGCCTGTGGAACTGTGAGTCAATTAAACCTCTTTTCTTCAGAAATTGCCCAGTCTCAGGTAGTTCTTATGGCAATGTGAAAAAGGGCTAATACAGTATTCATTTATAGTGACACAAAAACAGACAAACACACCATAATATAAAGTTAAATGGGGAAAAAAGCAGTATCTGTAACTAAACAGGAAATAAAGCCAGTGTTCATGTTTGGTGCTTGGAGGCCCTGATCAAACTGCTTTTTTTTTTGTTTTGCTTTTTGTTTTTCTTCACCTATAAGTAGGTTAGTAGTGGTTATTTCTGGGTGATGTGATAATAGGGGATTTTTTATTTTCTGCAGATTTCCTACTTTAATTGTGAGTACATGTATTAGTTTCCTGTTGCTGCTGTAACTAATTGCCATAAACTAGATGACTTAAACAACAGAAACCTATTGCCTCACAGGTCTGGAGGCCAGAAGTCTGAAATCGGCTTCACTGGGCTGAAGTTAAGGTTTCAGCAGGGCGTGCTCTCTCCAGAGGCTCTAGAGGAAAAGCCGTTCCTTGCTCCTCCCAGCTTCTGATGGCTGCTGACGTTCCTTGGATTGTTGGTGCCTCACTCCTGTCTCTGCCTCCAGGGCCACATTGCCTTTTCTTCTTCTGTCTGTGTCAGATCTCCCTTTGCCCTGCTCCTATATAGATACCCATGACTGCATTTAGGACGCACCCAGATAATCGAGGATAATGTCCCCACTCGACATCCTTAATTTAACCACATCTGCAAAGACTCGTTTCCAAATAAGGTAACACAGGTTCCAGTGATTAGGATTTGATATCGTCGGGAGCAATTATTCAACCTACTGTATTTCATTTTTATCAGAAAATAACAACAACATTTATTTTAGGAAAAATTCAATTTTGTTCAGATCGGTCCAGCTAAAACTATTACACCCAAAACAGGAAAATTTTGCTGACTTGAGATTTTTAGAGAAGGCCATTTAGAGGTGTTAAATTATGTATTTGCCTTTTTTCTTTTTTTAATTAAACTTGTCACCTGTCAGAATGTATATTTAGTTTATACTGAAATAGTATCTTTTTAAATTTTTTGAAATTTATTTATTTTTACAGATGCACTCTTACTCTGTTCCTCAAGTCTGGAGTGCAGTGGTGTAATCATAACTCACTGTAACTTCAAACTCCACGGCTCCAGCAACCCTTCTGCTTCAGCCCCTGGAGTAGCTAGAGCTACAGGCGTATGCATCAAGCCCTGCCCCAAATAATGTCTTGACGCGTCAGTCTCCCTTGGTTAAATTGTAAGCTTCCCGAGGACAGGAACTGTGTTTATTTTATTTATTGTTGTGTTTCCCTGCTTGCTAGCTTCTGGAAAATGTTGTAATTGTTACTTAGGAAATATTTACTGACAGATTTGTTGACTAGCAACTATCATTTGAAATGTCCCTTAGGGCCAGGCTTGGTGGCTTACGCCTGTAATCCCAGCACTTCGGGAGGCTGAGGTGGGCGGATCACTTGAGGTCAGTAGTTTGAGATCAGCCTGGCCAACATGGTGAAACCCCGTCTCTACTAAAAATACAAAAATTATTCGGGCATGGTAGTGTGCGCCTGTAATCCCAGCTACTCGTGAGGCTAAGGCAGGAGAATTGCTTGAACCTGGAAGGTGGAGGTTGCAAATTCCCCTGCTCCGTCTCCCATCATTTCCACCTGCCTTGCTCCATACAGGCCACACTGGCCTCCACATGTCCCCTAAGCAAGTTCAGTGTGTCCCCGCTGTCCCCAAAGCCTTTGTACCTGCTGTTTCTTCTTGGCACCCTGTTTTCCCGGATACTTGCACAATTTGTTCCTTCACTTCATCTTTGCCTCTGTTCAAATGTCACCTCCTAGAAACCTCTGATTATCCTATCTACAACAGGAGTCCCCATCATTCTCTCCCCTGTGCCCTACACTACCAGGATTGTGCCACTACACTCCAGCCTGGGTGACAGAGTGAGACTCGTCTCAAAAAAAAAAAAAAGGCAGTGTCACTTAGGGCAGACAACTAACACCTTGCAACAGGCAAAGTCAGGCTGGTTGTGAGCTCAAGACAGCTGCAAAGGGGTGCAGTAGCCAATTGTCTTGGTTTCCAGGGACTCTCCCTGTTTCAACACCGAAAATCTCATGTTCCAGGAAAACTCTGTCTTGGGCAAACCAGGATATTGGTCATCCTACTGGGAGCCCAGAGTGAAAAGGAGCTGCCTCTGCAATGCTGGTGTTCATCACTATGGGTAATGATCCCAGGATAGCAGTGTTCTGGAAGTGTGGCCCAAATGTGGCTGTTTAGCTTTTTCAAGCACAAAGCAAAATATTGACTCATTCACTTACTCCTTCCATTCAACAGTGTTTATTGGGCATCTACTACATACATTTGGCAGGCACAGTTCTAGGTGCGGAGATTTAATGGTGAATGGAACAGAGAAAATCTCTGTGCTTGTGAAATTTACATTTTAATGGAAGGGACAGATGATACCCAAATGTAAGACATAGATCTATAATGAGAACTCTTGATAAGTACTATGAAGAAAAATAATGCAGGGCACAGTGGAGAGAATGATGGGGACTCCTGTTTTAGATAGGATAATCAGAGGTCTCTAGGAGGTGACATTTGAACAGAGTCAAAGATGAAGTGAAGAAACAAATTTTGCAAGTATCCGGGAAAACAGGGTGCCAAGAAGAAACAGCAGGTACAAAGGCTTTGGGGACAGCGGGGACACGCTGAGCTTGCTTAGGGGACATGTGGAGGCCAGTGTGGCCTGTATGGAGCAAGGCAGGTGGAAATGACGGGAGACGGAGCAGGGGAATTTGCAGAGGGACCAGCTCACTTAGGAGTGCTTGCTTCCACAGGTGTAACAAAGACATAGCTATAAAGCCTGCCCTGAAGGACACACAGTGGTTCCTCTGGAGTCTGTAGTTGGAAGGAAGGTTAACTTTCCTTGTACATTCCTTTGGATGCTTTCCTTTTTTTTTTTTTTAATTATGTGCATGAATTACTTTTTAAAGGTCTAGTAAATAGCTTAAAATACCTTAAAATAATAAAAATGGTTTGATAATTTTAAAGTAATGAATAAAAAGTTAAAGTTGCAGCTGGGGTGCAGTTGGAAGGGAGAGCCTCAGACTGTCTGCGTTGGGCCACCCTGGTGACAGGGCTGCCCGGGCAGCAGGACTTGAGCTCAGGGACTGTGGTGGCTTTGAGTAAACAGAAACCCAGAGTTAGGGTCCTACCACAGAGGACAAGAGCCCAGCCTCTGCCAGCGTCCTCCAAGGGCAGGAAGCTGGCCTTACTGACACTGATTTGAAAAGAACAAATAGTCACAGATTCATCCTAGATCTTTTAAGATTTAACCATTAGCCATCTTGGCCTGGCTAATGCTGAGTGAAATTCTCTCACAGGCAAAAAACTGGGGTAGGTAAAATTTCCACTCCCATCCCCCAGTTGCCCCAGCTGTGGGTTCTGTGGTCCTAATGGGACAACATAGAGAAGCTCGAAATAAGTTTGCAGTGGCCGGGCCCCTCCAGAAGGAAAACATGAATTTAGAAAGCTTCTGGAGAGGGTTGGGGTAGGATGGGGAGAGGTTGCAAATAATGAAATAAACACCAGTCCCAAATGGGACCTGCAGGCCTCCAGGGATGAGCCTGCCCCGCCTCTTGGAGAACAAAGATGACTAACAGCTTCCTAAAATATTAAGGAACTTTCCATGAGGGTTGTTAAATTGACCTACACCTTTATTCCCCAGACACATTTTTTAAAGGAGGGTGGGGTTAGTGGTACAACGTTTGTGAAGCATGATTCCGGCTTTGCAGAGAGATGAAGAGAAGCTCCCCACCCCTCCCTGTGTGCACAGCAGAATGTGGGAGAGTCCACAGAGCATTCCCTCAGCCCTTCCCTCCCCCGGGGCTTCTCTCCCTTGGCTCCCCGGCTCCCCAGCTCCCCATTGTGAGGTTCTCACCGCCTTGCAGAGCCAGGGTCCTCTCCACAATCATGTTTTCCAAATGACAACCCCAGGGAAGAAAAGGGAGGTGTCAGGGGGCTTACTGGAAGCCCCATTCTTGCCCCTACCCTTCACCCTGCATATCTCATAAAGTGAGGATTGCAGCAGTGATCTTGCTTAGGCTGGCCTGTTCTCAGGCTGGCAAACCCACCAGAAGACTGGGACACCTATGACTATAATCCTCCCAGTCCCACGTTTCTCCCCACTTCTGCTTCAAATGCGAGACCTCAAGATTCCCACATAGAGAAGTTGGATTGCCTTAAAAAATGGTGGTCTTCTATATATTTGTTTTACTTCAATTAAATAAAAAAGGTGAAAAAGAAAAAACTTAGTGGGCAAAGCCCTGGCCTGCTGTCTCACACCTACTGTGTGCCAGGCACTGTTCTGGACACAGGGATTCATCACGTCCCAGCACTCACAGAGCTTATGTTCTAGCAAGGGAGACAGACAATAAGCAATAACTCCAATAAATAAGTGCATTCTTGTAGTGTAATGGCAGTGAGTCCTGTGGGGAAAAAGTGGGAGGGATTGGGAGGCCCAGGCTGGAGCAGGACCTCAGTGGTCTCCTCTAGGTTAAAACAGATCACACTCAACTAGTGTGTCCTAGGAACTGAAGATGCTGGTAAAGTTAATTCCCTTCCACTTTTCTGTGCCTAAAAATTCTCATTACTGACAGTGTGAAATTCAGTATTTACATGCAACATGCACACGGCAGCTAAAGGTTGAACAGAGGTGAGCAACGTAAGAAAACCATCACCACGGTTAGGATCTCATTTTGGGTTGTATGGCAAAGGGCAATATTTATCAAATTAATTAAGATATTCCATAATTGTACCTTTCATTATGTATCAATCTAAAGCAAGTTTCCAGCACTGGTAGGAAATACAAGACTAAGTGATGTGTGCCTGTGAATTCATGATCTTAGAGCCCTTTTTAAAGTATGTATTGATCTAGGTGGGTTACCTAGGTGTATACATATGAAAAAAACTCATGGAGCTATAGCTTAAGATCTGCACATTTTTAATATATGTAAATTATATCTCAGTGAAAAAGGAAAGATAGCTGTGGTTACCATGGACCTCAGGTTCAGGCACTGCTCAGATGCTGGCAGTTCATGAGCACTCACACTGCAGTGGGAGGGGCCGTGAGCACAGCAGGACAGATTCTCAGAACATGGGTGCAGGTCTGGGACCAGGGGAATCTGCCCAGGGATGCCTGCATCATGCAGCAACCCCCAGCATTCGAGAGATGGACGTGGACCAGCCTGTAATCACACTGCCTTTATTGCTATTCCTGCCTCTCCTTGAAGGCACTTGGGCTGATGGGGGAACAAAATACCCATACAGCAAATAACTGGAGAGCAAGTCTGGGCAAGGCCACCAGGTTTCAGGGACAACGCTCTTATCCCTGCCAAGGAAAGCACATCTTCCCTGCTTCCTGGCTTCTAGGACAGGCAGCAGCTGAGTCCTTGAGGTCATGGGGTAGTCACGGGCTAGGTAGGCAGTAGCTGTTTGCACCCAGAAAGACAGCTGGCTGAGTGGACTTGGTAATGCCCTGTCATCTCCATCTCATTCTGTATCTGTCTCATTTATTTATTTACTTGCTTGTTATTTATTTATGTATTCATTCATTCATTCATTCATTCATGTTTTAGAGACAGGTTGCACTATGTCGCTAGACTAGATCCAAACTCTTGTGCTCAAGCAATCCTCCCACCTCAGCCTCCTGAGTAGCTGGGATAACAGGCATGCGCCACCATGCTGGGCCTATCTCTATCTCTTTACCTCTCTGTGTGTGAGTCTCTGTATCTCTCTACCCCCGAGACACACCCGAGATTCTACACATTCTTACCAGACGCCTAGCAACCATCTCAGGATGCCCAGAGTCCCAGGCAGCCCACCGCCTGCTGTGCACACATGGTGAGACCCTGCACACACATCCAGAACCAACAGAAACTGTAGTGGGATAGTTGTTTTCATAGTAAAGCATGCCTCTTGGAAGGATGATCTCTAGGCATGGTTGTGAGGCTGGAGTATGAGGGCTTGAGTGATCCCAGCACATGCAGATGGCTGTCCCTGCTCTCAAGCACTCACCAGGCTGCCTTGTGTTCTTCTCCACAGGAGGCAGTGTCGCATTGCCCTGAAGAAGGCCAACTGGCCCGAATCCAAAATGTTATCCAGGAGCTTCCTCCATCCCACTATAGGTAAGAATGGTTGGGAAAAGAAACGTGTGGCCTCTCAATGCAGTGTAATACCAAAGAGACAGGCTGGCATCATGGAAAGGAAACAATGTGTGGACAGTAGCAAGTTTAGGCTTTCCCAAGGGCATTTTGAAGTTGGTGAACAGGTCACTATTATCAAAGTGAGTTGGTGTCTGACCAGGGACATTGGCAGCAAGGAGAAGCCAGTCTCCAAATCACCTGCAGAACACCCCTCAGAATCTCTCAGGAAGTCATTCCAGTGATGCATACTAGCCTCTTGGTGGCATTCTTGGTTCATACCCAGATTTGTAGCATAACCAAATCTATGGCAACCAAGATAGCTTTTCAACAGGGGTTGACTGTGGGCTCTTGAGCATTGGCTGATTGTTCTATTTGCTCATTAGTACCATCCCTACCATCATCCCCCACCCTTTCATTTCATTCTCACAGTTTAGCCCCTAATGTTGCCACCTTTCCCAGTGTTCCCTATGCCTGCCCATCTTTTACAAGGGGGCAGATTTTGATGTGGTATAAGAAGGAACTTCCTAGCAATAATAAATGTTGTTTATCCATGAAATTAGCTCCCTAACAAGTACCAAGATCCCTGTAGCTGGGAGAATTTTTATTAAAACGAGCCTAGATGAGAGCCTATTTCAAAACTGCTTGGAGGCCATCCTGCCCTGGTTGAAAGGACGAACAAATGGCCACTAAGAGCCTCCAGGCGGCCTGTGTGGTGGCTCATGCCTGTAATCCCAGCACTTTGGGAGGCCCAGGCGGGCGAGCACGAGGTCAGGAGATCGAGACCATCATGGCTAACACGGTGAAACCCCGTCTCTACCAAAAATACAAAAAATTAGCCGGGCGTGGTGGCGGGCGCCTTTAGTTCCAGCTAGTGGGGAGGATGAGGCCAGAGAATGGCGTGAACCCGGGAGGCGGAGCTTGCAGTGAGCTGAGATCGCGCCACTGCACTCCAGCCTGGGCGACAGAGCGAGACTCCGTCTCAAAAAAAAAAAAAAAAAAAAAAAGCCTTCAGGCTCTGAGGTGCTGTGATTCTCTAGTTCTGTCTCTGACTGGTGCTCCAGGGTCCTCTGCTTACATCTGACAAAATGGACCCCCTTCCCCACCCTGAGTCAATGTGCCTAGGGCCAAGAAAATTACTTCTGTCAATCTTGACATCTTTCCAATGTCAATTCATTAAAATAGAAATATTTAGAGTCTCTTAAATCCAAACTTAGAAATTATCTCCATATGTCAGGCTTCACACGGGCACTGAAGTTTCTTACTTTGTCAAAAAACAAACCATTCTAGGACCTTGGAATACCTGATTCGACACCTGGCCCATATCGCCTCCTTCAGCAGCAAGACCAACATGCACGCCCGGAACCTGGCCCTGGTGTGGGCGCCAAACCTCCTCAGGTAACCACTCTACCCTCCCCTTGTCACCAGCCCAGGGGGCTCAGAGCAGCCCCCGATTGAAATGAAGATTGGATTCTTCAAATTGAAGCCCCTTTAAAACAAATCTGTGGCTTAAGTGGTCATTTATAGCACATATGAATTAAAGGTGATTTAGGTGATAATAGCCTAAGCTCTCTGCCTGCTAACTTGGAAACTCTGAGTTCTGAAGACATTTTTGGCTACAGCTACAATATGGCTGAACTTATGGGTCTGTATGTTAAAATTTCTTGAAAAGGCCTTTATTGTTTTGGGGGCTCACTGCCTTGTTTTGGTGGAGTCACAGCTGGCTACAACCAGAATCAGCTGCTCCATATGATTTCATAAATAATGACCTGCTCCATAGAACAGTTAGGTGGGAGTGGAAAGGCATACTATAAAGGAAACAAAAGTCAATTTCTGTATGTTTACAGGATAGTGTTTATAGTATTGCAATGTAGAGTACCTGGTAACTGTTTCAAATTTGTTCAGTTTATTGGGCTTCACAGCCTTTGGAGAGTTCCTTTAATTGGCCCTAAATAATTAAAATATTCTATGAACTGTATCAATTTAGGAGATGAGCCTTGTGCAAAAGGCCCACTGGCTCCTCTTGCTGCTTCAGGTTGTAAGGCAAACTCACTAACTGAATATGTTTCTTCCACACGGTAGGTCTAAAGAAATTGAAGCCACTGGTTGCAATGGAGATGCAGCCTTCCTTGCAGTCCGGGTCCAGCAGGTGGTGATTGAGTTCATATTGAATCATGTAGATCAAATCTTTAACAACGGTGCACCTGGGTCTCTGGAGAATGATGGTAAGGACTCCTCCTAGCATACACTCCACCAGCTTATCCTTCTTTCTTGCAACTAGTGGTGGGACTCAACAGAAAGTGAGGGTGGGCTTAGTTCTAGCTCTGAGTGTTGGCTGTGTGTATGCTGACTACTGTGTGTCAGTGTCTGAGGATCGTGCATATATACATCTGTAAATGTGGAGTGAAGCTATGGTGTGTTTGCATGTGGCTTTAGCATGTTTCTAATCAGTTACATACATGGCCTATCCTGTGAATGTGGTATGGTGAAATAGAAGTAGAATAATGTTCTACTAGTTATAGTGAGTTCTTAAACTCCAGGTTATTTTCCAAAAGAGGTACTGCCAGCATTCTTCTCATTGACTGTTAGACTTCATCTTTACTTTCACTGTATTTCAGAAGACCCTTATGCCTTCACTTTGAAGTCTTAGAGGAACAAGTTAAGAGGCAGCATGTTCATACTCACACATATATTCAGAATGCATTCTCTTCTCAAGAATTTCTTGAGTGCTTTGTTCTGCGCTATGCCAGGCAGTAGGCATACAAAAATGATTGTGTTTGTGGGCATCTTGTAATGAATATAATGAGCCCTAGGAGTGAATTAAACTCCCTTGAACCCAGTTGGTAAAGACCAGAAATCCAGCTGACCAAGAAGCTTGGTGCATGAGAGTGGTTTTCCAACATTAGTGTAAATCGAAATTACCTGAGGAGTTTGTTAAACCAAGGTTACTGGACATCATCCCCAGAGTTTCTGCTTTAATATGTTTGGAGTGTGGCTGATAATTTGCATTTCTAACAAGTTTTCAGGTGATGCTGATGCTGCTGTTCAGGTCCACACTTGGAGAATCACTGGTGCATAAAAAACCATATCTGCAATATATTTTTTAGCTGATCAAAGAACTCCTTTCCAGTTCATCCAATATTTTGGAAAAAACAGATATCAGAATAATCAGTTGCAATTAGTATCAAATTTTGATTCCTGGTATAACTGTTCCCATCTCTACCCTGTCCTCTATGTAGTTTATGACCATTTAAAAAATTATTTTATCTACATAACGTACAATTCATCATTTTAACCATGTTAATGTGTAAAATGGTTCTTAATGTATTCACAGAATTGTACAACCATTACCGCTGTCTAATGCCATACTATTTTCATCAGTCCAAAAAGAAACCTGTCTTAGTCCGTTTTGTTCTGCTATAACAGAATACCGTAGACTGGGTAATTTGCAATGAAAGGGAATTTATTTCTCATGGTTCCAGAGGCTGGGAAGTCCAGAATCAAGGGGCTAGCACCTGGTGAGGGCCTTACCTTCTTTCTGCGTCCTCCTATGGTGAGAGATGGAAAGTCAAGAGAGTGTGAGAATGAGGGCTGAACTTGGTTTTATAACAAACCCACTCCTACAATAATGAACTCACTCCTGCAATAATGACATGAATCCACTTAGAAGGGCAGATCCCTCATGACCTGATCACCTCATAAAGGTCGCACCTCACAACAGTGTTGCATTGGGGATCAAGTTCCCAACACATGAACTTTGGGGGACACATTCAAACCATAACAAACCCCATGCTCATTAAGCAATCACTCCACATTTTCCTCCCCCACAGGCCCTGGCAACCACTAATCTACTTTCTAGTTGTATGGATTTGCCTTTTCTGGACATTTCATATAAATGGAATCATGCCATATATGGTCTTTGGTGACTTTTTTTTTTTTTTTGGATGGAGTCTCACTCTGTTGCCCAGGCTGGAGTGCAGTGGCGTGATCTTGGCTCACTGCAACCTCTGCCTCCCAGATTCAAGCCATTCTCCTGCCTCAACCTCCTGAGTAGCTGGGATTACAGGTGCCCAACACCACACCTGGCTAATTTTTTTTGTATTTGTAGTAGAGAAGGGATTTCACCATGTTGTCCAGGCTGGTCTCAAACTCCTGACCTCAAGTGATCTGCCTGCCTTGGCTTCCCAAAGTGCTAGGATTACAGGTGTGAACCACTGTGCCTAGCTGACTGTTTTTTTTTTCTTAGCATATGTTTTCAAGGTTTACCAATCTTGTTGTATATATCAGTACTTCATTCCTTCTTATGGCTGAATAAGATTCAGTTGTATAGATATACCACATTTTTATCCATTCCTTAGTTTGGGTTGTTTCTGCTTTTTGTGATTATGTATAATGCTGCTGTGAACATTCACATACACGTTTTTGTTTGAATATACGTTTTCAATTCTCTTTATTATATATGTAGGAGTGGCTGGCCTTTCTTTTTTATTTCAACTCTCCAGTTATAGATTTTTTTCTTTTAAACTATATAAAAACCTTTTTGAAAGTAAAAGAGAAGTAATATGCATACATTTATTCATTCACCCTTTTGAGCCCACAAAAAATTTATTGGGGATTTACTCTACAGCAGGAACTGTTGTAGGTATTCCACATGCAGCATTTCATTGATTTATTACAGCAAACATGATAAAGTTGTTATCAACCTTATTTTATACATGAAGAACCAGAGAACCAGAATAGCTTAGTAACTTCCCAAAGCCACCTAGTAAGTAATTCGCTGCGTGTGGACTACTGAACCCAAATCTTTTAGCCCATGCTCTTTCCTTAACTCTATTCTGCCTCTGTGAGGAAAAGAATATGAAAATAGATAACTAAATCATTGTGGAGAACTAGGGTTTTTGGGAAATGTTCTTCTGGACAGCAAATCCCATCCATGACTGTTAATGTTAAGGCTGTTCCTAATTCCAACCTGAAAATGCCTTTTCTCTTTATGGCTATTGCCTTAACCATCTTTTTGTCCTGCATATTAAAATCCAGTTTACTCTTTAGCCTTTAACTCTTCATTGCCTCCAGTGCTTATTATTCACATACATTTCATTTAAAGGTTCTTATTATAAATTCTTACTGACTTCAATAAATTGCCATACTTAATATTTACACAAAATGGAATAAGCCCTATTCTCTGGAATTTTAGATTTGGACAGAGTTCTGCTTCAAACTGAAAAGATTTTAGAAGTTTTCTTAGTCCATTTGGGCTGCTATAAAAAAAATACCATGAACTGGTTAGCTTATAAGCAATAAACCTATTTCTCTCACTTCTGGAGGCTGGGAATTTCAAGATCCAAGGGCCGGTAGATTCAGTGTCTGGTGAGGGCCCATACACCACAGTCAGCACCTTCTCACTGTGTTCTCACATGGGGAAAGGTGAAACAAGCTCCCTTGGGCCTCTTTTATAAGATTACTAATCCCATTCATTAGGGCTCCACCCTCATGACCTAATCACCTCCTAAAGACCTCACCTCTTAATTCTATTGCTTTTGTAGGGACCAGCCCTACAGGGTCAGTGGGTCTCTCCCTGTGTGCGGCGACGAGAGAGTGTAGAAATAAAGACACAAGACAAAGGGATAAGAGAAAAGACAGTTGGGCCCGGGGGACCACTACCACCAATGTGCGGAGACCAGTAGTGGCCCCAAATGTCGGGCTGCGCTGTTATTTATTGGATACAAGGCAGAAGGAGCAGGGTAAAGAATGTGAGTCACCTCCAACGATAGGTAAGGTCACGTGGGTCACGTGTCCACTGGACAGGGGGCCCTTCCCTGCCTGGCAGCTGAGACAGAGAAGGAGAGGAGACAGAGAGACAGCTTATGCCATTATTTCTGCATATCAGGGACTATTAGTATTTTCACTAATTTACTACTGCTATCTAGAAGGCAGAGCCAGGTGTACAGGATGGAACATGAAGGCAGACTAGGAGTGTGACCACTGAAGCACAGCATCACAGGGAGATGGTTAGGCCTCCAGATAACTGCGGGCGAGCCTGACTGATGTCAGGCCCTCCACAGGAGGTGGAGGAGCAGGGTCTTCTCTAAACTCCCCCGGGGAAAGGGAGACCCCCCTTTCCCGGTCTGCTAAGTAGTGGGTGTTGTTCCTTGACACCTTTTGCTACCGCTGGACCACAGTCCGCCTGGTAACGGGCGTCTTCCCAGACGCTGGCTTCACCGCTAGACCAAGGAGCCCTTCTGCTGGCCCTGTCCGGGCATAACAGAAGGCTCGCACTCTTGTCTTCTGGTCACACCTCACTATGTCCCCTCAGCTCCTATCTCTATATGGCCTGGTTTTTCCTAGGCTATGATTATAGAGCGAGGATTATTATAATATTGGAATAAAAAGTAATTGCTACAAACTAATGATTAATGATATTCATATATAATCATATCTAAGATCTATATCTGGTATAACTATTCTTGTTTTATATTTTATTATACTGGAACAGCTCGTGTCCTCTGTCTCTTGCCTCGGTGCCTGGGTGGCTTGCCGCCCACAGCTTTGAGGATTCTATTTTAACATATGAATTTTGAGGGGACAGAAACATTCACAGCATAGCAGAAGGCATTGAATCCAATACTTTTATTTGATAGATGAGAACACTGAGGCCAAAGAGATTGTGATATCTCTAATATTCACTAAAAAATAAATGTGTATTGAATATCTCCTATGAACTAGGTGCTGTTCTAGACACTGGAGACACATCAGTGCCCAAAATGACAGAAACTCCGTGGCATAGAACTATGGTCTGGTTGGGAAGACAAGGATATATAAGTTTACAAATAAATATATTATCACTTCAAAGACAATAAATACCAAGAAGAAAACATAGCAGAGTAAGGCAATAGTCAGTGACTTGGGGGTATAATTTTGGGACAGAGTGGTCAAGGTTTCTAGAGAAGTGATCTTTGAAGTGAGACCTGAATGACATGGGGAACCAGGCATGTGAGGATCTATGAGCAAATGTTCCAAAGACAGAGAACAGAGGTTGTAAAAGCTCTGAGGCAGAAAGCTTGAAGTGTTGCAGAACATTGGCCAATGTGGCTGGAACCAATGTGGCCTTCAAAGTGGGGTGCCCCACTCTGGTGGGTACCAAAGACCAAAGTAATGAGTTATGGGTGTTGGGAGAAACTGTTCAAATTTCTGTTTTCCATTTATTTTTGTCTTATACTGTGTAATTTCTATTTTTTTTATATATTTGCTATTACGCATGACACACAGTGGCATATATGTATACATATAATATGTATATGTATAATTTTTATATATATATATATATGTACACATTTTAAAATGTTTGCTATATTTTTGTAGACTACTGGGCCAGTGGGCAAACAGGAAAGGGGAAGCAGATGAAATATCCTTTTAGGTCATGCGAAGAGACGGGTTTGTTCTCAGTGCCTTGGGAAAGCATTGGAGGGTTTTGAGCAGGCCAGTGCAGGATCTAAGCCTTCCAGCTCCTGTGTGGAGGAGAGGCTGAGAGGCTGGAAGCGGGGAGACCAGTTAAGAAGCTATGGCAAAAGCAGATGGGAAATCATGGCAGCCTCTACCAGCATCTTAGCAGTGGGAAGGAGGAAAGTGGCTGGGTTCCGGATGTATTTTGGAGGTAGAGTTACGAGCCTTGCTTATAGGCTGTCTATGGAAGGAGAGATGCATTAAGGAAAAGAATAAATAAGAAATAACAACCCCAGGCTTTAGCTTGGGCACTGGGTGGTCCGTGGTGCCACCTACTGACACAAAGAAGATGAGAGGAGGTACCACAGTAGAGCAGAGGAGCACAGATCGCAAGCTCTGTTACAAAATGTAAAGTTAGAGATGCCTAAGCAGGGGCCAGGCGCGGTGGCTCACACCTGCAATCCCAGCATTTTGGGAGGCTGAGGCGGGCAAACCACTTGAGGTCAGGAGTTCGAGACCAGTCTGGCCAACATGGAGAAACCCCATTACTATTTTAGAAAATACAAAAAATTAGCTTGGCATGGCGGTGGGTGCCTGTAGTCCCAGCTACTCAGGAGGCTGAGGCAGGAGAATCACTTGAACCCAGGAGTCGGAGGTTGCAGTGAGCCGAGATTGCACCACTGCAGTCCAGCCTGGGCGACAGAGCGAGACTCCGTTTAAAAAAAACAAAAAAACAAAAACTTAACCAACTAACAAACAAACAAAAAAAACCATCTAATCAGAGACACTAAGCGGGCCTTAGTCCTAGGAGCCTGGAGCTGACAGGAGAGGTGGGCACTAAACTTGGTCTTCTGACCCTGCAGTTTATGTTCTTCCCATTGTTGCAGTTGCTCCCAGAGTGAGTTAATGTATGTATTTATTTTTATGTATTTTTAAGCAAATACATAATCACAAATAATCTAGAATATGTGAGAGTCTTTGAACAAATATTCAAAGTAGATTAAATTTAAATATTTTTAACCCTCTTTGGATCGGGTCAAAAGACTGTGTTAAAGTCAGAAAGTTTACTGAAAAGTTTTCAGGATCCCAGGCTATATTTAACAGTAGTCCTACTGAATTAGTGCCATCCATGCTAGTCCTCCCCAGAAACACCCCATTGTCACATAACAGTTGTCTTCATTTTCTGTGAGGCCCTTTTTCAATGGTTTTACTTCTTCCCACCCACAGAGGGTCATGCTCTGCAAAGAGAAATAGTGCCATCAATCTGCTTTCTGAAAATACAGTGAGTCCTCCACCAAAAGTAATTTCAATTGGTCTAAATTATCCTTGAGTCTTTTTACTATTTCAGAAGTCATAGAAAACTGGCAAGGTCACCAAAAACTAAATAGAAGCAAACTTAGACTATTTTTTAACTTAGATCAGCTTCACAACCTCAGCACTATTGATATTGAGTGCTGGATGATTCTTATTGTGAGGCACTGCTCTGTGCATTGCAGGACGCTTAACAGCATCCCTGGCCTTTGCCTACTAGACACCAGTAGCACTGCCACACACATTGATGACCATCAAAAATATCTCCAGACATTGCCAGATGTCCCTGGGTGTGGAGGGGAGTGGTACACAAAATCACCTCAAGGTGAGAACCACTGACTTGGAGAAAAGAGATAATCCTGTGCATCAGCGATTGTCATCATCACTTCCATTCTTTAAAAAAAAAAATGCCATAGAATAGGAAAGGATCAGCTACATACACTAGGAGACAACTGGGTAGTGAGTAAAAAAACCACAGGAAATAGTATAGGCTGTAAAATATCTTCCTGTGGCAGGGATATAAGCCTAGATGATCTGAAAAGTAGAGGTTCTAACTTGAAATGGCCTTGGAGCATGTGCTGTCCAGCTGTGGGGAGGAGAGGCAGCCTCCTGCCCTACTCTGGCAGTTAGGCTATCTCTGTGGCTGGACAGACATATTCCCATCTGGCCGAAGCACTGGGCAGAGTTTTCAGGAGTAAAGACTCATTGTTGTCACTCTGGCTCACAGTGAGTGTTCAATAAATGTTTGTTATAGGAATGAATGAATGGATGAGTGAGTGGTCCCTCTCTGAAAAGTATGGAAGGTGCAGCTACCTCCTGAAGCCCCTGTTTGTCCTCTGGCAGGTCTGGCCAGGACAGTCATCAGTTTCCGGTGTGCAGCCTCAGCCCCAGGCCCCACCATGCCCAAGAGAAGCCAGGGTGGCACTCAGCCCCCATCATAGGATCAAGAATGGAGGGACTGTGGATGGGGAATCTGGATGGATGTGATGGGCAGGCCTCCTCCAACACTGAGCTCTTCCATTGCCTTTACAGAAAACCGGCCCATCATGAAGAGCCTGACCTTGCCAGCCCTCTCCCTGCCCATGAAGCTGGTGAGCCTTGAGGAAGCTCAAGCCCGCAGCCTGGCCACTAACCATCCTGCTCGCAAGGAAAGGAGGGAGAACAGCCTGCCTGAGATTGTCCCTCCCATGGGCACCCTCTTCCACACTGTCCTTGAGTTACCAGACAACAAGTAAGTGGCACTCTTTTAAAAAATTCTAGGAGATGTGTGGTTGAAGAGGAAAGAGGAGGAGAGGTATACAGTCTCAGGACCAAGATGGCAGTGTGGGTTGGAGGTACCGTCTGGGTTGGGGTTTAAGGAAACATTCCAGAAGAGAAGGGAGCTGTCTCTACAACTCTCTCACCAGCAGTTGATGCCTTTATGCATGCACTGCCCCAAAGTTAACAAGACCCCTGATCTCCCATTGATCAAGCACCATTTTGGGAGAGTATTATAGGGGTCACATCACAAGTCATGACTGAAATTCCTGTCTTTTTAGTGTAGACAAATCAGGCTTGGTGTTTACAAAAGGAAGTTTACTAAAAACAAAACTTCGACCCCCTCCCCGACCCTCCATCCCCACGTGACGATACAAAAAGCATAGGGTTGACAAATGGTGTCACTAGGCTGATAGCTCTGGGTGAGCAGCAGTTGGGGACATGCAAACCTGGCATCCTTGTCAGAGTCTGTCAGAGCCTTCCCTCATCTCCAAAATAAATCAAGCATTGTTTTCATTGGTAGAATATTTTCTTTCCTCATTTCTCCCTGTCACTTCTTCTGTTGCCACCTGGGTCTCTACCCCCCCCTCCCCCCCGCCGTCACTCATATCCCATAGTAGAAAGAAGCGGGGATTGAACAGGAGTCCTAAATTCTAAGCAGATTGTAGGTGGAGGGGCTGAAAGGCAACCTTTCCATTGAAGGTGTCATTCCCACTCTTTGGTCAGTGAAAACAGGTATGAAAACAGGCACCTCTTGCACAGGCTGCCACCTTGCACAACTAGGAGATGCCAGTCATGCTGCATGCTATAGGAATGGCATATCTGGAACTCACCTGGTGAGAAACCCATCTGTGTGCTGGAAAATATATGGATCGTGTTTTCTTGAGACTCAGCCCCACTGCTCCTTTCCCTAAGTCCCTGGAGAATAAGTCTCATTTCTCCCTGATCCTCCAGAGATCAGGAAGAATACCTTGGAAAGACTACCAAATGCATTTTCTCTGTGCTTTCAACCACATCTCGGGTGCACCATACCCAAAGGTACGCTACCCTATAAAATATTACCCAAGGATAAAAGCTTGACAAAATGTGGGCCAAGTCCAGAGGAAACCACCAAGCACTGCAAAGCTATCTCAGATGGATCATAAAAACATCCTGGGTCCAGGTATGATGACTCACACCTGTAATCCCAGCACTTTGGGAGGCTAAGGTGGGAGGATCGTTTGAGCCCAGGAGTTTGAGACCAGCCTGGGCAACATGGTGAAACCCAGTCTTTACAAAATATAAAAATATCAGCCGGGTGTGGTGGCATGTGCCTGTAGTCCCAGCTACTCGGGAGGCCGAGGCAGGAGGATTGCTTGAGCCCAAGAGGTCAAGACTGCAGTAAGCCTTGTTTGCACCACTGAACTCCAGCCTGGGTAACAGAGCGAGACCCTGTCTCAACAACAACAACAACAACAACAAACATGGTGGGCTTGAGATCTGGATGTTCCACGAGAGCCCTGCGGAGAATAGGTCCTTTGTGGGACCCACAGATTGCAGGTTTTCATCCTGAAACTTCATACATTCCAATGGCTGGGCAGAGCCACAGCAGGGCAAGGCCTCCATGGTGACCCCTGGGGTGCCAGGCTGTCTCGACGCAGCCTAGTGCTCCTCTTTCCCCATCTCACCAAAGCAGCCTGGTGTGAGGCTAAGCCAGAGACACACTGACTACCCTCTGCGTTTCTCTGCAGTGATCATTGACCACACACTGCAGGCTGCTACTCTCCTCAGCCTCACCAGGCCAGACTCTTTTCCAGGTCGGATTTCTCATCCAACCCTTTTCAGTCCGTGAAAGTCTTCACCAGCCCTCTCTTTGCCTGTGGATGTCCCAGCAGTGTGGCTGTAGTGCAGGAGCCCAACAGGACCTAGGTGCATATGGTCTTTAGTGTTTACTCCTGTATAAAAACTGGCCATGTGTGGTGGGTGGCCCAGTACTGTCATCCCAGCACTTGGGAGGCTGAAGCGAGAGGATGGTTTGAGTCCAAGTGTTCAAGGCCAGCCTGGGCAAGATAGTGAGACCCCCATCTCTATAAATGAATAAAATGAATGAATGGTGTCTTTGAAATTCCAGAACAAAAGTGCTTATCAGAATTCCCAGAATTGTGTGTTTGCTTGTGACCACTGAGATTCCTACCGATTCTTGCATCTGTTTGCCCCCACCTCTGCCTTTAATAGCACACCTTTACCTCTTGCCCTGGGAAATACAGTTTGCTGTGACTCATGAAAGCCTTGCTTGGTCACCTGGGGCATCTCTAGACAAGGTGAGAATCAAGCTTACCTTGGATTTTAGAGGGGAATTTCTTGAAATATCAGAGCCATTCATAACTGAGGACATAACTGGAATATTTGGTCTCAATTTAAAAGTCCCCTTGAAATGACAAGTTAACAAACTAACCCCTTATGCCTTGGTTCTTTTAGGCGAAAGCTCTCCAGTAAATCAAAGAAGTGGAAATCAATATTTAACCTGGGACGTTCTGGATCAGACTCCAAATCAAAACTGAGTAGAAATGGGAGTGTATTTGTGAGAGGACAGAGGCTCTCGGGTAAGAATCAACAGCAATTGTTTTATGATACAAATATTTGTTTCCTAACTCTGCTTATTAAGTCTTTGGTTTGATCATATCAAACACACTAGCTCTGAAAGAGAAACTTATAAATTAACTAGGGGAAGAGGAGTCTTTTTTCAAAACATTTTAGACTTACCAAAAAAATTGCAAAAATAGTACACAGAGAACCTGTATACCCTTCATGCAGCTTCTCCCAATGTTAACATCTTATATAAGTTATCAAAGCCAAAAATTAATATTGATACAATACTCCTAATGAATTTGCAGATCTTATTCACATTTGGCCAGCTGTCCCACTACTGTTCTTTTTCTGGTCTAGGATCCAATCCAGGATCTCACGCTACATTTGGTTGTCATGTTTCCTTAACCTCTGCCAATCTAGGACAATTCCTCCATCTTTTTGACCGTGATAACTTGGAAGAGTACTGGCCATTTGTTTAGTAGAATATACCTCAGGGAGAGTTTGTCCAGTGTTTTCTCATGGTTAAACTGAGGTTAGGAATTTTTGCAGAAATCCTACAGAAGTGATCCTGTGCCAGACTCAGTGTGTTATATTAGGAGGTACATGATGTCAATATCTTATTGCGTGTGAAGAGAACTGTGATCCCTTGGTTAAAGTGCTCTTTGTCATGAATTTTAGGATCCTCTGATGGTTCTTGGATGTAACAATTATTCCTATGGCATTTGCTAAATGATGATTTTCTATTAATTGGAATTCTGCTGAAAAGACCTGTCCCTTCTCCCCCAGGGTCGTGATTTTTAAAGAAGGATGCTACCCCATGGGACTTATTTCTGAGTAGTGCATAGAAATTGATACAGGAAGGAACTGAGGGAACCATATATAGTGGGGAATTTAACCAATGCAGCTGAATATTATGTCAGGAAAGAGAAGACCAAGGAAATTTTTCATAATGATCTTTAGTGTTATAGATTGAAAGTATGATAAAAATGGAGGCAATAGTTATGAAACCAAGGTGTAAAAGAGAAATGTACAAATGCAGTGAGCAAACTTTGACTGGATCCTGGAAAAAAAACCAAAAAAACAAAAAAAAGAGCTGACCGAGCACAGTGGTTCGTGCCTGTAATCCCAACACTTTGGGAAGCTGAGGTGGGCAGATCACTTGAGCCCAGGAGTTCGAGACCAGCCTGAGGAACATAGCAAAACCACATCTCTAAAAAACAAAAATAAGAAAAAACAACAAAAGACAATTTGGGGAACAAAGAGGGAAAATGTGGATATAGAAGATATTAAATGATATTAAGGAATTATAAATTTTCATAGTATGCTAATGGTTCTTAGGAGACATATACTAAAACTAAAGTATTCAAGGATGAAGCAGCAAAATATTGACACTTTAAAATAACTAGCAAATTATAGGTAGGTAGATAAATATCAATATAGAAATAGATAATGCAAATATATGGCAAAATGTCAATAATTATCAAAACTAAGGTGGTAAGTTTAAGGGTGGTAGGTTTCTAAATGTTTGAAATTTTTAATAGAGATTTGGGGGAAAATTAATTCCTATAGGAAATATGTGAGATAATATTTTTAACGACTTTCCTCAAACCCGGTGATAATCACATGCCAAGGATCAGGAAGTCCAGATGTTAGAAACCTTCGTGTTTGCCTGTTAGAGTAAGGAGGGGTGTCACAGTACAGCAGTTACAACGATTTAGGCTGTAAATAATGGCAAATCAATTCAATCAACTTATGCAGTGAGGGAATTTACTGGCTTCTGCAGTTGAACACCCTGATAGAGGGAAGGCTTCAGGGGGTTTAATACAGGGGCTCTGTCATGATTTCTCCATGTTTTCCCCAGCTGTCCCAGCTGTGTCCCCCTTTGGGTCAGCTTCATCCCCAGACTGGCTTCCTTTGCTGTGGCAAAGTGGCTGTAGTAGTTCTAGGCTTTCCCTCTGACTATCCCACTAGGTCCAGAGGGAGAAAGAACATTTCTGGTAGCTTGCTCCTAAGAGCAGGGACCCTTCTTTTCCAGAAGGCCTCATCAAAATTCCCCTTGTCTCGGTATCCTTCACTGAGCCACATGGTTCGGTCCCTGTTGTCAATGGTGTGCCTTGTGCTGATTGGCTTCAGCCTGGGATCCTGAGCCAACCCCTTGCATGAGGAATGGGACTTACACCCAAGAAGTACAAGAGCTATGTGCGAAGGGCAGAAGGGAAATGGATTCTGGGTCTGCATCTGTAATCATCGTATGGCAAAACTCAGCTTACACAAAATGGAAAGATAGCCTGAATGAAGAGGACAGGTTGCCACAAGTATGGCAAGACAGATGCAAATCAGAAAATAGGATTCTTAAGGGAGAAACTGGGGAGAAGAGTACCTGACCAGAAACTCCTAATCTATGAAAAGAGATTTGCTTAAGCACGTCAAAGAGAGAATTTCAGTTGCAGAATCAGTGGTACAGCCATGAAAGAGGTTCACCAGTAATGAAAAGTCAAAAAATAACAAAACAAAACAACAAAAAGGAAATAAGTGGTTTGCTTTGATCTTAGGAAGATTTCCACCCCCATGTGGTTTTCAAAAAGAACAATTCCCAGGCACTGGATCAAATGTTGGTAAACTCACAGGCCAGGGCTTCTCACACCTGGACCTCAGAATCGCCCACAGAGTGGATCACACCATAGCAATTTTGCCTCAGAAGTTCTGTGGTGAGGTCTGAGTATTGGTAATTTTCTAAAAGCTCCCCAGGTGATTCTGATATGCAGTCAGTGTTGAAAGTCACTGGCTTATGATCTTATGAACAAACTAATCAGATCTTCACTAACTGGATGCAGCGGTGAAATTCAAGAACTGTCAGTGTCAATATAAGTGGCTCCCTGTGGCCTTAACTATTGCCTGAAGTGGTTTCTTTTTACCAGAAGAATATTGCTGGCAACTCTGGAAAATAAAGACCAATAGGCTTTATGGTCATAACTTTAGTGGAATCTGTGATTAAAGTTAGGCCATTGAACCCTGTAACAAATGTAATCCACCAGTGTGGTCTCTGTAAGTGGCACGTGAGCTTGCTGTTGAAATATGCATGTGAAAAGGGGAACCAGTGGATTAACATATGTAAATATATGCTTTAAAATTCCATAAATAAAGACATTTAAAAAATTAATTCACTATGAATAGTATTGGGATTGTTTTGGGTGGGGAGGAGTTGGTGAGGGGGTGTTTAACCATATCTAGAAAATGAAACAGGTAAGAAATAAAGTATAGGAAAAAATGGAGAACTGAATTAAGATGCACAAACTTTAGAGCCTTCCAGATATGTGTATTTTAATTGATTCCATTTAAGTTTTTTGTACATTATTAAAGAGAAAGAAGAGTTCAGAGAACCCTCCAAAATGAACTGTGAGCAGAGAAATCTCAAAGCCATACAGCTATAGCAGGTCCAGGCTCACCTCTGAGTAACGCAGCTAAGAGAGGAGGACTCAAGGACACAAAGGCTGCCAGAAAACTGGGGAGTACACCTCTGTGAGGCCAGGCCAAGGTCCCAGACAGAAACATGTAATATAAATATAGTCATAGGCCACAGGAGCCTGAGCTCTTAGTTAATCTCCAGAAAGGAGGGCAGGGAATGCTTGGGGACTGTCCACCAAGCCACATCTCTGATGTGCTGCTGTGCTCCGCAAGGCCACAAGGAACTGCATCATGAGAAAGAGGCTTCAACACCAAAGGTGGACACCGATGGACCTACAGACAGAGCTGCTACCCGGCCTCTGTGACACAGTCAGGGGCGCCTGGTCACTGCCTATCAAGGTTGACATGTGGAAACCAGAGAAATTCCAGAAATACAGCTCCTGGAAAACAAAGGCAGTGCATGTCCTAGAATACACAAACAAAGGGATGCTGACCAGGTAGTTTCAGGGCAGTAAATCAATTTATAGATTTGTGGAAATAGCAGATCTTCAAAGGATAAGAATTCTGGGGCACATTGGAAGTGAGGAGGTGAAAGGCAATCTCTGCCTTTGCAAAGGATTTGCATGGAGGTGGCTGGGCGTCCCACAGTGGGCCCCAGAAAGAGAGAAGCCTCAAGCTGGGAGACCAAGGGGCTAATTCAGAACCTCCCAGAAGGAGCAGGTTTGGATCAAGGAGGAAGAACAGGGGAACTTTAAACAAGAGACAAAAACAAGCTTGAGTTACAGCTCAATTTTGGTTAAAGCCAACTCTAACTGCTTCTCATAGAACCTTCTCCTGTCTTCCCTTTTGTTGCTGAGCCCTGATCCATCCTGAATAGCAGCAACAACAATCAATAATTATTACTTTTTAATGGGTACTTACTCTATTGCAGATTAGTACAATATAATTACCTTATAGCCATTACCCATTTAATCCTCACAACAACTCTATTTTTTCTCATTTTACACATGATAAAACTGGAGTTTAGTTTAGCTGTCACTTTGGGAGGCCAAGGCAGAAGGATTGCTTGAGTCTAGGAGTTTGAGACCAGCCTGGGCAACACAGTGAGACCCTGTTTCTAAAAAATTTTTTTAAATTAGCCAGGTTTGTTGGTGTGTGCCTATAGTCCTAGCTACTCCAGAAGCTAGGGCAGGAAGATTGCTTGAACCCAGGAGGTTGAGGCTGTAGTGAGCTTATGATCACTCTACCACACTCCAGCCTGGGCAACAGAATAAGACCCTGTCTTAAAAAAATAAATAAATAAAAATAAATTTAAAAAAATGTTTAGCTGCTTGTCTGAGGTCACACAGCCCAAAAGCGGCAGAGCTGGAATTCAAACCCAGATGTTTCTGAATTCAGAGTTACCTTAAGGGCTACTAGTCCTGGGCCTCCTGCTTCCAAGTGCCCTCTTTCCCCTCCTGACAAGCTCGACCTAGAAGGAACTACCTTTCAGCCAGTTCTGTTCCCTGAAAAGAGATGGTGTTTGTGAATGCATCTATGTAATGCTATGCCTGGAATAAATTTTTACTCATTTAAACCACACTCTTCCAAAAAGCTGCTAAGGTGGCTTACAAAGATGCATGGTGCATACCCAGTCACAGAGTAAGTGTGCAAAAAAGGTTTTACTGGAATCTGTTCAGGGTGAAGCTAATGGGTGAGATCACTGGGGAGCACCCAGCCTGCAGGCCTCAAGGAACAGAGCTGCATCCAGCAGAAACCTAACTCCAATTCCCTTGGGCCCTCTCACCTGCTGTACCAAATTTGCAGTAGCTGAGATGTGGTCTCAGCTCTCTGGTCTCTGGCCTGCTGAATACGAAGAATGCCCTGGAGCCTCATGGATTCTACCCCTGGATTCATCCTTGAATACTTTTTGTAAAGTAAAATTGAGCTCAGGAGTCCTCATTTGCTATGAGCTATTTGACAAAATTGCAATTTACCTTTATTGTAAAATATTAATAAAACTTTGATCTATAACTGCCCTGAGTTTATTAGGTCTGTCGCATTAAGAAAGTAGGAACATCTAGGGTGGAGTAGAGGAATGTTTCCAAGGGGATCAATTATACTTGAAAAACTTTCCTAAAGAATTTTGTCTTGGGTACTTAAACAGCCTGACCTATTTTTCTGAATGCTTTCTGTTAATATGCATTCATCAAGGATATTTTTTCTTTTGTCTTTAGTGGAAAAGGCTACTATCCGACCAGCTAAAAGCATGGACTCACTATGTTCAGTGCCTGTGGAAGGTAAGATTTTACAAGTAGTTTCTGAGTTGGAGATTACAACTAGGAGGCTGGAGCTCACTTGCCTTTATAAGCTGTCATGCCTGCTTCTCTATAGTCACAGTCACACACAACTACCTAGTCCCAAATCCCTCACTGACCCTACCCTAACTCAAGGGGTTCACATAGCCCCATAACCTCCCCTACCTTACTCCAGGGCTAGGCCTAAAGAGCCATCCTCTTTGCCCATCCTTCCTCTAGCCACAGCTGAAGTCCATGGCTACTTTTCATTCAAACCTGAACCAGGTAAAAGGTCAACACCTGAAACCTAAGGCAGAAGAGTCTTCCCCTTTGGGCAGAAAGAAAGAGCCAAGCATTGGTTTATGCCCTATGGTTTTATGCCTAGAGGCCTATGTATCTTGAACTTGGCTGTTTCCATATGCTTTCGCTTCCTAGTTTTTGTGTCAAGTCATGATTTTCAGTTGGTAGGTTCATTCATGTATCTATTTATTCATTCATTTATTATGTATCATTAAACATTAATTAGGCACCAGCTATGTATCAGCCATGTGCAAACCACAATATCCTTTGTTGGAGTAGACGTGTATACAGTTGCACATGAGGTAACACCGACCACCAAAATAACACATAACATTTGTTCTCACAGCTGTATCCTTCAGGGCTGACTTGCCTGTATCTCTCTCTTCTATTTCTGTTAAGTAACCAACAAGCACCATTACAAATTACAAGGCAAAGGACTTGTCTGGCAACAGACTGTTAAAACTCCCCTATACTTATCCCATGACTTTCCAGCCCCTTTAATACAAGACATTTTTCTCTTTCAAAAATGGGTCAGACCAAAACAATACAGAAAATCTTTAGAACAACATTTTAAAAATAATTCTAAACCCGGGCCGGGTGTGGTGGCTCATGCCTGTAATCCCAGCACTTTGGGAGGCTGAGGCAGGTGGATCACTTGAGGCCAGGAGTTCGAGACCAGCCTGGCCAACATGGTGAAATCCTCTCTGTACTAAAAAAAATACAAGAAATTAGCCAGGCGTGGTGGTGCATGCCTATAATTCCAGCTACTCAGGAAGCCGAGGCACAAGAATCACTTAAACCCAGGAGGCAGAGGCTGAGGCACGAGAATCGTTTGAACCCAGGAGGCAGAGATTGCAGTGAGCTGAGATTGCGCCACTGCACTCCAGCCTGTCTCAAAAAAAAAATAATAATAATTCTAAACCTGTATAACACTCAGTGAGATCTTCTTAAGTTAACTCGATACTTTCAGCATTTTCTTACTTTTATATTCATCTATTTGCTTTGGTTTGGAAACTTCTTGGCAGTTATTGCCCAGTTTTGCAGGAGTTAATATTTCAACATATAGGTTTTTATATACATGGCATGTGAGTATTAGGTCATCTAACTGCTGAGTCTCGATGTCCTCATGTGTTAAAGATCATTACACTTCCTTACAGGGTGGTCATAAGAATTTTAAGCATACAGTTATGTAAGATGCCCAGTTTAGTGCTTAGTACCAAGTTAGAAATTATTTTCTAGATTCCTGGCAACTCGCGTATCATCTCCAAGCTTATTTACTTCCCACGTAGGCTTTTCTCTTCCTTGCCTTTATTTCTAAGTCAAGAACTTGGTCTGGGCATAGTGGCTCATGCCTGTCATCCCAGCACTTTGGGAGGCCGAGGCAGGCAGATCACCTGAGGTCAGGAGTTCAAGACCAGCCTGGCCAACATGGTGAGATCTCCTCTCTACTAAAAATACAAAAATTAGCCGGGCGCGGTGGCAGGTGCCTGTAATCCCAGCTACTCAGGAGGTTGAGGCAGGAGAATCACTTCAACCCGGGAGGTGGAGGTTGCAGTGAGCCGAGATCACGACACTGCACTCCAGCCTGGGCGACAGAGCTGTACTCCATCTCAAAAAAAAAAAAAAAAATTCACTCCTCACAACTGTGCTTTCTAACAGTTAGTTAATTTACATTTCTAGTTTCTCATCCTCTGAATCAACAGGAAGAAGCCTGAGAAAAGGTGGGGAAGGTCTAGTTGTTAATAGCATTTGTTTCCTTGCTGGGAAATCAAACCCCCCTGTCTGGGTCCATCTGCCAGAGAAAACTTAAAACAAAAAGTTTTAAAGTTCTAAAATAAGACAAGATTCTGTTTATTTTTCCTTTTTGTCTTCTTCATTTTGAGCAAACATCATCCTACCGCCTCCCATCTGTCTCTTTATTTTTTCATGGTCTACATTTAATGCCTAGTAGATGATGGCTCTGTTTAGCAACTTTAGCAGTAATCTTTTTTTGAAAACTGCTCTACCTGCAAAGTTTAAAAGTGATCTGTATGGCACAACAGCAAATGAACCTACCAAAGCATCATGCTGAAATTCTGTGCATATGAGGAAGTGCTTTCTCTTTTGTCATCCAGATGTTACCTGTCTTTATCTGGGCGGTTATGCCCCTGTTAGAATGCTGTGCCTCTCTAGTATTCAAATGTCGTGTGCCTGCCCTTACTGGAAGGCCTGCTATTGTATGTGTGCCCCGGCTGCTGACCATACACTTGTTCCTTTTTACTAGGAAAAGAAACCAAGGGAAATTTCAATCGAACAGTTACCACCGGTGGATTTTTCATTCCAGCAACAAAGATGCACTCCACCGGCACCGGCAGCTCATGTGACCTCACCAAGCAGGAGGGCGAATGGGGCCAGGAGGGGATGCCTCCCGGGGCTGAGGGTGGCTTTGATGTGAGCAGTGATCGCAGCCATCTCCAGGGCGCTCAGGCCCGGCCCCCACCGGAACAGCTGAAGGTTTTCCGGCCTGTTGAGGATCCGGAGAGCGAGCAAACAGCCCCAAAGATGTTGGGTATGTTCTACACTTCGAACGACAGCCCTAGCAAATCCGTCTTCACCAGCAGCCTCTTCCAGATGGAGCCCTCGCCGCGTAACCAGCGCAAGGCGCTGAACATCTCCGAGCCCTTTGCGGTATCTGTGCCGCTCCGCGTGTCCGCAGTCATCAGCACCAACAGCACGCCGTGCAGAACACCCCCGAAGGAGCTGCAGTCTCTTTCCAGCCTGGAAGAGTTTTCTTTTCATGGATCAGAGAGCGGAGGCTGGCCAGAAGAAGAGAAACCGCTGGGAGCTGAGACTTCTGCAGGTAAGTAGAGGAGAGAGGGTATCTTTCCGTTGCAAGAGAGAAAAACCAGACTTAAATTTGCTTGAGTTTGCAAGGCAATATAGTGCGGTGGTTAAGCCTGTGGGCTCTAGAGCCCGATTGGGTACAAATCCACGCTCTGCCATTTTACTGCGTGATCTTCAGCAGGTTAATGTAACCACTCTGTGCCTCGGTTTCTTAATCTGTAAAATGGGAATAATTATGTTAATAATACCTTTTTCATAAGTTTGTTGTAAATATTAAATTATTTAATACATATGAAGCTCTCAGAACAGTGTCTACATACAATAAGTATATAATAAATATTACCTATTATTATTTTATTTGCTCACAGAGTGAGAAGGCAGGAGAAAAACTCACAGAATGGAATGCAGAGCTGCAGAGCTGGAATTGGGGATTCAGTTCTTCCAGTCTCCTTCTCTTTCCATCCACCCATCCTTATTTCTACTTTATATTTGCAGACAACATGGCTAGCAACCCTAGCAACGAGAAAGAGCATCCCTCTCCCAATTTTCTGATATCAAATGCAGGAAGGATTCTGATTGGATCTGCCTGAGTCCCATGCCCAGCCTTGGACCAATCACTGTTTCCAGCTAATTGGGTTCTGAGATTGGCCAGACTTGAGTCTCTGGGTGTGTCTGGAGTGAAGAGAGTTTCTTTAATTAACAAGCAAACATGGGCCACATAAAATGGAAGCAGGGAGAACCCCAAAGGAAAGGGTGGCTGACAATCAAACCAACAAATGTTTATTGTGATTTAGGAATGTTTCTTTTCCGTTAATATTAGTCATTTTCAGCACCTATTAGGTTGTCAGGCACTCTCCTAAGTGTCCTGCAAATATTATCTCATTTCTCCCCTCTATCCTATGATATAGATAGTCACTATTATCCCCATTTCCTTAAAGAGGAATGGTTTATTTGCTGAATCACTCATAGCAAGGAAGTGGAAACACCAGGATTTTAATCCAGACTTTAAAAAAATCCATGCTTGTAACACTATACCACGCTCCCTCCTGTGTTCACTATGGGCTGTGGAGTTAAAAGATTGTTAAGACATGATCCCTTCCCCACAGTGAGCTCAAAAACTAAGAAGGGAAATTGAAACTCTGCACTGAAGTTCAGCACAGGGTCAGCCTATGGAAGCAGCATAAGAGCCTCCTCAGGATTTTTGGAATTAGGGAGGGGTTAGGTACCCAAAGCATCATGAAAGAGGTGTTCCTAACAGATGGCAAGGGCATGAAGGAGAGACAGTCCTCTCAGGAGGATTCCAGGAAGATTTAGAAGAGGTGACATTTGGACTGAGCCTTCATAAATGGGTAGGGTTTCTCCATGCAGAAAAGAAGAGAAAGGGCATTCTGAGCAGCTACATGTTGTGGGAAGTATGTAGGTTTTGGAACCCAACTGGGCTGATTCGGATGCTAGCTTTACTGCTTTTTGTCAGTTTGGCAGTGGGAAATTTTGGAGCCTGTTTCTCATCTGCAAAGCTGGGGAGACTCCTATCCCAAAGGCTGTAGTGAGGTCTGAATGGGAAAATGTCCATAAAATACCTGTCCATAGTTTGGCTCACAGAAGATGTGAGTAAATATTAGTCCCTTCCTCCCATTTCCTTTCAGGATGGGTACGCAGATGAGCAAATCTCGGGGTATCAAGTGATGCCTTGTCTGGAAAACGATGTCATGGGCTGGTGTGGGTCATGGGCAGCAAGATGTCATGGGCAGCAGGATGAGGGATAGGGGAGGGAGTGAAGGCTTTGAGGAAAACAGTGTTTCCAAAGGCTTTTGTGAGATTTGTTATCCTCTCTGGAAGAATAGGTCTCTGGGCCCCATGGGGTCTTTTAGAGACAGTCTGTTATCCGTTTTTCCCCCTCTCTCCTCTCTATAAATAAGAATACACATTTTGTATTAAGTTGGTCTGGGAAAGACACTAATGGAGACTCCAGCCTGCCTTCCTACCTGTGGCCAATGGGCAGTCAGGGCAGAAAGAGGGGCCTTGTGGAAGGCAGCCATCCAGATCTGAGACTGAGGGTGGAAGGGGGCTGCTGAGAGGCTCAGGGGCAACAGGTCCCCTCACCCTGCTCTCTGACGGGGTGAGGTTAACTTCAGTGTCTTATCTTCTTCCATGATTATTCCATGTGGAGAACTTCACCTTCATTAATTAAATATTTTTCTTTCTGTTGTGCAGTAGCAGGGGGCAAAAGAAAAAGAATTAAAGGCAATTTTCCAGGTTACCCAATTAAACTTTTAGTTGCTCTGGTCAAACCAACTCTCCCACTTTTGGCCAATCTAAGTGAAATTCCAGTGTGACCCAAAGCGTAGAGATACCGAGTAAGTAGTGCATTTTAACTAAAGTTAAATGATTGTAAATACTGATTACTCTGAATGAAAAAATTGAAGGATTAATCAATGTAATCATCATGGTTGATTATCTGACTTTTACCTGATTCAAGAGCATGTCCTGCTAACCTCATCCTCAGCTGGTGGGGAGAAAGGACAACAAACCGAATCCTTCTGAAAGTGAAGGATGAGCTTATGGGCTGGTTTAAAAATTACAACCGACACTCTCTGCATCCCCTTCTAGAAACGCTTGTTAAGGAAGATCAGAATAAACATATAGCTTTACAGAAACTTGATAAATGAAAATCCAGAATTTCCCTAAGAGATATTAGGAGTTGCCCCATTCTTTTACTAAAGAACTTACAATAGAATTCTCTTAGTTCTATTTTAGTGCATCTGAAATATGATTCTATAACACCTACAAAAATTTGTTTTGCCCTATTTTTTTTAATCAGGAGCAAGCCTACCTTATAAACTCATTAGTTGATTCTATTAGTTAAGGTACAGGCTAAGCTGCTATAATATAGAAAATAAAAAATACAGCGGCTCAAACAAGATAGAAGTTTATTTCTATCTTACACACAAGTCCAGAATAAGGTGACTGTGATGCAGGAGATCTGAGGTTCCAGGCTCCTTCAGCCATACCCAGGGGTGTTGTCCTTGTCTGCATGGTCAGAGTAGGCTCACCCCCACAGTCACATTCCCACCCATGGGAAAGGGCTAGAGGAAGAAGCCAAGCAGCTTCCACTTAAGGATGTCACCTAGAAGCTGCACACATCGTTTCCACTGCCTCCCATCTGCCAAACATATTTCACATAGCCACACTACCCTCAGGAGGCTGAGGAATGTCACTAGATGGAAAACCATGTGCCCAGCTAAAACCTGGGGGGTGGGGGAGGTTCTAGCTCCAAATAAAGAAGAGGATAGATATTGGGCAACGATTATCAATCTCTGCCTCTATGGTCACCCGCTTTGTGTATAATGTGTCACATGCTGGGAACGTGACAATGCCCTTCCCTTTTGAGCTATAGAGATTTCTTGTAGTTTACAAGTAGCCACCAAATCTGTCAGCCAACAAAAATTTGTTGAAGATTTTCAGGTAATTTTTAGGAATAGATACTGCCTCTGTTCTGAGGAACTTACCCAAGGATAGAAGCCATGTACCTGAAAAGAGATCATGGTAACCTGAGGACTGTGCAGCACATAAATAATAACACTGAGTGCTAAGTGACATGGTATGGGAAAGCTACAAAGAGATGTTGTTAGGTTTATGTCTTGAGGAATGGATTCAATTGGAATCACTGGGAGGACCAAAGCAGGGGAGAACAAGGCCTGTTAGGGGAGTGTGAGAAGAGAGGACATGTGGCTGGGCCACAGTGAGATGGGCTTTGCATGCCATAATGGAGGCAATAGGGAGCCATTGAGGGTTTTCAGCAAGGGAGTGAGTGATAGGTACAAACTCATGGTTAGCACGGGCCCTTCCTTCACACCTCAAACAGGAGTCCATATTAATGGTCATGGTCAATGGAAAGAAGCTCTACAAAAAGGGACACTGGCAAGTTCCTCCAACTACTAGATTTAGAAGAATGTTAAAAAATATATATTTAAAAATTATGGATGCATTTACCCTTTCACCCAAAAGTTTCACTCCTAAGAATTTATCCTAAATAAATGGTTGCATAAATACAAAATGATGTTTGCACGTCATGGCATTATTTGTAATAGCAAAGGACTGGAAACAACCCAAATGCCCCGCTTTAGGGGTCTGGTTGAATAACTAGGGTGCATCCACACAGTGAAGTTCTATAGAGTCCATAGCTTTGTGAGCCTTGCACCACATTCCCCCAAACTCCAGCGAATCTGTCGGGGACAGTTTCTGTGCACATGAAAGGCACCTATCTCAGATGTCTGCCTTGCGTTTCTGGTTTTCTGCCTCAGAGCATTTTATGAAGGGATTGGCTCACTCAGCCTTTGCGTGGGACAGCCCAGAAGCATGGAGAATTAACTGGGGTAGCTCTCAAGTAATACAAGCCAGGAATCAGTGGATAAATGACACACCTTCTCATTGTTTGGAGGGATTGTTGTAAGACACATTCTACATAGTGCTTCTTAGGGTTACCAGGGATTGAGTCCCAGTTGCTGAAAATGGGAATGAACTCAACAAAATACTCTTTATTGACTTTTCCTCCGTCCCTCTCACTTTCTCATTTCTTCTTCCTGGGACCACTTTCTAAATAAGCCACCTGCTACTAGGACCCTATTTCAGGATCTGCTTTGAAGGAAACCCAAATGAGGCCACATCATAAAGAATGATCATGCTGGGCGCGATGGCTCACATCTGTAATCCCAGCACTTTGGGAGGCCGGGGTAGGCAGATCACCTGAGGTCAGGGGTTTGAGACCAGCCTGGCAAACATGATGAAACCCCGTCTCTACTAAAAAATACAAAAATTAGACAGGTGCAGTGGCAGGCACCTGTAGTCCCAGCTACTAGGGAAGTTGAGGCAGGAGAATCACTTGAACCCAGGAGGCAGAGATTGCAGCAAGCTGAGATCGCACCACTGCACTCCAGCCTGGGCGACAGAGCAAGACTCCATCTCGAAAAAAAAAAAGAAAGAAAGAAAAAAAAAATAAAGAAAAAAAGAAAAAAAAATGACTGATCTCCCTCTCTACTAACATGGCATGGGCTTGGTTCAAGATATGTTAAGTGAGAAAATGTAAAGCAAACAACAATCTGTATCACATAGTGTATTTTGTGTACTAAGGATGGGAAACAAAAATATATGCAAGTATCTGTTTACATATGCAAAAATAAACTCTGGCAGAATAAACCAATAAGCTAATAAAAGTAGTTATCTATAAGAGACAGTGGGAGTGTGGAACAAACCAGAAGCAACAGGGATGAACACATGGTGGGTGACCAAGGAGAGGTTGGTCTGGGAAGCCTTGAAAGAGGTGTTGTTAGGTTTGTCTTGAAGAATGGGTTAGATTGCAACCAACCACAGGGAGGACCAGAGCAGAAGAGTGCAAGGCCTGGCAGGGGGACTGGTAGAGTAGCAGACATGTGGCTGGGCCAGCAAGAAGGGGCCTTTTTATATACAGTGGGCCCTCGACAGTCAAAGGTTCCACATCCATGGATTGAACCAATCACAGATCAAAATTCTCCAGAATAAAAAATTGCATCTGTACTAAACATGTACAGATTTTATTCTTGCCATTATTTCTTAAACAATACAGTATAACAGCTATTTGCATGGCATTTACAGTGTATTACATATTACAAGCAACCTAGAGATAAGCAACCTAGAGATAAGCAACCTAGAGATAATATTACATATTATATAAGCAACCTAGAAAACAAAAAGATGTGCATAGGTTATATGCAAATACTATGTATGCCATTTTATATCAGGGACTTGAGCACACATGGATTTTGGTATTGGGGGGAGGTCCTGGAACCAGTCGCCCCATGGATACCAAGGAATGACCTGTAGTTTTAACTTTTGAACTCTGTAAATATTTTACATATTCAAAGATAAAACTGAATTTCAGGAAATAAGCCTGCAAAGTGATGGGCAAAAGGAAATACCACTATTGTGAATTCTGAAGCATTTTAGTTCAGACATCAGAATGCTGTCACTAGATCTGAGTTGCTGGGCTGGCCTTGCGGTGAGACACCTCAGAGTGAAGACACCAGTGTAAACAATGGCAATGAGTGGTTTGGTCTTAACCAATCTTAACCAACAAACTTTTCTGAGCTTGTGCTGTGTGCCAGACACTGCTATATGCTTTGTCTCCATTGTCTACTTTATCCTCACATCAGCCCTGAAAAGCAAGTCTTATGATGCCTTTGTACCAAGATTACAAGATTCATTGAGAAATTAGCATTTGAACCCAGGTTTCTTTAATACCACTGTAAATGGTAATTTTTCTTAAGGGCCTGCTATGTGCCGAGCACAGTCCTGGGTACTCACTCAGTCTTTAATCCAGAGTGTGGAAACAGCTTTATGCAAAGAAATGGGGCTTTCCTTCATGCAAAGCAATAGAGGCCAAACTTGAGATCTGCCTGCTTCTTCCTGATCTCGTAGATGTTTAAGAACAGAACTTAATCACTTTGGATAGATCCAAATTGACAGGAGATAACCCCTGGGAAGAGTCACACAGGAAGCTGTTAATCATAATTATAAGAAGCAAGATGTGAATAATAGATTTTTGTAACCTTGGGCACCTAGATAGACTTCTCGAAGTCTGACTAGTTATTTGAGAAGTCAGAGACTGGGCTAGAGCACGGTGTCTCAACTTCAGCACTACTGACATTTTAGACTGGATAAGTCTTTGTTGTGGGGCAGGTTCTGTGCAGTGGAGGATATTTAGCAGCATCCATGGCTTCTAACCACTACATGCCAGTAGCATTCACCCCTCCCCAATGTTGTGGCAACCAAAAAAATGTCTCCAGACATTGCCAAATGTCCACTGGAAGAAGAAAACGGTAGGAGCAAGATGGTCCCTGGTTGAGAACCACCGGACTAGGTGATCTTTGAGGTCCCTTCCTTCTTTGACAATCTGTAACTCTGGGAACTCAGGCCAGGACATTGCTAGGATAAAAGAGTAAATGCAAGGGGCGGTGAGCTGAGGGAATTCCCTCCATCCTTCTGAAACAGGGCCAGGAGACAGGACAGTGACTGTGTTGGGAAGAGTCTCTCTTGAAATGAAGTCTCCTTTAACTGATAACTCTCATTTTCACTGCAGCTTCTGTACCTAAGAAGGCAGGTCTTGAGGATGCCAAGGCAGTACCTGAAGCACCGGGGACAGTGGAATGCAGCAAAGGCCTGTCCCAGGAGCCAGGCGCCCACCTGGAGGAGAAGAAAACCCCAGAAAGCTCCTTGAGCTCTCAACATTTAAATGAATTAGAGAAGAGGCCAAATCCGGAGAAGGTGGTGGAGGAGGGACGAGAGGCTGGTGAGATGGAGTCCAGCACCCTGCAGGAGAGCCCCAGGGCCAGAGCCGAAGCTGTGCTTCTCCATGAGATGGTAAAGTGCATTCTCCACCTGCTCCAGCCAGGTGGAGTTATTTTTTCCCAAGGGCTCTTGGTACAATTTAAAGTAAATTGAAAAAAAATTTTTTTTTGAAAAATCAGTTTCTGCCAAAGGGACTTTAAGAGACAAACTTGTAATGAAGGTCTGAGATTTGTTTTGCAGTGGACTTTTCAGAAGTCCTGCAGTGATGGGGAGGAAACATCCTGTTCAGATTCCCTAATACAGACTCAACTCTAAATATTCCTGACCTGAGGTCACCATAAGCCAGTAACATGTCTTTGGAATGTAATGACATTCAATCCCAGAAGCAGCACAAGACCTGCTTGTCATACCCCAGTCCCAAATATCATGATCAGTCACAGAGTCCAGCCTTCTTCTTCTGGACATCCTGGATGGGCAGTTGTCTACACTTATTTCCAAAACAATAAATATTTCCAGGATCCATTCTTTCCTTCCGTGGGCTCTGGAGAAGTTAAAATACAATGCTGGAGCTGACTAAACCTTGTCTACTTTTTAGAGGTGGAATTTTCCAAGAAGGTTTTTATGGGATGTCCTTCAATAGAAAGTGTGAGGAGGTTTTCCAGGGATACCCAAGGAGGAGTCCTGCATTTGAGAGGCAGCTCTGTGACCAGAGGAGGGCACCAGAAAGGAGGATGCCTTTGAACTTGCTTCCAGAGTCTTGATTTTCAGGACGTGCACAAAAGAACCATGTGCTGGGAGTTAGGGCAGAGTGGAGTGCCATGGAGGCCTCAGGATGGCTGAGCTAGGGTCTCTATAAGATATATTGGCATTTGTTGAAGGGGAAAGATGAAGAGATTCATATGGGGATTGATTGAATTATTACAGGGAGGACCCTGTAGGAATGAATGGCATTGCTTTGAGAAGCAGGTAAAGTTAGTGCTGGAAAGAGAACCGGGTGGATTCAAGGGAACAAGTAAAGGCATCAGTTCATTCATTCATTCAAAACATGTATTTAACATGAACTTTGTGCCAGGCACTGGCATCACTGTAGTGAACAAGGCTTTAACCATCCCTGCCTTCTTGGAGCTAACAGCCTAGTTGGGAAAAGATTGAACAAGTAATTCCTGGGGTGCTATGGAAGCATGGAGTGCATGGGAGCACATAGCAAGAGGACCCAACCTAGTCAGAGGGAGGAGGCATGCCACAAGGGTCGGGGAAAGCTTCTCTGTAGAGTGCATATTCAGGCAGATAACTTAGATGGAAGAAAGGGGCAGTGGGTGGACTAGGAAAGGAGAGACCTCCAGGCAGAAAGAATAAGATGTGCCATGAATCCAAGGTAGAAAAGAGCATTCCCATTCAAGGAATGGGAGCAAGGCTGGGATAGCTGGGCTGGAGAAAGTGAGACTCAGGGGGATGCAGGAGCCAGGACTTCTTGGAAGGGATTTGGGGTTTAACCTAAGGGCAATGGGAAAGCATATGAGGTGTTCAGAATTTTGTCTTTAATGGGTCATTCTATTCTGTGTGGAGAATGGCTTGAAGAAAGGAGGCACGAATGCATCAGGAGGGGAGTATGTGGTAAGCCAGGAGAGAAAAGCTGGAGGTGTAGACTAGTGTGGGGCCATGGGGATAGAAATGAAGGGCTACAATCACTATTTAGAAGGTAGAATGGACAGGACTTGTTGAAGGATTAGATAAGGGCTGAGAAAGAAGGAAACGTCAAAGGCACCTCATAGGTTTCTGGTTTGAGCAAAGAGATGCACTGTGGGTCCACTTACTGAGAGGGCAGAGTGAAGTGGAAGGGAGTTTAGATGTTCATTTGTTCATCTAAATTTATGGTTTCTCAGTATTGATTTCTTAGTAATATCCCAGTTAATGTAGGTGCTGAGGAGAGTAAAGAGATGAAGCTGTCCCCGCTCCGAAGGAGGGCACAGTCTAGTAGGCAAAATAGAAATGTTCACAAATAAATGCAGTGTGGTAGAAGCAGATTAATTTTGATAAAGTAATCCCACAGAGATATGTGAAAGAAATAATCCAAAAGAAAACACTGAATCCATTACAGTTCAGCAGACCCTTTATTGAGCCCCCATTCACAGTATACCAGGCACCTTTTGGCCTTGTTGAATCAAAGATGAATAAACACAATCCTGACCTCAAGAAGCTCACAGTCCATTGGGAATAATAAGACAAGCATTAAAGTAACTGTAATATGAAACAACAAGTGATTAGAGCTAGGTGAGAAGGGACGAGAGGTCAGCAGCAAAAATTACTTTCACAAAGGCCTGTGCCATCCCAGGATGGAGATTCGTCCCCCGGCTGCCTCGCCCTGGGACAGAATTAGGCCTTGAGGCAAGAAATGAAAGAAATTGGGCCAGGCATGGTGGCTCACACCTTTCTGAGCACTTTGGGAGGTTGAGGCGGGCGGATCACCTGAGGTCAGGAGTTTGTGACCAGCCTGGCCAACATGGTGAAACCCCATCTCTACTAAAAATACAAAATTAGCCGGGTGTGGTGGCACATGCCTGTAATCCCAGCTACTTGGGAGGCTGAGGCAGGAGAATCGCTTGAACCCGGGAGGAGGAGGTTGCAATGAGCCGAAATCATGCCACTGCACTCCAGCCTGGGTGACAAAAGTGAAACTCTTTTGTCTCAAAAAAAAAAAAAGAAAAGAAAGAAAGAAATTGAAATTGGTTGTCCTGGCCCTGAGCAGGCCTCCTTCCATCCTTTTCCTGTCTATAGCTTTGGGCCTTATGTAGGGAAAGGGAGGAGTCTAGAAGGACAAAGGGAAGCTGGACTTGAGGGGAGACAAGGACAGCAAGCAAGGTGGAGGAGTAGGCAGTTCCACAAACCACAACAAAGAAATCCCCATCATGTTAACAGTGGTTATCTGTGGGGAGTAAGGATGTATGATTTTGATGTCTTTGTATTTGCCTTTATTTTAATATGTATTCATATTTTTTTCCATGTGAAATATGTATTTCCTTGGTAATAAGAAAAAAGAGACTGGGCGTGGTGGCTCACACCTGTAATCCCAGCACTTCTGGAGGCCTAGGTGGGAAAATTACTTGAGCCCAGGAGTTTGAGACCAGCCTAGCAACATGGTGAAACCCCATCTCTACTAAAAATACAAAAATTAGCCGGGTGGCACAGGCCTGTAATCCCAGCTACTTGGGGGGCTGAGGCAGGAGAATTGCTTGAACCCAGGAGGTGGAGGCTGCAGTGAGCTGAGATCACGCCACTGCACTCCATCCAGGGCAATAGAGCGAGACTCTGTCTCAAAAAAATAACATTAAAGGCCGGGCATGGTGGCTCACACCTGTTAATCCCAGCACTTTGGGAGGCCAAGGTGGGTGGATCACAAGGTCAGGAGTTTGAGACCAGTCTGGCCAACATAGTGACACCCCATCTCTACTAAAAATACAAAAAATTAGCCAGGTGTGGTGGTGTGCACCTGTAATCCCAGCTACTTGGGAGGCTGAGGCAGAAGAATCGTGTGAACCCAGGAGACAGGGGTTGCAGTGAGCTGAGATCACACCATTGCACTCCAGCCTGGATGATAACGCGAGACTCTGTCTCAAAAAAAAAAAAAAAAAGAAAATTAAAAAAGAACGATATTTACTTATTTGGAAAGCAGGTGTCAGGGTAAGACTTAACATTTTCATTCCACTGGAAGACTCTCATTCTTGTGTGCCTTCTAATGAACCTGAAGTTAAATGAGACCAGGGTTTTTGTTGTTTTATAAGGCAACAGTGCATACAGATTAGGTACTTACGTTCTGGTGTAGACAGAACTGGATTTCAATCCTGGTGTGCTGCTGTATGACTTAGATAAATTGTTTAATCTATTTGAACCTACACCTCTCATCTATAAAATGGGAGTAATTATAGTAGTGTTTATTTCCTAGAGTAGTTGGGAAAATTACACAAGATACAGCTAAAGTATGTGATGGTGCATGGTGAGCACTCAAATAGCCACAGGTATTATCGGTGCTGCATCCTGTATTTGCTGAACTGGCACAGGCTGGTGCTGTCAGTCCCTTCCCTCTCACTGGAAACGCTGATGTCAGCACCCAGAGTACTTAGTTCTAAGACAATCAGTTTATTGATGTTTTTCAGGATGAAGATGATCTGGCCAATGCCCTGATCTGGCCTGAGATTCAACAGGAGCTGAAAATCATTGAATCTGAGGAGGAGCTCTCATCGTTGCCACCTCCTGCTCTGAAGACCAGCCCAATTCAGCCTATTCTCGAGTCGAGTCTGGGGCCCTTTATTCCCTCAGAGCCTCCTGGGAGCTTGCCTTGTGGCTCCTTCCCTGCTCCAGTCTCCACCCCTCTGGAGGTGTGGACTAGGGATCCAGCCAATCAGAGCACACAGGGGGCTTCCACAGCAGCCAGCAGAGAGAAGCCGGAACCTGAGCAGGGCCTGCACCCAGACCTCGCCAGCCTGGCTCCTCTGGAAATAGTTCCTTTTGAGAAGGCATCTCCACAAGCAACAGTGGAAGTAGGAGGCCCAGGCAATCTGTCTCCTCCACTCCCACCTGCTCCTCCCCCTCCAACTCCTCTGGAGGAGTCAACTCCAGTCCTGCTTTCAAAGGGCGGCCCGGAAAGAGAAGACTCATCCAGGAAATTGAGGACAGATCTCTACATAGACCAGCTGAAGTCCCAAGACAGCCCTGAGATCTCTAGCCTCTGTCAGGGAGAGGAGGCAACCCCAAGACACAGTGACAAGCAAAATTCAAAGAATGCTGCTTCTGAGGGGAAAGGCTGTGGTTTTCCAAGCCCAACCAGGGAGGTTGAGATCGTCTCACAAGAAGAGGAGGATGTAACCCATTCAGTACAGGAGCCTTCAGACTGTGACGAAGATGACACTGTGACAGACATTGCCCAGCATGGCCTGGAGATGGTGGAGCCCTGGGAGGAACCCCAGTGGGTGACGAGTCCCCTTCACTCTCCCACCCTGAAAGACGCGCACAAGGCCCAGGTACAGGGCCTTCAGGGTCACCAGTTGGAGAAGAGGCTTTCCCACAGGCCCAGCCTTCGCCAGAGCCATTCTCTAGATAGCAAACCCACGGTTAAAAGCCAGTGGACTCTCGAGGTTCCCTCCTCCAGCAGCTGTGCTAATCTTGAAACAGAGAGGAATTCTGACCCTCTTCAGCCCCAGGCACCCAGGAGAGAGATTACTGGATGGGATGAGAAAGCCCTGAGGTCCTTCAGAGAGTTCTCTGGCCTGAAAGGGGCAGAGGCTCCTCCCAACCAGAAGGGACCAAGTGGTGTGCAACCCAACCCAGCAGAAACCAGCCCCATCAGCCTAGCAGAGGGAAAGGAGCTAGGGACACACCTGGGGCACAGCAGTCCACAGATTAGGCAAGGTGGTGTTCCTGGGCCAGAGAGCAGCAAGGAGAGTTCACCCAGCGTGCAGGACAGCACTTCGCCTGGAGAGCACCCCGCAAAGTTACAGCTAAAGAGCACAGAGTGTGGGCCCCCAAAAGGGAAAAACAGGCCTTCTTCCCTCAACTTGGACCCTGCCATTCCCATTGCTGACCTCTTCTGGTTTGAGAATGTGGCCTCATTTAGTTCACCTGGAATGCAGGTCTCTGAGCCAGGAGACCCAAAGGTCACATGGATGACCTCATCTTACTGTAAAGCAGACCCCTGGAGGGTTTACTCCCAGGACCCCCAGGACCTGGACATTGTTGCTCATGCACTGACAGGCCGCCGTAACTCAGCTCCTGTGAGTGTGTCAGCTGTGAGAACCTCCTTCATGGTCAAAATGTGCCAGGCCAGGGCGGTCCCAGTCATCCCTCCCAAGATTCAGTACACCCAGATCCCACAGCCCCTGCCCTCTCAGAGCTCAGGGGAGAATGGGGTTCAGCCTCTGGAGAGGAGCCAGGAGGGACCCAGCTCAACCAGTGGGACCACTCAGAAACCTGCCAAAGATGATTCTCCCTCCTCCCTGGAAAGCTCAAAGGAAGAAAAACCAAAGCAAGATCCCGGAGCCATTAAGTCCTCACCAGTGGATGCCACTGCACCCTGCATGTGCGAGGGACCTACCCTTTCTCCAGAACCAGGCTCGTCTAACCTGCTCTCCACCCAGGATGCAGTAGTGCAATGCAGAAAGCGCATGTCAGAGACAGAGCCATCTGGGGACAACCTTCTTTCTTCAAAACTAGAGCGACCATCTGGGGGTTCTAAGCCTTTCCACAGGTCAAGGCCAGGAAGACCTCAGAGCCTAATCTTATTCAGTCCTCCTTTCCCCATTATGGACCACCTGCCCCCTTCATCCACAGTGACAGATTCCAAGGTCCTGCTGTCCCCTATCAGAAGTCCCACCCAGACAGTTTCCCCTGGCCTTCTTTGTGGAGAGTTGGCAGAAAACACATGGGTCACACCAGAAGGGGTTACACTTAGGAATAAAATGACCATCCCTAAGAATGGCCAGAGACTAGAGACCTCAACCAGCTGTTTTTACCAGCCTCAGCGGAGATCAGTAATTCTGGATGGAAGAAGTGGGAGGCAAATAGAATGATTTCGGTTCACCTGCTGGTGTCTGAAAAAAACCGTGATTCATCTGGAAGTTATTACAGGGCCAGCTTGCCATATTCCAGGCACACGTTATCAAGTTTGGGCCTATTGTGGCCTCTGACTTCTCTTTCTTCAGCCTTTTGACCACTTATTAATTAGTCCATTTGCTAGAAGAGTGGTCAAGGGAAAAACGAGAGATGAAATTTAGTTAAGTCTATGTGAGCAAGTGAGAGAAGGTTAGGTAAGGGGAGAGGATGGAATGCTTGCCTCCAATGAACTTTGGAGCTTGTATGTGAGTCAGATTGCTCCCCTATTGCTATTATCTATTACTCTTGAGAGCTGGCTGTCCTTTGAAAGAAAGAAGTAATGTTCTTTGAAAGAAAGAAAAATCTCTTGCTGTGTCAAACCTCAAAATGTTGCTATTGGGGTTAGAAGGCCTCCTCTTTATGCTTTTTAATGCTCTTTCAAACGTGTTCTTTTAGACCAGTTTTCTAATAAGCTTTGTAAAATGTACTATCCAAATTAGAAGCGGATTTGGAAATGCAAACTAACGTGCACTTAGATATCCAAGTGGGTGAGCTTAGCCACTCTTACCCATGCTCTTTCCCTGGAATCCCTGGAGACCTGTCCAAGATGATTTCCATATACCAGCATAGAAAATCAGAATCAAGAGCAAACTCTGAGACTGGCACAATCCAAGAAGATTTCCTGGCTCTGGCTTTTAGTAATTTGGGACTCCAACTGCCACTGTACTGGACTGTAATTTATAAATCCAGTAGCTACGCAGGGTGGAGGCTGGGCTGAGGATTACCATAATGAAATGTACTAAATCTTCATTTAGGTATGCAATTGTGAAGTGAAGGCATCTGCTTTCTTTACAGTATCAGAGTCCAAGAACAGGATGTCACCATAGATAAAAGCCTCATACAAAGGCAGAACTACACTCCAAATTTAATGTGTTTAAATTGGTGGGGCACCAGCAGAAAATATTCTAGCTCAGCTTTACTCTTCTTCCACACTAGGCTGGGCCCAGCAATACAGGAGAGGATGAAGGGAGGAGCTCCAGGAGGCGAGGGAAGAGCCCTAGCAGGGCGGCCATCACAACCACTCACTGAGAGTTGCCCTTCTTAAAAATGTATTTTATTTTAGCCAGTGGGTCCCTTCCTTTCTCCTTTCCTCTCTACTGCTCAAGAACAGATTTGAGGCCAGGTGCGGTGCCTCACATCTGTAATCCCAACACTTTGGGAGGCTGAGATGGGTGGATTGCTTGAGCCCAGGAGTTCAAGACCAGCCTGGGCAACACAGCGAGACCCCATCTCTTAAAAAATAACAGACTTGAGGAACCCCTCTCCCTTCCATAATTCCCCTCATCCACCGCCCACTCCAGGCACTCACTCAAACTTGCTCTTCAACTCTGTATACAAGCAGAAGCAATAAACCAATCTGATTTTCTTTTCAATTATTTATAACTTTCAATGGTTCTTTCCTTTCCAGCTGGCGAGAGAAAGGAGAACTAATATACCTGCTGGCAGATTTTTGGTGCTGCCCAAAAAAGGACTTCACAGGGCATCTCTTCTCAGGTTCAAGCCTGGCTGAATTCTGCCCAGAAGCTCAGTCATTGCAGAAATTTCTCTAAGGGCTGATAGTACCTCTGGGTAGGCGTCACAACCAAGGCTGGTTCTGGGCTTAGTGGGGGCTGAGATGAAGTTACCTCCTCCAATGAGAAATTGGGAGCTGATGCCCTGCAACAGATATATATTCCTCTCTCTCTCTGTCTCTCTATCTCTCTCCTCCCTCTCCCTCCCTCCCTCCCCGCCAATAAGCCTTACAAACAGTTTTGAAATCTTGTTCTGTACCTTTTAAGCCAGTGTCTGTGGCGAGGGTGACTGGCAAGTCAGCTGATGAGTTCTGCCTTCTGAGAGCACTGAGTGAGCAAGGCCTTTCATCAGTGTTTTGGCCTTCTCATTGGGTGAGGAAGACATTGAACCAACAGCCAACGAGATATGAACCTGTAAGAAAAAAGTCCTAGAATATAGTATTTTTCCCCAGGCCAGCAAAGTGAAGAAATACAGTGGTGACAGATGAGAAAGGCCATGTTCAAGAGATCTGAAAAGTACATTCCTGCCTTATCAGAAAATGTGTCAGACAGGTTTTATGTCAGCCTCAGTGCTCCTGCGGTGTCGACGCTCTGATAAGGACCATGTTCCAGTTAGAATGCGAGGGAGGGAAAGAGCTGCACTTTGCTTCACCATCAGAACTCTGAGCCAAATAATGAATATGTAAACTATTTTATGATTATTTTAAATGTTTGTTTGGTAACATTTATAAGATCTATTTTTATTTGGGGATAGACTGAGAAGCCACCATTTACATATTAACAAGTGACTTCAGTTCTAAGGGTTGAGATGCCTGTGTGGATTTATAAAATGGTTGCAAGATCTTTTAGACTCTGACATTTATAGCATCACCTTCAGGAACACAGTTCTGGGGATGTCATCATGAGACACACTGACAGCTGTGGAGATAGTCCCTACTCTCAGCTTTCCTTGCTAGTCAAGTCCAAAAGGCCTTAGAAGCTGACTCACCTTCTCAGCCAGAGTCCTGCTGCTCAAGTGTGGACCTCCACTTTGACTCTCACCCAGCCTGCCAGCCATCACAAAGGCTTTCATAAACTTCCTGTGGTCTGGGCTAGCCTGGCACTGATGAAATTCCATTCTAAAGAAAGAAAACTCATATTCCTCCCCCCCACAAATTGTTCCCCCAAATGCTCTGGGATTACCTATTTCACCACTCATTTGAGTCTCCGAAAAATGAACTCCCTGAGAATGGCTGGATGGGAATCAGATAGTCTGCTTCCATTCAGGAGAGGGACAGAACAGGAGCTGCTGTGTTTAGGAGGATTTACCTGGTGCCCTAGAAAGGGCTATGCAATCAAATTCTCAAGGGCTCCTTCAAATCAGCTATCAGTCCTCAAAATGGGGGTTGCTGATGTTAAATGATGGATTTGCAGTGAAACGCATGCATGTACTGACGTTTTCTTTCAGCATTAGTGGTTGCTTAAGAAAATAGTAACCTATATTTTCTGCTACACTTGGAATATGAAGAAATCTGAACAAGAACCCCATTAAGACACCTAACCTAATCTAAACCCTAAAATTCAAAATATTGTCCAAGTCAAAAGTCTAGACTCTGAGGACATTAAAAATGTAAATATCATCATCCTTAGCAAATATTTATTGGGAGCTTAGTAATAGTGCACTGGGTACCTTAGCACTCCCAAATCATTCAAGAGTCTAGTGAAAAAGGGGGAGGGATGGCAGCAAATAAAACACCCCCATAAACAACCAGGAGCAAGGTTGAGAACCATTAAGTTGCCAAACAAAAGCAGAAGGGGAAAAAGTGTGGCAACAAGCATCTTTTAATAGGATAGTTGACGGTATTCAAGTGACCTACTGACTCCAAATAATCAAATTGAACACAATTGCAAATCCAATAGAACATCCCAGTGAGACACTCGGGTATTTGAGAACTTTGCTTGATTTAGAAAACTGGAAAGTGGCAACTAGGCTAGAATAGTGGCAACTAGGTTCGGAGGTTTCGTGTGGTCATAATTGGTTTGGTGAAGTGTGAGATCTCTGCAAATGAGCCAGGTAAGATCAGTATTCCATAGTGCTTGAAAAGGGGATTTTAGAGACTTCTGTCATCACAAAGCAGATTAACTCCTAGTTAATGATGAAGCAGTAGGCCCAAGATAAACTGTTCAATTCAAGATAAATTGTTCTTGTCAGTGTTTGGCATATGATAATCACATTTGGCTAAAATTGGATGGGACAGTCATTTGTCTACACAGGCCTTCCATTCCTGCATGAAGAGATACTGGGGAGCATACAATTATTTTGTCCAGTATTAGAGTGGGAGAAGTTCTCAGTAAGTCCAGTCCCACCAGGATTTATTTGGGCCACATTCTACCACGGCCAGTCCAATCTGATGACCACATGAATTGGGGTTAAGTGTTGCTAAGACTATGATTTTAGACATGTCTGGCAGGAAGGTCAGCTCAAAATGTGGCATGACAAAGAATATGTGCTCTACTACCAAAACCTTTCCTAGCAAAACAAGGCCAGAAGAGGGAGCAAGCATCTTTCCAAGCATGGAGAGGAGGGGGCAATGGTGGAAGGGTGATTGCCTGAAATCAGTGCCAGTACAGATAGCATAAAATTGGGGGCCACCACAGATTGGCTGGCTACTGTGTAGATCATTTAGTAATCTTGAGGTACATTAATAATGCAGAGATTACTTTTCTGTGAGGGTAAGGGGGACGTAGCTAAATATAAGAAGCTTACAAGGTCCATAGCCATGTATTTTACTGGATAAATCACAATGCTTTGCAATAACTTAATGTCATAGTACTTTCTGGCTTATAATTCTGCAAAGTAAAGCACTTTTTCAAAGGAGTCTATTGGAAAGCCACATGATTTCAGCTGTGTTTTAAGCTCTACAAATACGTTTCCAAAGACATAATCAAGATGTAATTCTATTCATTACAAATATAAATATTAAAACTATCCATAGAGACATTTAAGTAATTAAAACAGATTTTTATGCTTTAAAAATAAATACTCTAATAAATGATATAAAATATAATGCTTATGATGGAACTATGAGCTAGAGGAGGACATGGGGTCACCAAAATCAATAATCAGAAAAGTAGATTATATGCACCAGGTTCATTGTTTTAGTTTGTTCTGTTTGATGTCATTTTTTGTTACTTCAATGTTTGATCTCACAGAAAAAGTCCGTGATGATTTGCTTCAGTATATTTTTCTTGTTTTTGTTATTTTACGTACTAATAATTGCCAGATGTCTGCAACTTCACCCTTTTACTGTTGCAGACACATAGTCATGTCACTCAGGAAACCCCGCGTAAGTCCAGGCTATCATAATGAAAAATGAGAAGAATAAAAGCTCATTGCTTCTCAAAACTCCACAGCTTATGGAGGCACATGGGTCCACCTGCACAGATGTGAACTCAACTTTTCTATTACTTGAATCAATCAAAGGGGACTCTTCTTTTATTTGAGTAATTATGTTAATGATGCTCTAGGGGGAAAGGCAAACATTTGTTGTCCTGGCATATATCCTGTTATATATATGACCACAAAGGTGGGGAGGGGGAGGTGAACAATCCTACAACCTAGGTTCACAACCTAGTGATATTTGCAGTGAAACATTTGTAGTGATATTTCCCCTTTCATTGCCAAGGGGAAGAAAACACTACCATTTTGGCAACAACTTTCTATTTAGAACCTTACACTACTCAGGCCTGCTCCTGCTATCCTTCACTACTGCCCTAAATGCCTTTTTCTCCTATATACTCCCCGATCCGCACACTCTTTGGTTTTTCTCCTGAACTTCCCCCAACCCCAGTCCAACACACAGTTCCCCTCACTTCCAGTCTTTCCCATGTTCTCTGGAGTCACTTTCTCCTTATAAACTCCCCTGCAGTCCCAGTCTCTTCACTGAATGTTGTTGCCACTTCCTGGACTTCAAGAAAACTCGTGTGAGAACACTTCCTTCCCTCCACAAAAGGCTGAACATGTGCCCATGCGCCCATATTATGCAGACTTGTACGAACGGTCAGAGGATGTTCTCCCAGGTCCTCACTTCTACTTCTGCACCATTGTTTCTTCCCATCCCATACAAAAATCCCTCATTACCAAAATGTATGGATCCAACTATTTTAACTTTTATCATTTGTGGCCATGGTTATAGTTAATGTCCCAGATTCCCCAGTCTTGGGTACCAATCTCCCTGTTTCCTTCTACCTCATGTCCCACCATCATCCTGGATGACTTCAGTGTTCTAGAGGAAAGCCCACCCAATACCCTTGCCATAATTGCTTATAGAGGAAAGCCCACCCAATACCCTTGCCATAATTGCTTACAGCTTTTTCCCTCTACTCAGTTTTGAACATTTGCTTCTAGGGTTACACATCAGGCTATTTCACAATAGAGAATTTTGTGATCCTAAATTCTCATTTTCCTTTTTCAGAACTTTCTCTAGCCTTACTACTTTATTCCTTGTATTTGTGCAAGATTACCATGCCTGCCCCCACAACCTCCTCTGATAGACAGCACTCCCACCACACTTCATAATTCCTTCCCTAGCCTTTCCAGACTTAAGGTGCATCATCCCCACTGTTCTCACCAGGACCATTAACTCCCTTAACCACTAGTCCTTTAGCCACACCTGCTTGACAAACCTCCAACCTGGAATCTGGACTCTTATCACACATCTCTGCCCTTTAACTGTGTCTATGGGTTAGATCAGAGAAAATAATAAAACCACAATATAAAAGCTTTTAGATATTTGTGGTCCACCACCCCAAGAGCAGCCTCATTTCCAAAATCTTCAATGGCTATTCCACAACCCACAATGGCTATTCCACTATTCTTGACTCTCTCCTAGACAACTCTTTCTTCCCCACAAATAATTGTTATTGCTTCATAAGTTTATAATATCAGACATCTTTATTCAAGCTCCCACTGCTATTTCCCCTTACCTGTATATGTGTGTACCTAACCTCCCTTCTAGTTCAGAGGAAGTGTTACCCCTCTTTCCAAGAGCTCCCAGGCTTCTGTGTTCCCAGTCTCCTGTAATCCACTATTCTTCCCTATGTATTGAGCCTTGCCCTCTTTGATCTTTAATCCCTCAGCATATAAACATGCCAAAGCCTATTCTATCTTAAACAAAAGTCTTCCTCAATTCTGTCCACTTTTATCACCTTGTGTCTAGGTTCTTGGAAGAGTCATCAGTGTCATCAATGCTCAATTTCTACTTCTTCATTACAATTCACTATTCTGGACCAATGGCAGCCTGACCTCGGCCCGCATAGCTCCGCTAAAATTTCTCTTGCTAACGTCACCAATAGTCTAATATCCAAATCCAACATTCACTTCTCAGTCTCTAGACTTCCCTGTTATATGTGATCCTATTGATCATTCCTCTTTTGAAACTTTCTGCTTTGCCTCCTTCCATGGCCATTCATTTTCTTAGCTTTGTTCACTTAAAAGTTTCCTCTTCCTGGCCAGGCACTGTGGCTCATGCCTGCAATCCCAGCACTTTGGGAGGCCAAGGCAAGAGGATTGTTTCAGCCCAGGAATTCAAGACCAGCCTGGGCAACTCAGGAAGACCCCATCTCTACAAAAAACAAAAACAAACAAACAAACAAACAAAAAATTAGCTGGGCGTGGTGGCGCATGCCTGTAGTCCCAGGTACTCAGGAGGCTGAGGTAGGAGAATCACCTGAGCCTGGGCAATAGAACAAGACTCTGTCTCCCTAAAACAAGTTTCCTTAAAAGCTATTATTTGCCAGAATTCTGTCCTTCTTTCCCTTTTCACTTCATATGCTTTCCCTGCACTATCTTATTTATGCCCATAGCTGCTTCTACCACCCTCACACTGGTGACCCACCTCACCACTATTTTTTCTTGCATGGAAATTGAAAGTATATAATTGCATACTTTTATTGGGGGTACAAACTGATATTAAGATTTCTGAATATAATGTTAATTAAATTGAACTGGTTAAAATTTTTGTGGTGAGAACATTTGGAATTTATTCTCAGCAATGTTGAAATGTGTAATACTCTATTAACTGTATTCACCATGCTGTGCAATAGAACTAAAAAAAAGACCATATTCCTTCTGAGACTTTGTACACTTTGACCATCACCTTCCCAGCCTCTGTAACTACCATCCTACTCATTCTGAAAAGTGTAGTGATCTCTTGTTGTAGTTTTAATTTGCACTTCTCTATTAACAATATTGAGCAATTTTTCATATGTCTCTTGGCCATTTGCAGTTCTTCCTTGAAAAATGTCTATTTTGATCCCTTGCCTATTTTTTAATTCAGTTTTTATTTTCTTACAATTGAGTTGTTTGAGCTCCTTATATATTTTGGAGATTAACTCTCTATTGGGTGTATAAGTTGCAGAAATTTTCTCCCCATCTATAGGTTGTCTCTGCTGTTCATTGTTTCCTGTTAATTGTTCCCTTTTGTGGTGCAGTTAACTGTTTCCAATTGTAACACTGTTAATTGTTTCCTTTATGGTGCAGAATCCTTTTAGTTTGATGTAATCCCATTTGTCTGTTTTTGCTTTTGTTGCCTGTGCTTTTTGGATCAAATCCAAAAAATCATTGCACAGATCAATGTCATGTAGTTTTCCTCATGTGTTTTCTTCTTCTTTTTTTTTTTTTTTTTTCAGATGGAGTCTCTCTTTGTTGCCCAGGCTGGAGCGCAGTGACACGATCTCGGCTCACTGCAAGCTCCGCCTCCCGGGTTCACACCATTCTCCTGCCTCAGCCTCCCGAGTAGCTGGGACTACAGGCAACTGCCACCACACCTGGCTAATTTTTTTTTTTTTTTTTTTTTTTTTTGGTATTTTTAGTAGAGACGGGGTTGGTGGTTTTATAGTTTCAGGTCCTACATTCACATCTCTTAATCTATTTTAGGTTGATTTTTGTATATGGTGTAAGATAAGAGTTCAATTTCATTCTTCTGCATGTGGATATCCAGTTTTCCCAATACCACCTATTAGAGAGACTATTCTTTTCCCATTGGGTATTCTTGGAACCTTTGTAAAATCAACTGATTGTACATGTGTGGGTTCATTTCTGGACTCCCTATTCTATTCCATTTGTCAATGGGTCTATTTTTGCCAGTACTGTACTGTTTTGTTATAGCTTTGTAGTACAGTTTGAAATCAAGTAGTGTGGCATCTCCAGACTTGTTCTTTTTGCTTGATTGCCTTGGCCATTTGGGGGTGTTTGTGGTTTTGTATGAATTTTAGGATTATTTTTTCTATTTCTATAAAAATGACATTAGAATCTTGATAGGGATTGCACTAAATCTTTAGATTACTTTGGGTAGTGTGGACATTTTAACAATATTGATTCTTCCACCCCATAAACACAAGAACTCTTTCCACTTATTTGTATCATCTTCAATTTATTTCACCAACATTTTATAGTTTTTGGTACAGGTCTTTCAAGTCCTTGGTTAAATTTATTCCTAAGTATTTCTTTTTGTAGCTTTGTAAGTGGGATTGTTCTCTTGATTTGTTTTCAGATAGTTTGTTGTTAGTGTATAGAAATGCTACTGATTTTGTGTGTCGATTTTGGATCCTGCAACATTACTGTATTTATTAGTTCCAACGGTTTTTCGGTGAAGACTGTTGGATTTTCTATAAGATTATGTCATTTCAGCAAACTGACAATCTCACTGGTTCCTTTCTATTTGTGTGCTATTTATTTCTTTCTCTTGCCTAATTGCTCAGGCAAAGATTTCCAATACTGTATAATCTAGAAATGGCAAGAGTGAGCATCCTTATGTTGTTCCAGATCTTAGAGGAAAGGCTTTCAATTTTCCATCATTCAGTATAATGTTAGCTATGGGCTTCTCATATGTGGCCTTCACTGTATTGAGGTACAACCCTTCTATTCCTTATTTCGGTGAGACTTACTATCATGAAAGGATGTTGAATTTTGTCAAATGCTTTTTCTTCATCTAATGAGATGATCATATAGATTTTGTCCTTCATTCTGTTAATGTGGTATGTTACATGTATTGATTTGCATATTGTTAACCATCCTCATATACCAGGGATAAATTCCACTTGATCATTGTGGATAATCCTTTTAATATGTTGTTGAATTCAGTTTGCTAGTATTTTGTTGAGGATTTTTGCTTCCATGTTCATCATGGATATTGGCCTGTAATTTTATTTTCTTGTAATTTCCTTGTCTGGCTTTAGTATTAGGGTAATGCTGCCCTCCAAAAAGAGCTTGGAAGTACTCCCTCCTCTCCCAATTTTTTTTTTTTTTTTGGAAGAGTTTGAACAAGATTGGTATTCTTTATATGTTTGGTAGAATTAAGCTGTGAACTCATCAAGTCTTGGGTTTTTCTTTGATGACAGACTTTTTATTACTGATTCAATCTCCTTACTTGTTATTGGTCTGTTCAGATTTTTCTACTTCTTCATTATTTGGTCTTGGGATTACATGCATCTAAGACTTTATCCATTTATTGTAGATTTTCCAATTTGTTGGCATTTGTTTATAGTAGTCTTTCATGATCCTTTGTATTTCTGGAGTATCAGCTGTAATGTCCTTTATTTGTGATTTTATTTATTTGATCTATTCTTTTTTTCTTAGTCTAGCTAAAGGTTTGTCAATTTTATCTTTTCAAAAAAGCAGCTTTTGAGAACTTCTTTTTTGACGTAGGCATTTATTGCTATAAACTTTACTTTTAAAACTGCTTTTGCTGCATCCCGTAAGTTTTAATATGTTGTGTTTCCATTTTTGTCTCAAGATCCTTTAAAATTTTCCCTTTAATTTCTTCATCGATGTATTGGTTGTTCAGGAGAATGTTTAATTTCCATGTATTTGTGAATTCTCCAAAATTCCTCTTGGTATTCTTTTCTCGTTTCATACCATTGTGATTGGAAAAGATATTTGATATAATTTCAGTCTTCTTAAATTTGCCAAGGCTTTTTTTGTGCCCTAACATGTGATCTATTCTGCTGAATGCTCTGTGTGCACTTGAGAGTGTGTATTCTGTTGCTATTAGATGCAATGTTCTGTATATGTCTGTTATGTCCGTTTGGTTCAGTGTTGCTAGAGTCTAATGCTTCCTTATTAATTCTGTTTAGATGATCTGTCCATTGTTGAGATAGGGTACTGAAGTCCCCTACTATTCTTGTGTTGCAATCTATCTCTCCCTTCAGATCCTTCAATATTTGTGCTATATATTTAGGTACTTCAACATTGAGTGCACATAAATTTACAATTGTTATGTCCTCTTGATGAATTGACCCTTTTATCATATGATGTCCTTCTTTATTTTTTTTTCAGAGTTTTTAACTTAAAGTCTATGTTGTCTGATATAAGTATAGCCACCCCACTCTCTTTTGGTTTCCATTTGTGTGGAGTATTCTTTTCTATCCCTTCACTTTCAGTCTACGTCTAAAAGTGAGGTGAGTCTCTTGTAGGCAGCATATAATTAGGTCTTATTTTATCCATTCAGCCACTCTATGTCTTTTTATTGGAGAAATTAATCCATTGACATTCAATCGTTGCTAGGTAAGGACTTACTACTGCCATTTTGTTAGTTGTTTTCTGATTGTTTTGTACATACTTCATTTCTTTCCTCCTCTCTTGCTGTATTCCTTTGTGGTAGTATGCTTTGATATTTTTGTTTTGTGCTTCTGAAGATTTTTGCTTTGTGGTTACCATTAGGCTTACATGGAACATCTTATACTTACAACCACCTATTTCAAGCTTATAACAACTTAACTTTGCATATAACTCTATACTTTTACACCATCATTACAATCCAATAGTATTCTGAATGGGCTCTGCTTTATTTATATGTTTGAGTTTCGTGCATGTTTTATGTTATTAATTAGTAGCTTTTTGTTTCAGTTTAAATAACTCCATTTAGCAATTCCTGCAAGGCAGGTCCAGTGATGATGAATTCCTTTAGCTTTTGTTTGTCTGGGAAAACACACTTTTCTTTTTTCTTTTCTTTTTTTTTTTTTTTTTTTTTTTACTTCTCCCTCATTTATGAAAGACAGCTTTGCTGGATAAAGTATTGTTGGTTGGCAGTTGTTCTCTTGAGCACTTTGAATTTATCCTACTCTCTCCTGACCTGAGGGTTTATGCTGAGAACTCTGCTGATGATTGTATGGCACTCCTTTTTATGTGTTATGTTTCTTGCCTCTTGATGCTCTCAAAATTTTTTGCCTTTGATTTTTGATAGTTTATTATGTGTTGTGGTGTACTCCTCTTTGGGTTGAATTTGATTGGAAACCTCTGCAGTTCTTGTACCTGGATGTTGGCATATACCACAGATTAAGGAAGTTTTCAGCCATTATTTCTTTAAATATGCTTTTTGGCCCCTTTAAATATGCTTTTCAGGCACCTCTTTCTCCTTCTCCAACCACTATTATGTGAAGGTTTGGTCTCTTGATGGTGTTCCATAATCTGTAGGCTTTAATTTTAGAAATTCTTTTGTTTTTTTTGCTCCTGGCTAGATAATTTCAAACGTTCTGTCTCCCAGCACACTGATTCTTTCTTCTTCTTGGCTGAGTCAGCTGTTGAAGCTTTCTGTTGAATTTTTCAGTCTCTTGAATTTCTATCCCATTCTTATTGTTTCTATTTGTCAACTTTCTTTTTAGTGTACTGTTTTCAAATTTCATTAAATTTTTTATCTGTATATATTAATAGTTCACTGAACTTCTTTATGGGTATTATTCTGAATTCTTTGTCAGTTATTTCATAAATCTCCATTTCTTTGGGGTCTATTATTGGAGCTTTATTAGTTTCTTTTGTAGGTGTCATGATTCCCTGATTCTTCATAATCTGTATGTTCTTGTATTGTTGTCAGTGCATTTGAGGAGACAGCCCCCTCTTCTGGCCGTTACAGGTGTTCTTGGGAAGGGATAGACCTTCACTATTTAGTCTATCCTATGATTCCAGAAGGGTCAGCTGATCAGTTAAGTGATGCTGATGCTGCTGATCTAGAGATTACTTTGGGAACTAGAAACCAGTGGATCATAAGTTATTCTTAGCTTATAATCTTTCATTAGCTGTCTTCTGTCTACAAAAGTTCCAAGACATCTGTCTGCTTATTTGAAGTACTTATGAAAAGAGCACTTTATTGGGCTTCACACTCAAGATTGTTAATAGATCTGATATCTATTACGTATCTCATACATATTTCTGTTAATGAACACCCTAGTGTGACAACTGGTTTACTTGTCTGTCTTCTATTAGTTAATGAACTCGAACATCACTATCTCCGGCACCCAGCAGTGTTTGGCATATAATTGCCCAGTACATAGAAATGAGATGCCTGGCTAGCTTAATAGAAATAAAAAAATTAATTAAAAAAAAGAGAGAGAAACGGCACAACAGGTGGCAGTGGTGGTGACTGATAGGGACAGGAAGGAAAGGAGGATTAGGAATATAAACATGGAATCAGAGTAAACAGGATATTGAGGAAAACTTCTGTCATGCTCATTCCTGTGAACTACCCTCCTCTACTCCTTTATTTACCCACCTTAGACCACCCAGACTAGTCAAGTATCTTCTTTCCTTTTCCAGTATCCCAGTTCACCCAACTGAACTTTTGCTATACCATGCTTTCCACAAACAATTTTAACTTGCCAACAAAGAATTACAAAAAAGGTCATTCTTTAATGATTACACATTTTTCTACTATCAGTGAGCAAATATAGTGTCCCTTCTGTTACATGAACTATAATAGGATATCCGGGTAACTAGTAATTTTTCTCTCTTCCATGAACGTGGCCCCTACAAAAACAAAACAACAAAACAAACAAACAAAAAACAGCTGGAATGTGTAGAACACGTTGAACTAAACGGTCTTATGCCCCGTATGCTGCCATATCTGGAGGTGAGGGTAGGAGGAACTTTGCAATTCCATTAGCCAAAATTAATTTTTATTTATTTCTTATATCCACTTACTTATTTAGCCAAGCCAGCATCTGGTTCTGTGCTATTCCCTTAGGATAGGACCAAGACAGATCAAGCCAGAAGGGGCATCATATTAGTTCATAAGACTGGTCTGTTATCTCTAATCAGGGTTTTCTGGGTTACTTTCCCAAGCTGGAGCCAAGTTGGGGCAATTTTGATGAGATATCTCTGTGCCCATGCCACCCATTTTGCTCTCAACTGCTGAGTAATCTCATGAAAATGTTGCTGCCAAGAGAAGCATATTTTCAAGATCCTACAGAAAGAATAGAAAGATGGCAGATTCCCTACCCTTCCCACCCCTACCTCAAGAACCACTATATTTAGGCTGAACTACTTTAAAAAGCAACTAACCTAATATATTTTCTTGCTATTCTTCCAATATACCAACTTGTCCCCACCTCAGGGCACTGCCCTTTCTGCTACTGTAACATGGAATTCTCCCCAAAGCTATTTATATGATTCAGTCTTGCTTTTTCTTTGCTTAAAAATCATCTCCTCAAAGATGCCTTCTAGCAGTGCTATTCTTACCACTATTTCCTTGTCCTGATTTCCCTTTGCTACACTTATCACTACTACCAGGGAATGTTATATTACACATAAATTTATTTGCTGTATTTTCTGCACCACCTAACTCCCCCACCCCCACGCATATTGTAAGCTCTGTGCAAGTAGGACCTTTGCATTTCTCATTCACTGCTATATCCCCAGGGCCTAATATAGTGCCTACTGGTTAATATATATTTGTTGAATGGTTGAACAGACTCAGACTGAATGCCAAATAATGTTAACTTAAAAAAAAAGTATACACATCAAAATATTTAAAGAAACAATTATTGATTTAAACATAAAACTGATATTGGGTACCTTGGTTTTACAAACACTCCTCACAATACTTCCCCTTGGTGAAGCCTTTCAGGAACTCTTCTGCAAGAATTATTTTCAGAGCCAGCTTGTCAACGACATGATTGGTCTTTTTACTTCATAAGTCTTATTTTGTTTCACCAAAAGCTTCACAGTGTAACAAACCAAACTCAGCACAGAAAACATATGACAATATATTTTAGATTCTCTAAGACAAGGTCTCATAAGTTTAGATGACAAGTGACAACATCAATGGACTAAGTATATCACCTCCCATAACTTAAAAGGCTAATACTCATAAACATGAAAGTTCTGGAGTATGAAATTTAAAACACAAATTTTGGATATAAATTATCTGAGTACAAAGCTGTAGGTAATTCTTATCTTTCACTTCCCCTCATAACTCCAAACATAACGCCATTGTAGGTGGGTTGCTGCTAGACTACATCCAAGATTGTTCAGCTGAGGACTTGCCCACTCTCCCAGTTACTTGGAATTTTCAACCTTCCCATACTCTAGCCCACATGGCATTTGCACTCAGCTTCTCCTACTGATCCAGCCACACATCATCTTCTTCATGAATGTGGGCAGTCTAAAGACTTCCTGTCTGGCAAAGTATTATTTCAAACAACTAAGAGGAAAATCTTTGGAAGCAGAAGTGGAAACACAGGAAAAGTGGCAGCAAAACCCTCAGCCTCAGGATAGTAGCTTATTCAAAAGTATATTTAAATGTCACAGGGTAAAATAGACCAGCTGAGTCCGTATCTTAGAAAGGAAGCCTACTGCTTTCTCCTGGTAGGCAACAAAGAGAACCCCACCTAGGACTTTAACCCACTCTTTTCCCAATGTATTCCAATACTATTAGCCAGCTGAACTAAAAGAGAATGGGTGCTGGTAGGCAACTCCATTGATCTCCCTTTCTTTAGCAATAAGTACTGGCCAGCTGAGGGCTAAAGATAATGAGGATTGAAAGAAAAGCAGACATACCAAAGGTACTGTGTCAAGTAATACATGAGATGTGTTCATAAACGAATGAGTTATTCCAGAGCCATACAAACAAATCAATCTCTTTACTGGACAGGCATACCTCTCATATGTATATTATTCGAATATACTAACACATGAAAGATCACATCACCTTGTTTACGGATACATTTAATATCCCTTACTCTTCCCGACTTTCAAAACATAATAGTATACAAAATATAAAATATCTTAAATATTTATAAAAATCACAAGAAAAAAATAGAACGTATGAAAATATTTTTATCTGAGTTCTCCCTCATTGTTGAGAGGCAGCTTAGTTTGCCTTGAGTTCATAACTGTTGAGTGGGTAGGAGTATGCCCTGCCTAATACTATTCTGTCCCGGAGAAGTTTAAATAAAACATAGTAGTTGCAGAAGAGGATGAGAGCCATGGAAAGTGTGTGGTTCCACTTCTCCGACCGCAGCAAGGAATAGAGCTGATAGAAGACGACACTGCCCTCAATAAGGATGAGCAGATTTAACAGCCTTAATGGTCGATGAAATAAGAACTGTAAGGAAGTTAAAAAAGTAAAACATTATTTCATAGAAAAGTAATGGCTACAGTTATTCTTGCATTGATTTTTCTAAAATAATTTAACATTTACAGGTTCCCATATATAATAATAAATAGATCTGTTTATTTAATATCAATCAGGCTATTTCTTGCTATAAAGATTGAAACCTTTTCCTTTTTGCTCAAGAAATAATGAAATAATTTTTATTTCAATGCCCCTGAGACACGAAAAGAGATTATGCCCAAAAGAAAACTACTTATAAACATTTTTCTTAGATTATATTTTAGGTATATATTTTATTTAGGATAAACACAAAAGTATATTCATCTAAGACAGAGGTGGATAAAGGACCAAACAGGAAATATTTTAGGCTTTGTAAGTCAAGAGGCAAAAATTAAGGATATTACATAGGTACTTATGTAACCATTTAAAAATGTAAAAAACATTCTTGGCTTGTAAACTAAGACATAAATACCAACACTAGACAAGTTTGGGGAAAAGAGAGGTTACAAGTCAAATATGAATACAATAGTTTCTTAGTTTTTCCTTAAACTGTTTACCCACCATGGTCACTGACTGAAATCCTCTACACCATATACCTGTGTGTTTAATTACTGATTTTTTTCTGGATATTGAGAAGCAGGGTGCACAAAGACAGGATAAGGAGGAAGGAAGGAAAAATGAGTCAGAATTAGACTAAAAATAGGGATTACTACTATATTTACTCCCACTAAATTCTCCACTTTAAAAGGCTAAATTCTGGTTTTCTAATACAAAGTTATTATGAATACAAACATATAGGCCACAAGTTGTAAAAGAACATTAACAATTCAGCTTAACCAGTCTAATCCTAAATCTAGATGAAGACAAGAGTGCAGTAACAGCAGTGATCAGATCTAAAATAACTAATTTAGATGGAATTTAGATCTTAAGAGCTTACACCTCAGAATGAAGCCAAATTATCATGACAGCTTTAAAAAGTTTCCAGGTTCAAGAGGAAGAAAATGTTTAACCTGGAGTTTGACAGCTATAGGTAATAGGCACACTTTAAATGACTGTTTTGAAACTTCAGTGTGCCTAAGAATCATTTCCAAATCCACAAATGCTGCCAATTCCTGGGATCATCCAGAGATTCTGGTTCAGAAGTCTGATATAGGGGCCCTGAATCACTTTTTAAAAATAGTGGGCCAGGTGATTTATCAGCAGGTGGCCCATGGATCACTTGGAGAAGCACTGATTTAACTGTCTATCCAGTCCTGCAAAATCAGTAATAAATCAACTTGCCTAATCTTTTTTCCATAGATTCCACCCGATTTTTCAGCTGTCCAAAGCTAGCAAGGAAACTACTTAATTTTCAAGCAGAAAATTCTAATGAACTATTTCGCTATCACAGGTCTCAAGGAGACAGCAAGGACCAACAGAAGTCATTAATGGCCTAGAGAATTCAGCTGGCTGAATTAAATATTCTATATAGAAATCAAGTGCTCATGTACTTGTGACTTAAGTCCTTTCCTCCACCTTAAGGCATTTCCACTGGCGTCAAGAAGGAGATGCTTGTCGTTTTCTCACTCAAGGGCTTTCCACCTTCCCCATGTTCCTCCCAATCTGCCCCACCCTGCATTCCCCTACCATGGTATTTATAAGCATCATGCCCAGGGGCAAGTTCCCAAAACTTAATTGAAGTGTCCCTCAATAACAAACACCTGCAGAACCAGAAAGTCCATATACCCTCACAGGAACTGAGAAGGACAGAGGGAGAAAGAGATGCAAGTATCTTAAAAAAGATCTCCAATTCTTGTTTAGAATATGATCCCCTTTCAAAAGCAATGCACTGCACTATAGGCATTTTTACTATAAACAGTCCCCTGCAGGCACCTACTTTTCCCCACTTGCATTAGTCAGCTGGCCTTTCTTTTATAAGTATATACTTTTGCCTTGTACAGACAATTTCTGGAAGGCTGAAAGACCAAATAGATCATAACCGAAGGCATGAGTTCAATGGAATGTAGTGGGTTTCTATTGCTTTTTCCTTTTTTAACTTTTAAGCTTTTTTCCTTTTCATGGCATTTGTCTGACTTCCAAAGGGGAAGCTAAAGCCTTTGTAAAGAAACAATATATATGACAAATACCTAAAAATAAAACCACCGCACTATTAATATATTAAATGTCACTATGGATACACAGATACAATATATCTTAACAATACCACTAAACCAAACTCTTACAAAACAAAAATGGTAAGATGAAAAAGGAGTCTTAGATAACTGCCTGCTTGTTTCAAGTAATACTAGATTCGACAAATACCAATGTAACTAGAGAAACCAGCTAAGCTACTGAAACTGGAATAACAGTATATGATCTTCAAACTGCCCTTCAAAAGACATTTCCAAAGTACAGGGACCACTGTTACGCTAGTAGCAATAATTACCATGTAATAATTTCCTAGTATGTGCTACATGCTATGCTACATGCTTCCACATAGAGTGGCCTCCTAACACTTACCCCTAAGCTTATGTTTGAAAATAAATAAGCGGTACTTGCATAAAAGCGGGCATGAGATACATCTGAAGGCACTGCCACGTTGTAAGGCCCCATGGCTCTATATAAACATCTGCTGTGCCGCACCAGCACCCCTTGAGGCCATATTGTATTTTCTGACCAACTAAGGGAGAAAGAAATGCAATGTTAGCATATTGGCAATTACAGATAAGATAGCATCTGGCAAGGCCAGCTGTATTTTTATGGAAGGAATTAAATAATCAAGGCTTCATCTGCCTGAATTCTGAAAATACAGTAATTCCATGGTCAAACTGGAGTAGTTTTAGAAAGGATTTGTTACTTTAACTTCATTGCTATATAGTAAACAGAGGTTGCAAAGAAATATAGTTAACTCAGTGTCAAAGGACTTAAGAGGCTTAGAAGAATGAGCAGACATAAATGTGTAAGCCAGAAAACAGTGTGTAAGCAGGGTGACTGTCATCTCCATCCCAAGTGAGCAGAGTCTACTGGTGGAAATGCTAGAGGGAACAAACAAGAAGAGAAAGCTGATGGTAATAAGAATAGTGGAGAAATTAGCACATTGTCAATCTAGCATGACATTTACTGCAGAATTACATCCCAAAAAACTATAGGAAATCAGTTTGCTTATCACACAATTCAAATACCTCACAACTGTAAGAAGATATACAGTAGAACACAGCGATACATCTCACACACACACACAGACTTTTCACTGCTTTCATGGTTTATTTTTATAGAGGTTTCTCTGGGGGAAAAGAAGTTACAGAAGCAGCAGCTTCATTCTTTCCAGCATAATGGAGTTTGGGTGGGGACAGGGATCTTCAGGTTAAGCTTTTTAAAAAAAAAAAAAAAAATCTAAGTTAATTCATCTCTTCCTGATTTTGGAAAGGTTAGTTTCCTAGGATAAGAACTGGGAGGCAGTTTAGATATGTTATTAAAAAAAAAAAAAAAAATTCTAGCACCCTAAAGCTTTCCCAGTTCAGAAAATGTTCCACCGGCCTTGCTCACACTTACCAGCATTAAAGTGATGATACACCTCATGGCCATGTGCCATCAGTAGCCTGAAGATGTACAGTACTAGTACTGTGGATTGTATTTTCAATTTTTATTGAAATCTGTCCTTTGCCCACAGTCGGGTTTCTTTTCAGCCTGGCCCAATCTCTTTCAGTTCCTGGGCTTGAAGGCCTGTGCTAATCTGTATCAGACATCAAGGCAGATAATTGAAGGGAGAACTCTCAGGGGGAGAGGGAAAGGGAAGGTCACCTCAATCTGTCCCACTTAACTAGGGAAAAATTTCTAGATGAAATTTGTGAAATGTTCAAATTACAAAAGGGGGAAGATGAAGATGGTTTGGGTCTGAAAGAAAAGTATGATGAAGGACTCAGAAGTGACAGAATAAAACGGTCCTAATGTTAGCCATTTTGGATCATAGGAGCCATGTGGAGTAATGACTGATAAGGGGGACACAATGAGAAAAATTCTTCCAAAGAACTCAGTCAGGCACAGTTCTCACTTAAACACAGGAGAAGCAGGGAAATATTCAGTAGAGAGTTTAGAAAGAAAATAATAGTAAAAAAGTACAGGTAAGGAAAATTACTAGAACAAAACTGCATGTATTAGAAAGAAAAAATGAGAGAATCATATTCCAGCTAAGTGTGAGATGAATAGCTAGCAACTACTCAGCTGTGGCAATGAAGATGAGAAGACAAATCTTAAAGTCTTCTAAAAAGAAATAAAATATATGACTCTTTGAATTCGGGCAAAGGGGTAAGATTGAAAGAGAACGCCAAGTGCATTGCTTGGGAGACAAATTACACACACTAGAGTGACTGGGCAGCTGAAAGGTAGAACGCATTTAAGGAGCTGGGGTGGTGGTGGAAATGAGTTAATGTCCCTTGTATTCAGTTTAGCATGATGACAAGCATCCATGTAAGACAAAAACTAAAAATTAAATGTTCAAAGCCAAGAACAAGAATGACATACAAAGCAAATAAACATGATCAGCAGCATGTAGAAAGTGTTACATGGTTTTACCCTCTAGCTTACTCACATGTGCTGTGGAGCATTGCTGTAGGACCCATGTTCCAACTTCTGCCACTTGCCCAGGTGAGCAGCTGATTTATGTAGCAAATCACAGTATTTGGATGGCAACAGTTGCGTGGTGAGCATGACAAAAGCATTGATCCACACCATAATGAGGTGCTCACATGACCAGCGCATGTCATAGTACTGGGTACTCTGGAAGAGATCAGAAGAGAGAGAAATGATCCATGCACTGGTAAAAAGAGGCAGGGATGGGTTGGTGTACATATGCCCTGCAGACAAATGCCACACTGAGTCACACATGCACTGGTGGTCCTGCTGTCCGTGCAGAAAAGTTCAAGAGCAGAGTCCTCCACAATCCTTCAACCTGACTTTCTGGCTGTATGAGTTAGGGATGGGAGGGAGAGGCAATTATATTTTAAGTGTCTCCTTTCTAGAAGAACTGAGTGTTCTCTGAAGGACCATTCCAGCTGCAGAAGTACTTCTGAATGGGTGAAGAAAGGGCACTAAAATGTACCAAAAGATTTTGGGCCCAAGTGACATCCAGACCATTTTTCTTTTCTATTAAAGTAAACTGAAGTTTAGATAAGGGCTAGATTAAATTCAAGGAAACTCCTGATAACCATGTTAAGATCAACCACAGTAGGCTGAGTTTTACTGAAACCTTGGTCCTCTTAAGCTACTACATACTGATTCTATTATAAGTACATTTTGATTCTCCCCAGAAACTAAAAATACTTAAAAAAAAAAAAAAAAAGAAAAAAAGAGGGAACCACCACGGGTGCATCACATATATGGAAATACCTATCCGCCAACCAGGAGCGGTATTAGTGCACTCCAGATGCAGCCGAACTCCACCATCCAGGCTGCCAAAGGGGAGACAGAGAAAAGGGGGATTAAACAAGAAATACCCAGTTTATGTAATTCACACACAAATCCAGGAAGCACATAAAAGTAAGATAACCACTTACCTTCACAAAACACAGGGGGAGAAATGCAACATAGTAGGCACTGAAGAGGGAGTTGAAGAGAACCTCCTTGATTCTGTGGTTGAAATCTGCTTTCAGACATTCTACTTCATTGCGAATGAGGTCTGGAGATAGGGGACAACTGTGGGTGGGGATGGGTGTGGCATTATTAAACTGTTCTTTTAGCGACTCCAGCAACAAGGAGAGAAAGTCTTTGGATTTGGCCAAGCCTCCCACAGTCGAGGCACTTTCCTCTACTGCCTCGTGCTGAACCACATAGTTGTAGTCTGTGAGAAGAAGATGTGCTCTACTATCTTGATGAAAACAGCAAAGAGGAACATAAACACCAAACCTGTAAAACAAAGTGTGAAAATGAGACCACAGATACCACCTAAAATCACACCTTATAACTTACGTCAATATAACTTATAACTTAGGTCAATAAAATAGTCAGGACCCGCAGGAGTAAACATAACTCAAGAGGGACATTGCTGATAGTAAATTCATTATCTGGGGAGCTCTTCAATTTCTTTCCATAAGAGCAGTGCACATTCATTGTAGATTATTAAGAACCTACAGAAAAACCACAATGGCAAAACACACATCACTTAGCAATAATCATTTTTATAACTAGATGCACATATTTCCAATATAAAGTTTGTAAACTTTGTATTATAGTTACATATGCTTTTTTCCTTTTGTGTTTGGCTTCATACAGTACCATGTGTTTTGTATCCTGCTGTTTAAACTTTGTATGTGTGCATGTGTGTATATTGAGTATTTTCCCTGTGTAGTGAGTATTTTCTCAAGTCTAAATATTTTTCTATAGAAATTTTTAAAGATACAATAGTATTCTCATATAGAAATACCATAATTTACCCATTTCTCTCTTGTTGGAAACAGGCTGTTTCTTATTTTCCACTACTATAAATAACAATGTGATAAGGATTTTCCCAATACGTGTGTACGTTTGGTCATTTTAGTACAGCTTGTTCTTTACTTCAAATGTCCCTTTCTTAGTAGGGGGCCCTCCTGCCTCCCTACTGTATCACCCATCCCACTCCCACAGGCGACCCTTCTTCTCCTTTCCTGCTTATTTTTCTCCACAGATCTTACCATGTTTATTCGATTTTTAACTTTGGGGGTAGTTTTGTTTGTTTTCTTTCTTAGTCAATCTTCCCTTCACTACAATTTAAGCTCTATGAACCAGAGATTTCAACGTAATTAATTCACTGCTGTAACTCTGGTACCTCAGATAGTGGCTGTAACACTGTTTAAGTATGCAATAAACTTCTCATTAATAAAAAAAAATTCTGGAAGTACAAATGAATTTCTACCAGTAAAATTAATTGGTTAAAGAAGTGAACATTTTTGAGACTTCTGATAACTTCTTATAGTATTCCAACTGTTGGTTCCTTAAAATTTGTTTAAATACTTCAAGTCCTCATTAAGTAATTTCCACATTGTGACCTAGGTATTATAAATTAAATGGTCATTTCATGCACATAAATTCAGATATGAAAAATAGCAAATAAAAAGATATTTAGGGCCAGGGACAGTCCCTCATGCCTATAATCCCAGCACTTTGGGAGGCCAAGGCGAGCAGGTCACCTGAGGTCAGGAGTTCAAGACCAGCCTGGTCAACATGGTAAAACTCTGTCTCTACTAATAATACAAAAATTAGCTGGGTGTGGTGGCGCGCACCTGCAATCCCAGCTACTCGGAGGCTGAGGCAGGAGAATCACTTGAACCCTGGAGGTGGAGGTTGCAGTGAGCCGAGACTGCACATTGCACTCCACCCTGGGCAACAAGAGTGAAACTCCTTCTCAAAAAAAAAAAAAAAAAAGATATTTAGTTATACATTTTATAACAAAATGAACAGATGACACTTATCCATAGTTTTCTACAGAGGGAGAACTGATGTTACTAATTAAGAACATTCTTAGCATTAGCTCTGGGATCTACTGTGAATGTGCCCTTGGGAGGACAAGAGTGGGTAGAAGTAGAAGTATTAATTCTAATTTTTTTTTTTTTGAGACAAGGTCTTACTCTGTCACCCAGACTGGAGTACAGTAGCGAGATTACGGCTCACTGAAGCCTCAACTTCTTGGGCTCACGCAATTCTCCCGCCTCAGCCTCCTAAGTAGCTAGGACTACAGGCGCATGCCATTACACGCGGCTAATTATTTTATTTTTGGTAGAAACAGGGTCTCCCTATGTTGCTCAGGCTGGTCTTGAACTCCTGAGCTCAAGTGATCCTACCGCCTGGGCCTTGCAAAGTGGTGGGATTACAGGTGTAAGCCACCGCACCCAGACAGAGAAGAAGTATTAGACAAAAATCTCTCACATGTGCATATCTGTGATGGCTAGAGCAGGTCATCAGAAGTTCAATGCTGCCAAAACACAAGCTGCATGTGTAGGTGTAGAGGTGGGGATAAGAGGCTGGAGTGTGTGGTAGATTGTAATGATGGCCCCAATTCTTTACCCTCCTTTGTAGTCTCACTGCCACATAACTGCATGGCCCTCATTCTATGGGTGAGGCGACCTGCCCTATCCCCATACTGGGCTCTACAATGGAGGGCTTTGTGAGGTAAAGAAAATAATTCATTAAAGGATTTTAAAGAGGGTTAGTAACATGATTAAATTTCCCATTGTGAAAATCATTCTAGCTACAATAAAAATGAAATGGAGGGGAACAAGAATGGATTATCAGAAGACCAGATGAAGGTTGATAATGCAATAGTAAAAACTATGGAGAGCATTGGACCAATTCAAGATACACTTAGGAACCACAACTGTTAGACTTTAGACTAATTCACCCTAATGAGAAGCTATTTGAGAACTGAGGGGTAAGAAAAAGAGGCAGAAAAGGGCCTCTTTCTTAGTTTAACCTATGAATAAACAGGAAATTAAACATGTTGCTATTGTCATAATCTAGTATTTTAAATTTCTCGCACTTTTGATTTTTAAATTGAAGTTTAGATAAAAGGTGGATTATACAACTTCTTAAAAGTAACGAAGGCAAATACAGGCATACCTCATTTTATTGCATTTCACTTCATTGTGCTTCCCAGATACTGTATTTATTACAAACTGAAGGTTTGTGGCAACCCTGCATCAAGCGTATCTGGGGGTGCCATTTTCCAAAGTGCTCACTTTGTGTCTCTGCCATATTTTGGTAATTCTCCCAATATTTCAAACTTTTTCATTACTATTACATCTGTTATGCGAAATGTGATCTTTGATATTACTACTGTAATTGTTTTGGGGCACTACAAACTGCACCATATGAGACAGCAAACTTAATGGATAAATGTTTGTTCTCATTGTTCCATCAATGAGCCATTCCCCCATCTCTCTCCCTCACGTCAGACCTCCCTATTCCCTAAAACACAAGAATATTGAAATAAGGCCAACTAATAACCCTAAATGGCCTCCGAGTGTTCAAGTGAAAGGACATCACACATCTCTCACTTTAAATCAAAAAGTGGATATTAAGCTTAGTGAGAAAACATGTCAAAAGCCCAGACAAGCTGAAAGCTGGGCCTCTTGTATTAGCTAGCCGAATTGTAAATGCAAAGAAAAAGTTATTCAAGGAAATTAAAAGTGCTACTCCAGTGAACATACAAATGGTAACAAAGAAAACAGCCTCACTGCTGATATGGAGAAAGTTTTGCTGATATGGTCTGGATCGACCAGCCACGACATTGCCCTAAACCAAAGCCTAATCCAGAGCAAAGCCCTAACTCTTTTTAAGTCTATGAACCTCCAGAGAGGTGAGAAAGCTACAGAAGAAACGTATGAAGGTTAACAGCGGTTAGTTCGTGAGGTTTAAGGAAAGAAGCTGTCCCATAACATAAAAGCACAATGTGAAACAGCAAGTGTGAATCTACAAACTGTAGCAAGTTATCCAGAAGACCTAGCTAAGATCACTGATGAAGGTGACTAAACTAACAGACTTTTCAAGGGTGACAAAACAGCCTTATACTGTATTGGAAGAAGATGCCATCTAGACTTCCATACCTAGAGAGGAGAAGTCAATGCCTGGCTTCAAAGCTTCAAAGGATAAGCTGACTCTCTTGTTAGTGGCTAACGCAGCTGGTAACTTTAAGTGGAAGCCAATGCTTATTTACCATTCCAAAAATCCTACCATCCTTAAGAATTATGCAAAATCTACTCTGCCAATGCTCTAGAAATAGAACAACATATTTGGATGACAGTACATCTGTTTACAGCATGGTTTACTGAATAAGCTCACTGTTGAACCTACGGTTTAGAAAAAAGATTCCTTTAAAAATATTATGTACGGCTGGGTGCGGTGGCTCACGCCTGTAATCCCAGCACTTTGGGAGGCTGAGGCAGGCGGAGCACCTGAGGTCAGGAGTTCGACACCAGCATGGCCAACATAGCGAAACCCCGACTCTACTAAAAATCCAAAGAAATTAGCCAGGCATGGTGGCATGCACCTGTAGTCCCAGCTACTTGGGAGGCTGAGGCAGGACAATCACTTGAACCTGGGAGGCAGAGGTTGCAGTGAGCTGAGATCACACCACTGCATTCCAGCCTGGGCAACAGAGAAAGACTCCATCTCAAAAAAAAAAAAAAAAAGTACTTACTGCTCATTGACAGTGTACCTAGTCACCAAAGGCTCTGATGGAGATTGTTGTTTTTATGCCTGTTAAGATAGCATCCATTCTGCAGCCATGAATCAAGAAGTAATTCTGATTTTCAAATCTTATTATTTAAGAAATACGTTTTGTAAGGCTATTTCTGCATTAAATAGAGATTCCTCCAATGGATCTGGGCAAAGTAAACTGAAAACCATCTGGAAACAATTCACCATGCTAAATGCCATTGAGAACATTTGTGATTTATGAGAGGAGGTCAAAATATCAACACGAGCAAATGTGGAGGAAGTTGATTCCTACCCTCATGGATGACTTTGAGAGGTTCAAGACTTCACTGGAGAAAGTAACCGCAAATGTGGAAGAAAAAGCAACAGAACTAGAATTAGAAGTGGAGCCTGGACTAGGTGCAGTGGCTCATGCCTCTAATCCCAGCACTTTGGGAAGCCAAGGAGGCTGGATCACTTGAGCCTAGGAGTTCGACACCAGCCTAGGCAACATAGCAAAACCCCACCTCTACAAAAAAACAAAATACAAAAATTAGCCGGGTGTGGTGGCACACACCTGTAGTCCCAGCTACTTGAGAGGCTGAGGTGGGAGGATCACTTGAGCCCAGGAGACAGATGTTGCAGTGAGCCATGATTATACCACTGCACTCCAACCTGGGCGACAGTGAGACCCTGTCTCAAAAAAAAAAAAAAAAAAAAAAAAGTGAAGCCTGAAGATGTGGCTGCACTCTCTCACAATCAAACTTAAACGGATAAGGAGCTGCTTCTTATGGATAAGAAAGTTGTTTCTTGACATAAAATCTATTTCTGGTAAAGATGCTGAGAACACTGTTGAAATGACAAAGAGTTTAGAATATTATATAAACTTAGTTGTTACAGCAGCAATAGGGTTTGAGAGAAATGACTTCAATGTTGAAAGAAGTTCCACTGTGGGTAAAATATTATCTATCAAACACATCACATGCTACAGAGATATGTTTCATGAAAGGAAGTGTCAACTGATGTGGCCAACTTCACTGTTGTCTTATTTTAAGAAAGTGACAAAGCCATCCCAACCTTCAGCAACCACCACCCTGATCAGTCAGCAGCCATCAACATTGAGGCAAGACTCTCCACCAGCAAGATTACAACTCACTGAAGGCTCAAATGCTCATCTGCATACTTTAGCAATCAAGTATTTTTTAATTAAGATATGTACTTTTAAAAGACATAATGCTATTATGTACTTAATAGAATACAGATAGTATAAGGCTGGGCATGGTGGCTCCCCTCTGTAACCCCAGCACTTTGGGAGGCCAAGGCAAGAGGATCACTTGAGCCCAGGAGTTCAAGACCAGCCTGGGCAACAAAACGAGACCCGATCTCTACAAAAAAATTTAAAAATTAGCCAGGCATGGTGGCACACGGCTACAGTCCCAGTCCCCTAGGATTGCTTGAGCAATCCTAGGAGGGCAAGGCTGCAGTGAGCTGTGATTGCACCACTGCACTCCAGCCTGGGCAACACAGCAAGACCTTGTCTCAAAAAATAAAATAAAATAAAATAAAATAAAATAGACTACAGTATAGTGTACACATAACTTTCATATGCACTAGGAAATCAAAAAATTGACATGACTCGTTTATTGTGATATTCGCTTTATTGCAGCAGTCTGGAACAGAACTTACAACATCTCTGAGGTATGCCTGTATGTTTAAAACTAAAATGTATTTAAATTACATAATTATTTCATTGTTTTAAGGGGTGTGGAGAGCCTCTAAGAGTAAGTTTCTTTATATACTTAAATTGAAACAGAAAAGTTTGCTAGCCATCCTGATAATAGTAATCCTCTTAAACTTGGCCAAAATATTCTTCAATATACCCATAATTAGCCGTTCAAATCAGACACGGTTAATCTTCTGATTCAACCAGTAAGGAGAATGACTAAAAATTTATTTTCAACTCAAATGGCTGAAATATTAATCTATAAATATAGAAACAATTCATGTAAAATATATTCCTCATATGAAATCAGAGTCATGAAAAATGTTCGTAACAGATAATTCATTTTGTAGAAAACAAGGGTAATATTAATGAATTCAGTTGATGAGTGACTTAAATAACTGTTTAAACAATGTAATCAGACCTACTATAGTATAACCAATAGAAAGACTGTTCCTGTCATCCTTATTAGCACAATCTCTAATTATGACTTGATTTTATACTTTGTAATTACCCACATAAATTCACGCTAACACTTCAGCACCATAAATAATATAAAGCAGTAATTCTCAAACTTGAGCATGCATCAGAATCACCTTGAGGGCTTGTTAAAACACAACTTGCTAGGTCCTACTTTCCAGTTTCTATTTCAGTAGGTTTGGGGTAGATTCTGAGAATTTCCAACAAATTTATAGGTGATGCTGATGCTGCTGTTCTAGAAACTACATTTTGAGAACTACTGATACAGTAATGATTAAGACAAAGACTCTGGAATCAAAAAAACCTTACTCCTCAGCCTGGGCAACATGGTAAAATCCTGTCTCTACAAAACAAAACAAAACAAAAATTAGCGGGGCATGGTGGTGTGCACATGTAGTCCCAACTACTTGGGAGGCTGAGGTGGGAGAATTGCTTGAGCCTGAGAGGTCAAGGCTGCAGTGAGCTGAGATCGCTCTACTGCACTCCCGCCTGGATGACAGAGCAAAACCCTGTCTCAAAAAAAAAAAGCAACCGTCTCTGGACAGTGGTGGGGTTTGATGGGAAAGTGGCATGACAGAATCTTGTGGAGTATGTGTAACGCTCTGAAGTCTTGACAGGGGATTAAGTCACACAGGTATGTCCACATTTAACAAAACTCCATATACACAAGATTTGGGAATTTTATTTTATTTTATTTTATTTATTTATTTATTTGAGACAGAGTCTTGCTCGTCGCCCAGTCTGGAGTGCCATGGCGCGATCCTGGCTCTGGCTCATTGCAACCTCCATCTCCTGGGTTCGAGTGATTCTTCTGCCTCAGCCTCCCGAGTAACTGGGATTACAGACACGTGCCACCACGCCCTGCTAATTTTTTTATTTTTAGTAGAGACGGGGTTTCGCCATGTTGGCGAGGCTGGTCTCGAACTACTAACCTCAGGTGATCTGCCCACCTCGGCCTCCCAAAGTGCTAGGATTACAGGCTTGAGCCACCGCGCCCGGCGGGAATTTTATTTATATGAATTTAACCTCAAAAGAAAAAAAAGCTGTCAACAAATATCGAGCTCTAGTTAATGATACACACATGCTGAAGTATTGAGGAGGAAGCAAACTGAGGTCTGAAATTTAACTTTGAAATGCATCAAAAGTAAGATGGACTAATGGATAGAGGGATGGAGAGATGGACAGATAAGTATTACACAGTTATAGTAAAACATTAATAGGCAGAATCATCTGGGTAAGGATTACACTGGTGATAGCTGTAAAATTCTTTCAACCTTGTTGAATGTTTAAAAGGTTTTGTAATAAAATGTTAGTTACAATCATAATAATATATATACATGTCTACAGCACTTGAATATGGCATAGAGTAGACCCTCTTACCTGCAGGAAGACATTCCAACACCCCAGTGGATGCCTAAAACCATGGATAGTACCAAACCCTACATACACTATGTTTTTTCCTATACTATATACACATACATACAATAAAGTTTTAACTTATAAATTAGGTACATTAAGAGATTAATAATAAAATAGAACAATTATAACAATATACTGTTTACAATTTCATGGATAGAAGATTCATTCTTACAGTAAATCTTAGCAACCTCAGCATGATTTTTCGTCTTTCCTTACTAAGTCAAGAACTTTCCCTTTTCACTTAAAGGAAGCACTTTACAGCTTTCCTTTGGCATACCTGAATTGTGAGCATAACTACACTTTGGAGCCATATTAAGTAAAATAAAGGTCACGTGAACACAAGCCCTGTGACACCATGCCAGTCCATCTAATAACCAAGTCCGCTACTAAGCAACTAATTGACAGGTAGCATGCACGGCACAGACATGGTGGACAAAGAGATGATTCACATCCTGGTGGGACAAAATGGGATGGCGAGAAATTTCACCATACTACTCAGAACAGCACACAATTTAAAACATAATTTGTCACATATTTCTGGAATTTTCTATTTAATGTTTCTGGACCTTGGTTGATCGCAGGTAACCGAAACTTCAGAAATCAAAACCATGGATAAGGGAGGACTACTTATTGTACTTCTGTTACAGGAAACAGAAGATCAAAGTAATATGACCAACCAAGGGTAAGACTGGTTTTCGAACCAGTGCATTCATCTAAAATTAACTACCGTTTACCCAAATATAGATAGCAAGAGGGGCCTTTACTTGGTGAAGAGAGACAATTAAAATATTCTCCACTGGCAACACACCCTACATTCCAGGTTTCCCAGGACAGTCCTGGTTTATGCCTGTTGTCCCAACTGTACTCCAGTTTAGAAAACAAATTATATGTTCACCATGCTCATGGATTTCCCAGTTTTCTAAATGCTTCATTTATATTTGAAGAATTTCATTTTTCACTCTTAAAAGTATCGTTTACGTGACCGAAATAATTTCTAAAGATTTACTAATAACATGGTAAAACTGGAGTACTCACGGGTAGCCAAGGAAAAGGAGATTGAGGACTGAATGGCTTCGAAAGAGATTGACGAGGGTCCAACAAAGTACCCATCCACACAAAGTGAGTAGTACCAAGCGAGCTGATATCAGAACCATGTAGTGAATCATTGATGCTGCACCTGCCTTAGTAGCCTGAAAGTTTGGAAGCACCAAAATGAACATTTTGTAAATGATCTTCTTCAAAAGCATTGTAATTCAAGTAAGAACTTAATAGGTTTAGTGGAAGCTAAAATGTGTCTTTAAAAAGTGAAATAAAAGAAAAACTGCCCCATCCCACCTTATCTTCGTAATAATTGAAAATTCAGACTTCTCCAGGCACAGTTGTTTCCTTCTTGCACCCCGAGAGTGCCATCTACAGAACTCTTTTAAGGTCTTTTTATATCATCTAATTTATTAACATTGGAGCTTCTCAAAGTATGTTCCACGGATCACATTATTTTGTTCCATCAGAATGACCTGGGCTACTAATTGGACATGTAAACTCCTAACAACTTTCCTCTCAAGGGGTAAGGAATAAAATCTTGAGTCAAGCAACCTATATTTTAACAACTTAACCAGTGTTTTATTTATTTATTTATTTTTAATTTTTTTTTTTCGAGACAAAGTCTCGCTCTGTTGCTGTTGCCCAGGCTGGAGTGCAGTGGCACAATCTTGGCTCACTGCAACCTCTGCCTCCTGGGTTCAAGCGGTTCTCCTGCCTCAGCCTCCTGAGTAGCTGGGATACAGGCGTACACCACCACGCCCAGCTAATTTTTGTATTTTTAGTAGAGACAGGGTTTTACCATGTTGGCCAGGATTGTCCTAACTCCTGACCTCGTGATCCACCCACCTCCCAAAGTGCTGGGATTACAGGCATGAGCCACTGTGCCCGGCCTGATTTTTTATGTACATAAACATGGAGAGACACTAATTTATCTGTCTTACTTCCCACTAAACTATAAAGGGCCTCAACAGCAGTAACAATATTTTTATTTTTCTTTGAATCCTCACCTCTAATTTGCTTGGTGAATTAATGTTTAATAAATTAGTGAAGTTTCAAAAAATAATCCGATCTTCTTTGACAGATCCCTATATAAATAAGTTTCTTTTTTAACTTTTGCAAACATGGAAATAATGCATAATCACTTCCAATTCTTTTTATCACAGCTATTCAAATATGCTTCTTCAATCGCAAATCTTTAAAACTGACTAAATATATTAAGTACTTGTCAAAACTTACTCTGCAATGCCATTTTCTTTCTGAATGAACTAGGGAGAAGAGAATGAGCAAAATGTAGGGGAAAATGGAAGATCCCCATAACCTCTAAGAGAGCAGTGATGGAACCCAAAAAGGAGAAAAAAATTATCTAGAGTCAACAGTACATGGTAGGGGATAAGGAGCTTTTCAGGTCCCTCCTATATATCCGTTTCTTAGTTTACAGATCATATTATGGAGTACCTATAACATATACGCAATATACTGTATACTGAATACTATATATATACAGCATATATACGTAATATATAGTTACTTTAAAATGCAAAGCAGCAGTTGAATAAATGCCATAATGAACGGCTTAAGCCTCAAACTGTGAAGATGGCTCAAGCTCTTCTCAGTCATAGCCTGGCACATAGCTTCATATAACTCCCCTGATACATACCTTCATGCCAATTTACCTCACATATCAAAGCTTAGTAAAGTTATTTAAGCTATTGGAGTTACTCTATTACCTCCTTCTCAAAAGTTCAGGGTTAGAAATAAAAAAGACTATTTCTGCCCAATGTCATCAGAGCACAGAGCTTGGATTTGTTAATTTTGCCTTATTCCAGAGCCCCAAGCCGCTAATCACTGTGGTGTATGTCACAGACCCTTTACCAGGTCCTAGGGGTACAGTGGTAACCAAGACAAACAAAACCCCTGTGCTTATGAAGCTGACTAACCAAGAAAAACAAATATTAAACTTTTATCTAATCATTTTTTTAATTGTAATGAGTGCTATAGGAAGAGTAGGCTGCTATGGAAAGTAAATAACAGGAGATCCTATTCTAGAGATGGCTTGTGTTAGTAAACGGTATTTAAGCTGAGACCTAAAGGATAAGCAAGATTTCGCTAGGTGAGGGGCAGAAAAATATTCATAACATTATGTTAATTTTAAAGTACAGGATATGAAACTGTATATAAATAATTCTCAAATATAGTAAAATAAATGTAAATATAAAATCTTCATACGCATATGAAGATCAGAAGAAAATATAGCAAAATGTGGTCTTTGGCCGGGTGCAATGGCTCACACCTGTAATCCCAGCACTTTGGGAGGCAGAGGCAGGTGGATCACCTGAGGTCTGGAGTTTGAGACCAACCTGGCCAACATGGTGAAACCCTGTCTCTACTAAAAATACAAAAATTATCTGGGCATGGTGGTGGGCGCCTGTAATCCCAGCTACTTGGGAGGCCGAGGCAGGAGAATCGCTTGAACCAAGGAGTAATCCCAGCTACTTGGGAGGCCGAGGCAGGAGAATCGCTTGAACCAAGGAGGCGGAGGTTGCAGTAAGCCAAGATCATGCCATTTACAGCCTGGGCGACAAGAGCAAAACTCTGTCTGCCCCCCACCCCCCAAAAAAAGTGGTCTTCAATAATGAGATTGTGAGCAATTTTTAAATGTCCTGCTTTATATTTTAGTGTTTTCCAAATTTTTTTCAATAAAATATACTATTTTCCTAGAAAAACAATTTTTAAAAAGAGAGTTGCTTCAGGTTGGTGAAAAAACAGCTAAATTTATTTCTAGTCTTGTGAAGCAAGTATAGAAGTAGAGTTAGCCTGGAGGTGAACAGGCAGAGCTGGCCTGAAGGTGAATAAACGGACTCTACCTACGTGGAGAGGTAGTCCTCTCTGAATAGCATTTCCGTTTATGAATTAATTACCAGCAGCCTCTCCTTAAATATTATTGATCTTTCTCAGGGTAGGGATCCTTTCTGTGATATATGCAAAAAAAGGAGGAAAACATATTTTAATGGAAGGAAGGAAAGATGATTTATGATAGGTTTTATCCATCTAATTTAGATATTTTAGGAGGAAAATCACTATACAGCTCTTATTTTAAATTTTTGAATAGGTAACACATTCATATCACTCAAAACACAAAACATGTAACAGTGCTTGTAGTGAAAAGCTTCCCACCTGCTGATCCTGTCTCCTAGCCACCAACTGTGCAACCTGTTATTAGTTTGTATGTCCTTCTGGAAACAATTTATTCATATATAAGCAAATATATTTTGTTCCCTCCTGTCTCATTTTAAACACTGTTCTGCACCTTGCTTTTTTCATTTAACATCTTGGAGGTCAATACATAAACACATTTTCATGTTGTCAATGGCTGTATGCTATTCCATTATGTAGATGTACCAAAATTATTTAAACATTCCCTTACTGATGAACATTAAGTTATAGAATTAAGACTTTGATAAAACGATGTTTAAATTTAGCTTAAGTATTCTGTTCCCATTAAGAACTGCAAGCCTTGGCCAGGCACTTGGGATCACACCCGTAATCCCAGCACTTTGGGAGGCCAAGGTGGGTGGATCACTTTAGACCAGAAGTTCGAGACCAGCCTGGCCAACATAGTGAAACCCTGTCTCTACTAAAAACACAAAAATTAGCTGGGTATGGTCGTGGGCGCCTGCAATCCCAGCTACTCAGGAGGCTGAGGCAGGAGAATCGCTCGAACCTGGGAAGCAGAGGTTGCATGAGCTGAGATGGCACCACTGTGCTCCTGCTTCAACCTAGGCGACAGAGCCAGACTCCATCTCAAAAAAAAAAAAAAAAAAAAAAAAAGAATTGCAAGCCTATTCCAACTAAGGCTATGCAAAAGCTGCTATACTACTTTTAGGGCATTTAAGTTATCTTTGCAGCAACAAGGTAGAAATCCCAGTTTTGAAGGGTTACACACTAACTGGGCATACTAATTGGACATGTACAAGTAGCATGTCCAAGTAACTGAAGGAATGAAACAAAATCATTTCCTATTTTAACAAATGAAAACATAAAATTCCACTGAGATCCTCTAAAGAAAGAACATGCTTTCACAATATAACAAAAAGTGAGTTTCTATTTCCATCCTCTAAATAAAAACTCTGAAAGAAAAGATTATAAACAGACGTTCCTACTGTGAAAAACAAGGAATCCTACTACCTGTGCTTTTTGGTTAACTTCAAATGGTTTTCAGATCTTGACTTAGTATTTCCAGTTACTCTGCTTCCAGAAATAGGGTTCCTGAAAATCAGAGCTTACACACACAGACCTTCCATGTATGTTTTGGGAAAAAGAAGTTGACTCTCAATTATTTGTGATTATAGTAACTATTCATTTAAAATTTCACACTGAATTATAAGTTCCAAGATTAAAATTATTAGCCACTTCAGCTAAATTAACATTTTTTGTTTTTGTAATCACTTATAGAGCACAAGATAACAATATTTTAAGAAAGCACATTTCCCTGCCTCATTGGGATTTACAAATATATGAAAAATGAGGCCAGGCATGGTGGCTCACGCCTGTAATCCCAGCACTTCGGGAGGCCGAGGCAGGTGGATCACCTGAGGTCGGGAGTTCGAGACCAGCCTGACCGACATGGAGAAACCCCGTCTCTACTAAAAATACAAAATTAGCCAGGCGTGGTGGCGCATGCCTGTAATCCCAGCTACTTGGGAGGCTGAGGCAGGAAAATCGCTTGTACCCAGGAGACAGAGGTTGTGGCGAGCCGAGATCATGCCACTGCACTCCAGCCTGGGCAACAAGAGTGAAACTCCGTCTCAAAAAAAAAAAAAAAAAAAAAAGGAAAGAAAAATGATACCAATGGCCTAGCTCTGTCAACAATTTTTAATTTTAAAAAGATCATTTAATGTTCTAATTCTTTCTCATTCTGCTCACTAAACTTAGATTCTAATCTTCAGATTAATCCTATACGAATTCTGATACTCACTGGTTTTTAAAATTCTAAGAAACTCAAATAAATGTTTCTTGCTAACAATCTTCTCAAATGGTATATATAAACAGTATCAAGTGAATATTATCTGGAACTGAATGTTTTAGGTGCAATTGTATGTGTACAGATAACACTTCGTATTAATAGTTACCTGAAATTCATCCTATTTTTACTGAAACTATTTAAATTGTTTAAATTGTACTGAAAAACTCAGTAGCGGAACACAAGCTCCGACCCTACGAATGAATTTTCTAACAGTTTTTGACACTTGAATTTTAAAAAATTACACTGCAGGGAAACATTTTTTAAAGTACTGGCAGAACTCACATGGGAGTAAAGTAATTTATTGTTTCATTAAATGGGGACACGTCACGTTTTTAACCTGCACCCATTCTAGTAACTAACTCTAGCTACATGTGATAGAATATAGTCAATGAACTGTTACCTCTGAGATGAGAGCCCATACAAGCCTCCTCGCAAGCATCACTGTGATGAATGCTGCCAGATGATAATCAATGAGATGAAAATTCTACAACAGAAATAAATAACTACATCAGAAAGAAATATGATGTGTATTCAGCTGGCACTACTACAAGAATAGAGGTTTATCCCTCAAAAGATCTTCCTTAGATCACCACACCCTTACAGATTATGGGAATATGAGAGATCTTGAAGAGACTACGTACCTTCTACTTCTTCTTTCATAACAAATTGCTTTAAGTTTTTAAACACTATTTTAAACTACCTGCAATATATTCCTCTCCCTTTTCAAAAGTATTACTGTACTAAAAGGAAAAGATTGCAGCTTTGAGTTAACAAGTTATAACCTGCAGAATTATGGCAAGAATAATTTATATAAAATGGCATATTTATAATGTGTCAAACTATCAGTTGGGATTCAGTCTTCAGAAGTTACTGTTGTTGGTCTCTTACACAAGCTTATGTTAATCTAATTGGGCATCTACTAAATTCTCTACTAGATGGTACATCAATTATACTCATTTAGTGTTTCTCCTAGTTTGATTTAGAAGTATGCCTTATGTTTGGTCTCTTCTAAAAAATAATAGCATTACCTAGATGCTGTCTACAGTTCCTTCTAGTTCTAAATCTGTATATACAACTGTGGTAATAAGCAAATGAAAAGTCTTTAGCAACAATATCCCAGGAACCACCAAAATCAGGATGTATTTTCATTTTGATGATCAAAAGGTCTGTAGGTTTCCACAATTCCTTCCAGAATGAAACATTAAATTTCTTGATTACTTAATTTAATAAATCTATACATAGCATCCACAATGCACCAGGTACTCTCCTTCACACTAAAGATACAGTGTGGAAGATGACAGCCAAGGTTCCTGCTCTCCTGGGTCTTACTTTCTACTGTGGTGTCAGAGGGAAAGGAAATGGCAGAGATTACTATTCGTTCCTTCTGCATCACCATAAAATTTAACTAGGCACTGACTCCTAGCCAGCTAAAGGTTCATTTTCCAGCCTCCCTTGCAAAAACTACTTTTAGCCAAGGGATGAGTGAAAAAGTAATACGCACAACTTCTAAGCCATACTCTTCTAGAAAGAGCTGTCCCCTTTTCTCTTTTCTTTCTCCTTCCTGCTGGTCAGATATGATAACTGGAGTTAGAGTACCTGCCTTGGACCATGGTTTGGAAGAAGCATATTGGGGATGGAAGAGCAATAAATACAAAGAGTTGCCATGCTGATGTTATATCACCCACCTAAACGTTTATTAAATAGGGAAATAAGTTTCTATTTTGTTTTAGCCACCCTGTTATGGCAGCTAAACCCATATCTTCAATAAATTTGTTTGGAGAAGCAGGGCAAGTAATGACAATAAACAAGCTCCCAAACAAAAGCATTTTAAATAGTTAAAACTGCTTGTAAGAAATAAAACAGTAACAAATAATGACTAAGAAGGAGGTGCAGAGCCCATTTAAACTGGTGGTTAGGGAGGCTATCTCTGAGAGGATGGCATTTGGGCTGAGAGCTGAATGACAAAAAGGCACCTGGCATTACAAGCTCTGGGGACAAAGGGCCCCAGACAGAAGAAAAAGCAATCACAAAGGCCCTAAGACAGGAAAATATATGCCTAGTGTGTCTAAAAAGCAGCAAGAAGGCTGGAGTGAGATAATTATTGTAGTGGGGCAAGATCAGTTAAGAAGCTCTTGCTTTTAATTCGAGTGAAAAATGATAACAGACTGAATAGTGTGAGTAGCAATGGAGATGGAATTAAGTGGCCAAATTTAGTATACATTTTAGAGATAGTACAGCCAGAATGTCAAGAGTGGCTTGCCACTCCTTAGATCATTTCCTTTTCTCCCTCTCTAAGTATAATGGATTCTAACAGTATTTATCCCCTCCTATTTTTGGGACTCCTCCTTGCCTACCCTACTCCTCCAAAATAATGCATGCAGATTCACTCGACCCCTGGCTGATGTCTGGGTCTTATTAATGCATCACCAGTCCATCTAAGACATTTTTAAAAATCAAAATATTGGCCGGGTGCGGTGGCTCACGCCTGTAATCCCAGTAATTTGGGAGGCCAAGGCAGGCAGATCATGAGGTCAGGATATCAAGACCATCCTGGCCAATGTGGTGAAACCCTGTCTCTACTAAAAATACAAAAATTAGCTGGGCATGGTGGTGCATGCCTGTAATCCCAGCTACTCGGGAGGCTGAGGCAGGAGAATCGCTGAACCAGGGAGTCGGAGGTTGCAGTGAGCAGAGGTCATACCACTGCACTCCAGCCTGCTGACAGAGCCAAACTCCGTCTCAAAAAAAAAATCAAAATATTTAAGTGCCTAATACATCTTTTTGTTAAGCAAATCATGTTATAACCAAATCAATGAAAATGGTAATGTGCTTATGATTAACTCTTTGTAACCCAGAATATTTGATTAATCAGAGCCCTCTATTCCTGACTATTCTGAATATTTACTACTTCTAGCTTTTATGTTTCTTAGGGTTAAGACTCATTCAGTTAATTGGTTGACAGCTAGAATGATACTTCACATATTCAGGTGTCCACATTTTCTTTTTGATATTAAGGTCTTGAAATGGAAAAATAAAAACCTAATAAATAAATCTGACAAAATTATTATGAGTATCTGACCCAGACACTCATAATAGAAGAAAACTTAAAAGACAGACCACATATTTGGGACAGAAGTCCTTGCTAGAGCCTCCTGACCAGGTAACCACCTTCCACACTTCAATACCTTCAGTGATGGGAAATAACTTGATCTCCGGCAGTCCAATCTATCTTTGAACAACTCACTGATACAGGCTCCTTTCAGATTCATGGGCTAAACTCTTATTTGCTATTTCACATGTTACTCTTGGCTTCACAATCCAATTTTAAGCTTTGTGTTAGCAAAGATTATGTGCATCAGATAAGTGAGCCAATCTACTCTACAACCTCCATTAAGTGTGCGTTCCTCTACTGCAGAGGCTGGAAAGCTAAAAATGACATTTCCAAACTTTCTTGCAACTCAGACTCTAGATACGATTTAGGTTCTGTCAACCACAGGCATCATATAAAACTTGAATAGAAGTGAGTGAAGTTAGGGGGAAAGGTAGCAAAAGGCATCCATTTTTGGTGGTAAGGGTCAAAGCAAAGGAAGCATTAATTCTGGAGTCAGCAGCTATAACAGCAGGTTCCTGATTATGACAAGAACACTGGCTCCCTGTTTCAAGGCAGTATTTGTAGGTGACTTTCTAAAGAACTATAGTCAGATATGTTAGATTGGGCAAAGAACTCTTCGATGAGACTGAAAATTCAACAAATGAGAAGTTTCCAGGGAAATGTCAACCCAAGTAGAAATTTTATAATGAACTACCCAAGAAGCACTTACAGAATAAATATAGGACTAAAACAGGAAGTAAAGCACAGTAGATTGGTCTGGACTTGGGCACTCACTATGCCGCTATGTGATTTTTGAACCAGTTTATAGGTCTTACATTCATTTATAAAATGGGAGTCATATAATGGTACCTACCCATTTTGTCTTACATTCATATATAAAATGGGAGTCATATAACGGTACCAACCCATTTTTATAAAGAGCAAATGAGATAATACTTGTAAATAATCTAAATATTTTAATGTGTGTTCGTTATTGACACTGTTAAGATAGTGAGTATTTATTTATAGAACTATATAGCTGTAAAAGGCCTTAAAGAACATCCAATCCAACTTCTTTCTTTTAAAACACCATGGCCAAAAAGGATGAATGAAGTACAGTTCCTACACTCAATAAGCTCTTAATCCAGATAAGAAAAAAAGACTTAAAAAAAAATTTGGCACTATATCATTGCAATTTTTCAACACAGAAACTGACATTCTTATCACATGATATTAAGTAGACAGGAGGTCAATATAGCAAGAAAATTTTTAATACCAGGAACAACCAAATGATACAAATATTTAAAACAAAAATTTTTATTCTCTTTCCATACTATCTTAAGGATTTTGGCCCACATTTCCTTTCTATGTTCACCATGATAGGGAGGCTTTCTAATCTTTATTAGTCCCAAACACATATATAAGACAATAGTCTTCTTTCGCCTAGAGCCTATCTCTATCACTCATGCAAATCTGCCATTGCCAACAACCTATCTGTCAAGTCATCTGACTAGCCTTAGTACAGTTTCCACAATCTTAGCTCACTGTAGTCTTGATCTCCTGGGCTCAGGCAATCCTCACTTCAGCTTCCCCAGAAACTAGGACCACAAGTGTGCACTACCATGCCCAGTTAATTTTGTTTATTTTTTGTAGAGACAAGGTCTCACTATGTTGCCTAGGCTGGTCTCAAATTCCTGGGCTCAAGCAATCCTGCTGCCTTCACCTCCCAAAGTGCTGGGATTATAGGCATAAGCCACCATGCCCAGGCCTTACCAATATTTTTTTATATACCCATCTATGGTGAACCTTCTCTGCATCAAGACTATCATGGTACTCTTTTTTTTTTTTTTTGAGACAGAGTCTCGCTCTGTCGCCCAGGCTGGAGTGCAGCGGCTCGATTTCGGCTCACTGCAAGCTCCACCTCCCGGGTTCATGCCATTCTCCGGCCTCAGCCTCCCAAGTAGCTGGGACTACAGGCGCCTGCCATCACACACGGTTAATTTTTTATATTTTTAATGGAGACAGGGTTTCACCGTGTTAGCCAGGATGGTCTCGATCTCTTAACTTCGTGATCCGCCCGCATTAGCCTCCCAAAGTGCTGGGATTACAGGCGTGAGCCACCGCGCCCGGCCTATCATGGTACTCTTAATAAATGGAAAGAGAACAGAAGAAACCTACAATATATTTTTATGTACTTCAGCAAAGACAGCCAATTTCTCAATTTCACTTCCCAATTTCCCAATTTGATTTAAGTTCACTATGTACCCAGCTAAAGGACTATATTTAGCTTCTCTTGTAATTAGGAGTGGACATGTGTGGAAATGATGTAAGCCTGGCCCATAAGAAACTGTCCTTTACATTGCCCTAAGCTCTTTCCCCTTCTGGCTGACAGGGATGGGCCACAGCCACCTTGGAGGTCACATGTTGGAAGACAGTAGAATCTCCATCAGCCTGGGTCCCCTGAAGAACTCCTGGCAACCAGGACAACTGCCTCAGAGTTTATTTGTTACAGAAGCTACCACTATCCTAATTCAGCCATTAAAAGGGTAGAGTTGTTAGAATGTAGTAACACTGACACCTTATACTTACAAATTTAAAATGGTGTAGAGAAAACTAAATACCAAAACCTTTCCGTGATATTATTATAAAAAATTATTTAAATGTTTTCTGCATTTTCATTTATATTTTTACTTCCTCTGGTAGTACTTATAATTTAACCATCTTATCATGAAATTTTATTTCTGAAAGTAATCTGTGGCCTAGCAGAAAAACATTTTATTAAAAGAAAAATTATTAAGAAAAACAATTTCTACAGAAAGGCTTTCCAGGTAGTTTCTTGGGTAAGTAACATGAAGAACTTAAAGTCTGAGTAAGACTTACCAGTGATGTACAAGAAGCAGGATGATTGTAAGGATACCACCACACTGTTTTATAAATGTTGATGTACTGAATGAAAAGAGCAACCAACAGGTAGATGAAAAAAAGGAATTCAAAGAGTAGGCTCCCATCCACAGGCAAGTCAGGAATTTGGCAATGACGAACAGGACCTGGGGTGATTAAGGCTGTGATAGGTGGGACTGGAAGGCCAATAGCACTACCATTCCTGAAAGAGAAAACTATGGTTAACTCAAATGGTGATAACCTCCAGTATCACAGAACATAAAGGGCTCCTGCTGTCTCCTCCATCTACCCCTTCACTGTCTGCTTTCCCCACAAGACTCCATCCTGGGATCCTCTTTTCTCCCTCCACACTTTCTGTCAGTGATCTAAGATGCAGCTATGGCCTCCATTATCTCCTACATGATGAAGACTATAATTTCTCTCCATAGAGCTCACTGCTAAATTATAGACACATTATTCAACTCCCTACTGGACATCTCTGTGTTCTTCCCTCCTATAGTCCTGACCTTAGTTCATGGCCCACTCAGTTAGCTGCCCACATCAGAAACCTGGGAGTCATATTAAAACTTTTCTTGGCCAGGCGTGGTGGCTCACACCTGTAATCCCAGCACTTTGGGAGGCCGAGGCGGGCGGAACACCTGAGGTCAGGAGTTCAAGACCAGCCTGGCCAACATGATGAAATCTCATCCCTACTAAAAATACAAAAATTAGCCAGGCATGGTGGTGGACACCTGTAATTCCAGCTACTTGGGAGGCTGAGGCAGGAGAATCGCTTGAACTTAGGAGGCGGAGGTTGTGGTGAGCTGAGGTAGCACCATTGCACTACAGCCTGGGCAACAAGAGTGAAACTCCATCTCAAAAACAAAACCAAAAAAAGAATATAAAAATAGATTTAAGAATCTATTCAGAACCCATATAAATTCTCTAGCAATGAGTTGTGACAACACATGTGAAGTGCTACTCATCCAGGAAAGCTCATTAGAGACTTGATGCCCAGGGTTTTTATTGGGGGCTGGCCACATGGGCACCTTCTTTCTAGCAGTACCAAAATTCTAGACTCCCAAAAAGAATGCAGGTGTTCAACATAGCTACTCTTAGGAAGGCCTGCTTACAAGGCTTACATCTGGGAACCATGACTAGTAAACAGTTCCCTACAGTGATATAAACTTTCCCTAAATAACTAGAGTGGCTCACTGTGCCTAAACTGTTTATACAAACAATGTGGTTTATGCTGAACACCTGTGTTTTGTCCTTGCATATAAAGTTTGTGTGTGGCAAAGGGTTAACACAGCAGGCCTGAGACTGACTGGTATGGAGCCAGCAAGCAGCAGAATTTAGGGAAGCAAATGGATGAAAGAAGAAAGATTCAAAGGCATAAAGAGGAATAGAAGAGGTAGGGAAAGCAGTGGTCATTTGGACACGTTCAGGTGATATTATTAACAAAGTATATGCAAGGAATAAGCAAAGAAAACAATAGTTCTTCTCAAATAAGATTCTCCCTCAATCAGGAACTCTCTAAGAAATCCAGAAATACACAATATATCTTCCTTTTTTAAAAGGATAATACTTTAAATACACTGTTGCAAGAACAAATCCCTGCTCCCCAAAGGTGGACAGCAGGACAAGGAACTACAATTTCAACCTTGACTGTGTTACCAAACTAGCTCCTTGACATTCTAGAGTTTAACTTCACCAATCAGACCACAAGCACCTACCAAACAGGGACAAATTCTCTCCTCTCCAGCTGACCTATGTCTGTCTTGCAGAATCAAATGTATCATCCAAAAGTATGTAATACTGAAGCAATTATCTATTTCCCTCCAATACTCTATAGACACTCCAGAAGTGAGTTCTCCTCATCTGGACACTCCTTCTTTCTATATATCCTTCCTAAAACTATATTATAAGCTATCCGCTAGTTCTTTCATGTTTTCATACCTCGTCCCCAGGTCTTTTATAACAAATTATTCCAGCTGCTTGCTTCCCACCAAGAAAGAAATATAAAGCTTTCTTTTCCCCAAATAATTTCTCTAGGTAAACATGTCACAAATAATCACTCAATAATAGTCTTGGTGACTTTTCAAACCATAAACAATTATTTCTTTCATTTTAAAATGTTGGAAAATACTTTTTTCTACCCACTCCCTCCCTCCCCCCAGTTAATTGCTAAATAAACATATGTTAAAGGAGGAGAGAAAGGCAGATTAAAGCAACCATGGTTGGAACCTTGAATACCAGGATAGAAGAGCTACAGTGAAGGCAGAGAAAAGAATACCAAACCCAGTCAAGAGCCGAGGTATTTTCCGAACGTTCCTACTTCTTCCCAGTATACCATCTGCAGACTCTAAGTGCAAGCAGAAGCATCTACAAATGACATTTTCATTGGCTTTCAGTTCTTTTTAATAGCAGAACGCTTTATTTTCCTTTCCTCATGATATTTTACATAGTATCTTAATATTTAAAACACATAGGAAAATGAGTCAGTCTAATTAAAAGAAGACGAGGAAAACTCAAGCCTAGACTGTTAGGCTTGCCTGATCCATTTTCCCTTCTAAGCCCTCCTACAGCAACCCCTGAGACACTGAAGAGGGATTTCATGGGACAGTCTAAGAACATTTTTATCTAGAGAACATAATTATCTAGAGGAATCCTCAAAGCCAAAGTCAAAGAGAACGAACAAAGAACTGCTAGAGTTAGGAGGCAAAGTTAGAATTTTTTAGTTGGCTAGAATCCTAGTTAGGGACAGCTAAGATTTTCTATCACAATTTGAAAGTACTGAATCAATAAGTTGATAGCATATATTAATAAAATTAAGGCATGTACCTCAAAGAGCAAACAACTTTTATCTCAATACCTATATTAGATAGTACCTTTCTTCAAAAGCATTTTCGCATATTCTCATTCTTATTTTTAAGTATATAAAATAATACTTATTTGTAGAAATTTTGTAAAATTCAGTAAAGTTTTTTAAAGTTACTGCAATTTACTACTTCATTTATTTCAACATCCTGCTATGATGCAAACAGTACCATCATTTTTAAAATAAGGAAATCCAACGAACGGCAGAGTAAAAAATACTCTAGCATAAACTAGTTACTCTGTATACATACATAAACAAAACTCGGATTAAAAATTAGTATGAGAATCGGAGACTGGAAAAATCCCTTCAAACTGGAATTTCAGGGAGAGCTCCACTGAAATGATGAGATCAGAACTAATTTTAAAGATTGGGTGGAAGAGGGATTGGAAAGTCAGGAAAAAAAAAGGACAAAGGTCAGGCCTAGAAAACAAAAGTGCATAAATACCATTAGACAGGCCTGAAAATACAGTAGTACTGATTGCTAGCTCTGAAAATTAAAATCAAGACAAGAGAAAAACTTTTTTCAGGGAGGAAGGAGAAATTAGCTGGCAGAAAATATCTTGAGCAAATACTTCATTAGGTAAAAGTATCTCTTTGAACTGCTACATTATCAAACCTCCTGATGGCATGGGCTAACCCAGCTAAAAAACAGCTAACATTTATTAAGACCAAACAATTTTTTGACAATTTAAAATCCTTGATGGAATTTGACTTATAATTTGCCCTCTAAAAAAAGAATGCTTATAAGTAGATAAACCATCACACTTACCTTGTATTTTCATTCACTTCTCCCTTCTTCTAATAGATAAAAAGGGGATAACAAGAATTTAGATGATCAGCCAAAATAAAGAATGGGACTGCTTTCACTTTGTGGGCCCCATTTCACATCTTTTTACCTCCAAAGTATTTTGGAATTCTGAATTTTGTCTTGAAGGGCAGGATTTCTACCACAGTGTCAAGAATAAATCTCAATAAGCAAATATCTGAATGACATGATGACTTTTATGTTAGTCTTACTGATCAAAGGACATTAAAATTATATATAGCCTTATTTTTTCTTTACCTGTTTCTCAAGCCTGTTCCATTGCCACAGCCTCCACCAACCAAAGTCTGCAAAGAAGGTAAAGCTGAACGGCTTAGCTGTTGCCGACTAGGGCCCCTCCTTCCACCGGGCATGTCCAGGAACCAGTCTGCTTCCAGTGCCACCTGTAGTTGCAACCCAGGTTAATGGTTGTCAACCAGTTTCAACTCTGAACGACAACAAAAACATTTAAACATCAGTAGACTATTTTTAAAGTAGGCAACAAAACAACGACAAACACTGAGTAAGCAGGCCTTACAAAATAAGATTTTCAAACGAATGTTCCCAGTGTCTACTACTTACGTTATTCGAATTAAAGGACTACTCAGACTCTAATGGGTCAAAAGCCTAAGTTCTGATCTAAGCTCTGTTCAGCTTTAGGCAAGTGATGATTTGTGTCTTTTGTCAACTGATTTGTATCATCTGTAAGATATTATAATCAAATAGAAGTTTACAAGAAACATCACACCTTATACATTTCCAGCTCAATGTTTCACACTTAAACTACTTGAAATATAGAAGAATTGGCACTTTATAAAACATTAGGTTTTGTTATCAAGGGATATGGCTTGTGAGCTCAGATGGTCACATATTATCTGACCTTATCCGGATAAGTTAACTTCTGAGTGTGTTCTTCTGAGTGTGTTTCTTCAAGGGGGGGGGGCGGGGGGGGGGAGTGTCCCCTGTTCTGCAGAGGTTGTCAGGACTGAGGAAGTGGAATGAAAGGGTACCAGTAGTTCTTTTAACAGTTTAAAAGTAAAACTGTTCGAGTGGTATCTCTATATGTTAGGGTTAAAATATTGAAAGAAACTCTTCAAGGGGATGCCCGCTCCAGAAAAGCTGGTGTAAAATCATACAGAAATTACTGAAACTGCAAGATTAAGAAGCAAGTAAAAGATAAAGATCCTCACTGGAAAAAAAAAAAAAAGCTCTTTTCATCATTCTACGGCAAAAATCATGATTCTGTCAACATGGATACCAATGTTTCCTAAACAATACAACTAAAACCCAAGGATGACACTGGAAAAAACCCGTGTTTTCAAATGCTCCCTATTCCTAACAGCCTTCGGCTGTAAACTAACCCCAAGTCAAACAAAGCATTCAAACCGCTGGATGCAGGGGCTGCTGGTCCTTGCTCCATTAACAAGCAAAGGGAAAGAAAAGTGCAGG